>NC_000011.10:5817575-6120606 GCF_000001405.40 Homo sapiens
TACAAGTGAGACAGTATTTGCACTAGTGAAGCTTGGGAAAGAAGGTATATAATAGTATTCTTGGGGGCATGGTTCAGTCGCTTTGCATGGAAATGAACATCACCACAGATTTTATTGAAATGATTTTTTCTAACGTTTATCAACACAATTAAAATTGTGCATGCCTTTTGAGCCCATAAACTTCAATAACATTTCTATCTATCGGTAGAGAAGAAAAATCAGAAATGCATACAGAGTGGATTAAGATATTCATTGAGGAATTATATTTGATAGAAAAATTTGGAAACAAATATTCAAGAGTAATAAAACACATGATTAAATTTGGTACAGCTATTGGATGGAAAGAAGGTCTAGCTATTAAACTTTTTAATTCAAAGCATATACAATGTCATGATGAAATGTGCACAAAATAATACTAGCTGGAGATAGAAACAATGTATACAACTCCATATCATCTGCAATTTACTTTTTTGAAATATCGGAATATTATACATAATAATTATAAAGTGATTGAATTAAGCACAGAAAACTTTTTAGAGGGCTTATTCCTCTGTTTTAGAATTACAAGTGATTTTCAACTCTTTATTATACTTTTCCATAGTTTCCAAATTTTCTATATTAAAGACATACTTCTCTTGTTGTAAGAGGAAAAAAAAAGTTTTAAAAAATTATGTTTTTCATGACCAG
Organism: Homo sapiens; assembly: GCF_000001405.40. NCBI lineage: Eukaryota > Metazoa > Chordata > Mammalia > Primates > Hominidae > Homo > Homo sapiens. The sequence goes on from NC_000011.10 coordinate 5,818,263, forward strand.
ACTTGGTGACCATATTTCCCACTTGGGAAAAGGCATTAAACTTTCTCTACTCAAAAGCTGCTAAATATACATCTATTACCAGCAGGCCCAAAGTTCACTCTCTTTTAAACAGAACCCACGGAGACACCTAATTGTGGAGACTAAATCAGCCTGGGGCATCTTGTTGGAAATTCCCCAGGGAAACAAAAAATTTTATGTAAGAAGATGTCATCCTAGATTTCAAACAACTCCTAAAGATTCTCAGCCATGCACAGAGATTTGATTGTGCCTAGCACTGAGGTGAGATTGGTCAATTTTCATAAATCCCTATTTTAGGAAAGGGTAAAGACATTTTTGGCAAAGAATGCAACAGCCTGATACACTGAAACAGTTTTAAAAAGTAATAGCAGTAAGGGGCAATGTTTTTTACTTTCTCTTTCACTTCTTAAGAGGTAATGGCTCTTTTTCTTTCTGGGTGGCTTCCACTGGACTTAATCTTATTTTCTTTTCATTCCATTCATTTCAATGTGGTGTACACATAAAAGATGGTAGACACTAGAAATTTTAATCTTTAAGTTTGTCTTGTCTAAGAACATAAAATGATGGTTTCTTGAAACAGTGACATTCTGGAGAGGTACTGTGAGAACTTCCTTATAAGAAGGGATTATTTATATGAGATCCAGTCAGGTAGTATTCAGAGATCACGAGCTTCTGAAACATGTGGTTGCTTTACATTTCCCTCCATCATTGGAAATTTCCATGTACTCTAGCCAGTGGACATGACAACTGCAGTGATTTCTAGAATGTTTCGGTCACAGAACTCTAAGCCTTGTGGATTCACAACCATGTAATCCATGCCATCACACTGCAAATGTATATCTATTTCTGCTAGATAGTGAGGAATGTTTGGCATTGGCTTTGCTCCATGGGGTCTACTACAGAACTTAAGGATTAGGGTTTTATTCCGAATAAAAAAAAAATTGAATAATTAGGACACTTCAACTTTCTTCAAACACCCCTGAAGCTATAAATTCCTTCAAATACTATTCAATTCTTTCTACTGCTCCATCAAGAAATAGCAATCCAAAGATGTGGTGCTATTTTTTAATTGACTTCCTTTCAGTTATAACAAAAATAATACTAAATTAAAGCAGTACAAACAGTCAATAATCCCAGAACTTCAAGGGCTTTTTGAGTGTAAATTTAGTATTGAGAATGGATAGGGAACTTGTGAAAAGATAGAGAAGCCAAATTTTATACCTAATTGAATTTAGATCTTTAGCAAAATCACTACTAAACTTACGTAAAACTTGTTAATGATTTAGAATTGTAAATATCTTCCTGTTTCTTGTCAAGAACTTCCTTTCAAATTCCATGGTATAGAAAAACATGATTTTGACATCAGATAGAGTTTGAGTATCAGACATACCAAATTCTTAACTCATGTATTCACTCATTCACATATATTTTATTATCTACTATGTATTATCTTGAGTAAGTTATGTGGGACATTACTGACATCTTATATATAGAATACAAGCATTTTTTGTTATCAAGGCAGGGGAAAAGTGCTAATATTTGAGATATTGTTAAAAACGGAAAGTTAAGCTACTGATAAGAACTGGTCATATTAGGGTGATGCTGTAATTATACCCATGTGATTTCAGTGACAAGACTCAGGTACAATTAGAATGGGAAGATTCTGAGAGCACAGAATAGAAATGGACTTATTGAAGGAGGAAGACAGTTACAGCCTAACTCACAATTTGTTATCAGAATGTAGTACAGTATAAGAGTTGTGCTGGGGAGAGGTGTGGTAAGTGAGGATAGTTAATCAAAGTTTGCAATGGCACATTGAGTAGTGGTAAGACTGTACTGCTTAGTGACTTTGGACACTGTAGTTCAAAGTCTTTCTTGCTATAGTTGGAAGAAAGAATTTCTGGTTATCAATGTAAGGTGAATGTACATGGCACTTGAGGTTCACTTTGTCCAAACCAGTACCTCTTATCTCGTCTCTAACTCTCCCTCTCCCTCTCCTAGGCAGAAAGCAATGGCTGCTAAAGAGTATAAAATGCTCTCCTCCTGTCAGCCATCATGTCTGGGGACAACAGCTCCAGCCTGACCCCAGGATTCTTTATCTTGAATGGCGTTCCTGGGCTGGAAGCCACACACATCTGGATCTCCCTGCCATTCTGCTTTATGTACATCATTGCTGTCGTGGGGAACTGTGGGCTCATCTGCCTCATCAGCCATGAGGAGGCCCTGCACCGGCCCATGTACTACTTCCTGGCCCTGCTCTCCTTCACTGATGTCACCTTGTGCACCACCATGGTACCTAATATGCTGTGCATATTCTGGTTCAACCTCAAGGAGATTGACTTTAACGCCTGCCTGGCCCAGATGTTTTTTGTCCATATGCTGACAGGGATGGAGTCTGGGGTGCTCATGCTCATGGCCCTGGACCGCTATGTGGCCATCTGCTACCCCTTACGCTATGCCACCATCCTTACCAACCCTGTCATCGCCAAGGCTGGTCTTGCCACCTTCTTGAGGAATGTGATGCTCATCATCCCATTCACTCTCCTCACCAAGCGCCTGCCCTATTGCCGGGGGAACTTCATCCCCCACACCTACTGTGACCATATGTCTGTGGCCAAGGTATCCTGTGGCAATTTCAAGGTCAATGCTATTTATGGTCTGATGGTTGCTCTCCTGATTGGTGTGTTTGATATCTGCTGTATCTCTGTATCTTACACTATGATTTTGCAGGCTGTTATGAGCCTGTCATCAGCAGATGCTCGTCACAAAGCCTTCAGCACCTGCACATCTCACATGTGTTCCATTGTGATCACCTATGTTGCTGCTTTTTTCACTTTTTTCACTCATCGTTTTGTAGGACACAATATCCCAAACCACATACACATCATCGTGGCCAACCTTTATCTGCTACTGCCTCCTACCATGAACCCAATTGTTTATGGAGTCAAGACCAAGCAGATTCAGGAAGGTGTAATTAAATTTTTACTTGGAGACAAGGTTAGTTTTACCTATGACAAATGAAACATAGAATAGACATATTGTTTCAGGTGGTGAGAAAATAATGGAGACAAAATTTCATAAAAGATGTGAATAAAATGGTATTAAAATCATGACATGTAATTTACCCATGTAACAAACTTGCACGTGTACCTAAAATAAAAATAGAAATAAAAAATCAAAATAAAGACATAAATTTGTAAGTCACCATAATATGTCAATTTTCTGAAGTCTCTGCAAGTTCTTGAATTTGTGTGTGTTGGGAGTGGGGGCAAGGATCTGCCAAAGCAGAGAATGCAAAATAAAGAAGTAATATACCCATTACTTAAAGAGTTGATGCTTTTCCTAAGCGTTTATAGACTCACATGTTTGTGAGACCAGAAAGGTAGTAAAATAAGGACAGCAGACCTGCTGACAATCCCTGCGTTGCGTGTAAGTGGGGAGGCTGTAGAGACATAGAGAAACGTGGGTCCAGTGTTCACTATTTTTCAGTATTTTTTAAAGACAAGCTAGATTTATATGTTCTATGAAATCTCCCCATTTTAATTGTCAGCAAAATATGTGTTAAAATACCCTATAATTCACAGAAGAATGTCCAAGGGTTCTGTTTTTCCCAAGTCATCAGTTTAGGGTCTCCATTTAAAATGGATCTAAATGGGAACAATAGACTCCAGGTTCTTCGAAAGGAGCGGGAAGAATAAACACTGAAAAGCTTTCTGTTGGATACTACATTCACTATCTGGGTGAAAAAATCTACAGAAGCCCAAACTTCAGCATCATGTAATATAACCTTGTAACAAACCTACACATGTACACTCTGAATCTAAAGTAAAAATAAAATAAATAAATAAATTATAAAATGGATCTGAAAATATAATTGTCATGTTATTGACCAAGCAGGCAAACCATTAAGCTATTAGTATATATTATAATTTATTTATTCATTCACTCATCAATTCATTTTTTGAAACACTAATTTAAGCAATATTATTAGTCATATCTTAGATTTATTGAGAGGGAGGCAGATGATACGGTTCCTGGTTTCAAGATACTCAGAATCTGGACTGTAGCCAGGGATGTGTGAGAAGAAATACATATAAAAGAAAGGGGAGAGAGAAAAAATGAATGCAGTGTGAAGGAAATAAAAAGTTTGTAGGAAAGAATTGGGGGAAATATAACATCAGTTTCAGATTCAATTCATCTCAAGTGTTAAGTCCTCTGTCTTTTAATTTCTAGCCACTAGAGTTGGACAGGCTACATAATCTCTCTAAATTTTGACTTCCATATTTTCTTCCAAATGTGAAAAAGAAAATGTATCACAGAGATGTTTCTTCTAATTAAATGCTCTGATGCAAAAAAAGCTTGTAGCACAATCTCTGATGTATACTAACCATTCAATAAATTTTAGTTATTTTTATGAGCTATTAGTTTCAACTCTGATTCATTATGAAAATCATAGTTTGAGGATAAATCTTTCCAGTTGTACAGGCAGTGCACAGTGCAGTATCAGTTTTGTGTGGACAAGCTTTCTTTTCTTTTTTTTTTTTGAGATGGGGTCTCACTCTGTCACTCAGGTTAGGCTGCAGTGGCATCATCTCGGCTCACTGCAACCTCTGCCTTCTGGACTCAAGTGATCCTCCCACCTCAGCCTCCTGAGTAGTTGTGACACAGGCATGCCCCACCATGCCCAGCTAATTTTTTTGTATTTTTGGTAGAAACAGGGTTTCACTATGTTGCTCAGGCTGGTCTTGAACTCCTGAGCTCAGGAGATTCGCCTGCCTTGGCACCCCAAGGTGCTGGGATTACAGGTGTGAGCCACTATGCCCAGCCATGGGCAAGTTTTCACTGAGTTCTCACAAACATACTATCAATGTCAGCCAACAAGTTTTTCTGGGTACAATCATGTGCCTGACTCCATGTGCCTACTCCACGCTGAGAAATGTAAATGAAAACAAAAACACTAGCTAATTCCTTGTCTAGTAGAGGATATAAAATGCAATGGAATCATTATAAAATGATAACAAGGTAATTGTACATCACAGATGTTCACAAAACTCATGAATCCTGAGAGCATGATCATCAATATCTATTGGAGGTAGTGAGTAAAGATTTTACAGGGAAAATAGTATATAGGGTCAATCTCGAATTATATGTATAAGTGTCCTACAAGGAAAAGCAGATGGAAATTATTTGGAAAAAAATAAACAACCTAGCTCTAATATTAAGGCTGAACAAAGAATAGCAAGTTTAGGTTCACAAAGGTTTTTGTATATTCAGAGGTAAAAGAGAAAGGGTGAGGAGTAAAAAATGTGACTAGAAAGGTAGACAGAGGTCCTATCAGGAAGTGCTTTGTGAGTCTTGTCACAACTTCAGGCATGCCCCACATTGCTCTTCATCTGAGAGATACTAAGTATATTAGAATCACCCTTCAACTTTAAGCAGCTGTTGCCCCATTCGTTACCCTTCTGGACTGCTCACATCTCCGCCATAACCACTGCCTCTTAAATCCTGTCTCCCTCTGTTTTTTCCTCCCCAACTTTCTTCTTTCTTCCACTAAAACTCATTTTCTTAGTTTTTACTTGCTTTTTCATGCACCAACCCAGGTTCTTTTCAGAACTCAAGGCATTCCTGTGTAGAGATCCCTTATGTCTTCCTCCATACTTACTTACTTTCAAAGTGTTAACTGTTCTCACACACACAAACACACACACACACATACACACACACACACAGTTTCAAGATAATAGCAACAACAATAACAACAAAAAGTACATAGCATTTATTTTCCAGAAATGTATTACTGTATTGCATTCTCATTTAATCCTAAAACCAACTGTAAGGATGGTACTATTTTATGTCCAGTTTACAGATAAGCAAACTTACAGATAAGATAATCTCTCTGAGCCACAGAGAGGTTAATAAGTTAATGAAAGTCATATAATCAGCGAGTGGTAGGTCTTGAATTTAAACCCAGGCAGTCTGGTTCCAGTGTCTTTAATTTTAATGACTATAATACACTGGACCATTTCTACAAGGAATTTAAAAATTTAAAGAATTTGTAGTATGCACTTTATGATTGGGATGGTATAAAGTCCTCCAGTGATGGCCCGGCACTGGACAAAGTGACAGATTTTTTTTCAGAAAATGGCTTATTAGAATATGAAGGGCTGCCATTGAGGCAGGAAGATAGGGTCTGGAGGCAGGGAACATAAGGCTGATCCACACTTCAGCTATAGAGGAAATACCCTCTCCATAGGGCATACACTGAGTAAATGACTTTGTAACTTTACTTGATCCTCTTCATTTACATACAGTGTACCCCAACTAGTGGGTATTTAAACTCACAAAAACTCTGTAACAGGGCCTTTGAGCCTCTATGCTCAGGCTGCTTCTACACTGTGGAGTGTACCTTCATTTTCAATAAATCCCTTCATGCCTTCCTTGCTTTGTTTGTGCATTTTGTCCAATTCTTTGTTCAAGACGCCAAGAACCTGGACACCCTCCACTGTTAACATCAAATTCTGAAAGTGCCACATGGTATTACACAAATGTACATAGTCATAAGACTAAACATTTCTGCATTTTCTAACTCATCCTAACAAATGACTTCTACAAAAGCCACGAAGACAAATTAGAGGAGTTAAATACTTTATATTGCAACCTCTGAGTTTCTTCCCGCTATGAACAGAAGCATAATTTCTTGCTCAGTGATGACCACATCAAAGATTTATACCTTGAACACCATATTTAAAAGTGTACCTAGTGCTCCCAAGTTTTTCTTACTCTCATATTTTTATAGAGCACATTCATTTCTAAATCATTATAAAATTTTATATATTTATTATGTTAACTGTTATTGGATGTCCTCTCCAATCATGCTCTTTAAATTATTAGTACCACAAGGCCAGGGACACTGGTTCGTGCCTGTAATCCCAGCACTTTGGGAGGCCGAGGTGGGTGGATCACTTGAGGCCAGAGTTCAAGACCAGCCTGGCCAACATGTATTTTAGTCTCTACTAAAAATACAAAAATTAGCTGGGCATGGTGGCACATGCCTCTAATCCCAGTGATATGGTTTGGCTGTGTCCCTCTGGAAATCTCATCTTAAATTGTAACTTCCACAATTCCCACATGTCATGGGAGGAACCTGGTGAGAGGTACTTGAATCATGGGGGTGGATCTTTCCCATGCTGTTCTCATGATCGTGAGTATGTCTCAGGAGATTTGATGGTTGTAAAAATGGAAGTTTCCCTGCACAAGCTCTCTTCTCTTGTTTGCCACCAGGTGAGACATGCATTTCACCTTCCACCATGATTGTGAGGCCTCCCCAGCCACGTGGAGCTGTGAGTCCATTAAACCTCTTTCTTTTGTAAATTGCCCAGTCTCAAGTATGTCTTTATCAGCAGCATGAAAGCAGACTAATACAGTGAACTGGTACCAGAACAGTGGAGTGCTGCTGAAAAGATACCTGAAAATGTAGAAGCAACTTTGGAACTGGGTAACAGGCAGAGGTTGGAACAGTTTGGAGGGCTCAGAAAAAGACAGAAAAATGTGGGAAGTTTGGAACTCCCTAGAGGCTTGTTGCATGGCTTTGACCAAAATGCTGATAATGATATGGACAGTGAAATCCAGGCTGTGGGGCTCTCAGATGGAGATGAGAAACTTGTTGGAAACTGGAGCAAAGGTGACTCTTGTTATGTTTTAGCAAAGAGACACAGCATTTGGCCCCTGCCCTAGAGATTTATAAAACTTTGAACCAGAGAGATGATTTAGGGTATCTGGCAGAAGAAATTTCTAAGGAGCAAAAAATTCAAGATGTGACTTGGGTGCTGTTAAACGCATTCAGTTTTAAAAAGGAAACAGAGCATAAAAGTTCAGAAAATTTGCAGCCTGATAATGAGATAAAAAAAGAAAAACTCATTTTCTGAGGAGAAATTCAAGCTGGCTGCAGAAATTTGCATGAGTAACGAGGAGCCAAATGTTAATCACCAAGACAATGGGGAAAATGTCTCCAGGGCATGTCAGAGACCTTTGAAGCAGCCCTTCCCATCACAGGCTGGGAGGTTTAGGAAGAAAAAAATGGTTTCATGGGACATGCCCAGGGTCCCTTTGCTGTGTGCAGTCTAGGGATTTGGTGTCTGTATCCCAGCTGCTCCACCCATGACTAAAAGAGGCCAAGGTACGGCTTGGGCTGTTTCTTCAGAGGGTGGAATCCCCAAGCCTTGGCAGTTTCCACATGGTGTTGAGACTGTGGGTGTACAGAAGTCAAGAACTGAGGTTTGGGAACCTCCATCTAGATTTCAGAGGATGCCTGGATGTCCAGGCAGAAATTTGCTGCATGGGTGGGGTCCTCATGGAGAAGCTCTGCTATGGCAGTGTGGAAGGGAAATGTGGGGTTGGAGCCACCACACAGAGTCCCTACTGGGGCACTGCCTAGTGGAGCTGTGAGAAGAGGGCCACAGTCCTCCAGATCCCCCAGAATGGTAGATCCACCAACAGCTTGCACTGTGCACCGGGAAAAGCTGCAGACACTCAATGCTGGCCCATGAAAACAGCCAGGAGGGGGCCTACACCCTGCAAAGCCACAGGGGCAGAGCTGCCCAAGACCATGTGAATCTACCTCTTGCATCAGCATGACCTGGATGTGAGGCAAGGAGTCAAAGGAGATCATTTTGGAGATTTAAGATTTGACTGCCCTGCTGGCTTTTGGAATTGCATGGGGCCTGTAGCCCCTTTGTTTTGGCCAATTTCTCCCATTTGGAATGGCTGTATTTACCCAATGCCGGTACCCGCATTGTATCTAGGAAGTAACTAACTTGGTTTTGATTTTACTGGCTCATAGGTGGAAGGGACTTGCCTTGTCTCAGGTGAGATTTTGGACTGTGGACTTTTGAGTTAATGCTGAAATGAGTTAAGACTTTGGGGGACTGTTGGGAAGGCATGACTGGTTTTGAAATGTGAGGACATGAGATTTAGGAGGGGTCAGGGTCAGAATGATATGGCTTGGCTGTGTCCCCACTCAAATCTCATCGTGAATTGTAACTTCCACAATTCCTACATGGGAGGAACCTGGAGGGAGGTAATTGAACCATGGGGGTGGGTCCTTTCTGTGCTGTTCTCATGATAGTGAATAAGTCTCAGGAGGTCTGATGGTTTTAAAAATGGGAGTTTCCCTGCACAAGCCCTCTTCTCTTGTCTGCCACCGTGTTGGACATGCCTTTCACCTTCCGCCATGATTGTGAGGCCTCCCCAACCATGTGGAACTGTAAGTCCATTAAACCTCTTTCTTTTGTAAATTGCCCAGTCTCAGGTATATTTTTATCAGCAGTATGAAAACCGACTAATACACCTAGCTTCTTGGGAGGCTGAGGCATGAGAATCACTTGAACTTGGGAGGCAGAGGTTGCAACGAGCCAAGACTGTGCCACTGCACTCCAGCCTAGGCAACAGAGTGAGATTGTCTCACAAAAAAAAAAAAAAGGAGAAAAATAATAAAAAAAAAAGATTATTAGCACCTAGCACCACAAAGACAGGGATCTTTACCTGATTTGCTTACTGAAGTGTCTCAAATACCAGGATAATTGTCTGCTATGTGGTAGATGTAATGAAAGCCTATCACAAGGGCTCTAACTTAGACAAGGTGGGTAGAAAACTCATTATTGAGAAAAGAACATTCAAATTGCCACTTGAAAGTAGAGAAGGAGCCAACTAGGCAAAGGGAATAAAGATCTTAATGTGACATTTTTTAAAAAGTGTGATTATATTGTAAATTTTTATAGCACTCATTTTATAATATATTATGAACTTTTTTAGATTTCACGTATAAATGAGATTATACAGTAGTTGTCTTTCTGTGCCTTTTTTCACTTAAGCATAATGTCCTCCAAGTTCACTCACATTGTCAAAAATGACAGGGTTTCCTTCATTTTTAAGGATGAATAGTATTTGTGTGTATGTATCACATTTTCTTTATCTGTTAACCTGTCAATGGACACCTGCATTGTTTCCACCTCTTGGATATTTTGAATAATGTAACTATGAATATGGTTGTGTAGACATCTTTTTGACATATTAATTTCATTTCCTTTTGATATAATCCCAGAAGTGGGATTGCTGGATCTTATGGTATTCTATTTTTTATATTTTGAGGAACCTCCATACTTTTTTTTTTCCATAATAGCTATATTAGTTTACACTTTCATCAACAATGTACCAGAGTTTTTTTTCTTCATAGTCTCATCAGCACTTGTTCTCTTTGTCCTTTTAAAAAATGTGAAGTCAAGGTATCTTTTCTGATTTTGCTGTGTAAGATGTCATACTCAGAAAATAGCTATGTCATTTTCATGATGAAAATGTTTCTATTTTACAAATTTTGACTCAATCTAGAGTTTTTCAAACACCCTGTAGCAGCTACTCGTTGGATAAAATTAGAGAAGGGGAAAAAGTTTCAGGAATTAACCTCTCTACAGGAAAAATTCAGTAGAGATGTTAGTGGTCATTTAGCCATTTGCAGTTTTGGGGCAGCTATTCCAGATTTGAGATGAAAACAAGGCCAAGAAATAAAGTCAAGTTCAGGGACCCTATGGTGTTCAAGCCTGTGATCTTAGCCCTTACTAGATAGTCTCACCAATATTAGGAGCTGTGTTGTAGTGAAAGCACCTGTTTGGACTCAAGTTTTGCTTACTGCTTCATGAATTCTGAATGTGAGTACTCTGTATTTAAAAATATGAAGACTTTGCTAATATGAAAGAGGAGTAGATTCTAAGAAATTTGAGAATAAGGGCTATATTGTACAATTTTTATTTTAAATGATAATTCTTTAAAGACACATTTAACATTCAATTATTCGTAATCACTGATTGTAGAATGTGATGAATGTTTTAGAAAATAAACCTCAAGCCTAAAAAAGACGTTCTATGAAGAAGAATAAATGTATGTTGTCAAAATCCTGAAGATGCTATGAGATAAAAAAAATTTAAATAAGAAGAATTAAAAGAAAAAAATAAAATAATTTCTGAGAAAAGATTGTAAGACACCAACATAGATTTTAAAATCCATACATTTCTCAGAGGAAGTTTAAAAATCATTTTCTGGGAATATTTTAGACCTACTACAATATTAAGACAAAAAGAAGTTCTATTAAAGAAATTCAAGGCCATTCCAAATGATAGAATTTTTAGCAGCTGTAGGGTGATTTCCCATGATATAGACACATGGTGTCAGGTCCTGGAAGAAGCACAGCACTCAACAGGACATGCTGCCTCTCCTGGAAAAGACAGGAATCTTTTTATTGTTAATTCCTGAGAAATAGCCAGATAAAGCAGAGCACCCTGCAGTGGGATGGGGAATAGCTACACAAATAATCTGCTCACAGTTGTTCAAAGTGGAGAGGAAAATTAGTGGCAATTCCTCAGGGATCTAGAACTAGAAATACCATTTGACCCAGCCATCCCATTACTGGGTACATACCCAAAGGATTATAAATCATGCTGCTATAAAGACACATGCACACGTATGTTTATTGCGGCACTATTCACAATAGCAAAGACTTGGAACCAAGCCAAATGTCCAACAATGATAGACTGGATTAAGAAAATGTGGCATATCTACACCATGGAATACCATGCAGCCATAAAAAATGATGACTTCATGTCCTTTGTAGGGACGTGGATGAAGCTGGAAGCCATCATTCTCAGCAAACTATCGCAAGGACAAAAAACCAAACACCGTATGCTCTCACTCATAGGTGGGAATTGAACAATGAGAACACATGGACACAGGAAGGGGAACATCACACACCGGGGCCTGTTGTGGGGTGGGGGCAGTGGGGAGGGATAGCATTAGGAGATATACCTAATGCTAAATGACGAGTTAATGGGTGCACCACACCAACATTGCACATGTATACATATGCAACAAACCTGCATGTTGTGCACATGTACCCTAAAACTTAAAGTATAATAATAATTAAAAAAAACAGTAATGAGACCATGTCCTTTGCAGGGATATGGACGGAGCTGGAAGCCATTATAAAAAAAAAAAAAAAAAATTAAGAAAAAGCATCCCAGAGACTGAAAGGAGAAATTAAACATCAGAGTAGCAAAAAAGTGATTACCTAAGTGTTCAGCATTACATCCACAGACATAATTGGGAAGGCCACTTACCTTAAAAGGTAAGGGAGGATAAGTAGCATGCCTTGTTAAAAGAAGTAATTCAACATGTTTTAGATTCTACCCACCATGCCCCATCCCCAACACAATTACCAACCTAACCAGCAAAAAGAAAGCAGGATGAACTTGAAAAGTAGTTATTTATCGCAGCGATCTCCAACCTTTTTGGCACCAGGGACTTGTTTTGTGGAAGACAATTTTTCCAGGGATAGGGGAGCAGAGGCTGCGGTTGGTTTCAGGATGAAACTGTCCCACCTCAGATCATAAGGCACTAGTTAGATTCTGCTGAGCGGCTTGGTATTCACCTTTCTCTGGTGCCTCCTTAAGTAGTTTAATAATTGACCTTCTGAATTCTTTTTCTGGCAATTTAGATTTCTTGGTTTGCATTTATTGCTGGTGAGCTATTGTGATCTTTTGGGGTGTTATGAAACAGTGTTTTGTCATATTACTGGAATTGTTTTTCTGGTTCCTTCTCATTTGGGTAAATTATGTCAGAGGGAAGATCTGGGGCTCAAGGCTGCTCCTTAGATTCTTTTGTCTCATGGGGTGCTCCTTTCATGTGGCACTCTCCCTCTTTCCCTAGGCATTGGGCTTCTTGAGAGCCAAACTGCAGAGATTGTTATTTCTCTTCTGCGTAGCCACCCAGCAGGGCTACTGGGCTCCAGGCTGGTCCTGGGGAGTGTCTGCAAAGAGTCCTGTGATGTGATCCATCTTCAGGTCTCCCAACTGTGGATACCAGCAACTGCTCCAATGGAGGTAGCAGTGGAGTGAAGTGGACTCTGTGAGGGTCCTTGTTTACAGTTTTGTTTAGTATGCTGGTTTTTTTGTTGGTTGGCCTCCAGTCAGGAGGTGGTACTTTCAAAAGAACATCAGCTGTGGTAGTATAGGGAGGACGCAAGCTGATATATATACAGGGAGAGAGGATACTAGCTGTGGTAGTATAGGGAGGATACAAGCCCCTCCTTAGGCGGGGCTTGCTCTGGCCTCTGTAGGGGAAGAGGGGGTTCTCAGGCCAGTGGAGTTATGTTCCCAGGGGGATTATAGCTGCCTCTGCTGTGTCATACAGGTTGCCAGGGAAGTGGGAGAAAGGTGGCAATGACAGGCCTCACCCAGCTCCCACACAGCTCGAAAGGCCAGCCCAACTTCCACCATTCATCCCTAACAGCACCGAGTTTATTTCAAGGCAGCCGGCGAGCAGGGCTGAGAGCTTGCCCCAGGCTACAAGCCTCCCCACTGAGAAAGGAAGCAGGGCTTTCAGGTTTCATGCCTCCCAGAAACTGCTGCAGTTTCTGTGCTCATATCTGTGATCCCTGTTTGTCTCCTCCCCCAGATTCTATCCAAGAAACTTTGCATTTGGTTGAAATTATTACAAAGTTAAGCTGAAAGTTTCCTTCTCCCTGTGGTCTTTCCCCAATTCCGCTGGCAGTCAGGAATGGCTTTCCTGGGGACTGAGAGTGCCCACAGGGCTCTTTTGGCTGCTTCCTCTACCCTTTTATTTCACTCGGCTCTCTAAATGTGTTTCAGCTCCAGTTAAGGTCAAATCCTTCTCCCATGAACTGGACCTTCAGTTTCCCCAGTGAGGATGTGTGTTTGGGGGCAGACATTTCCCCTCACACTTTGGGCACTCAAAGTTTTTTGGCTGTCTCACAGAGCCTGCAGCGGTAAACCTTTGTACACTGTTGGTAGAAAGGTAAATTAGTACTGCCCTTATGGAAAATTTTATAGTGGCTCCTCAAAAAACTAAAAATAGATTTACCATGTGATCCAACATATAGGTATTTACCCAAAAGGTTTGAAATCAGTTTGTCAAAGACATGTGTGAACTCCCATGTCTACTGCAGCACTATTCATGTTAGCCACTTTACAGAATCAACATAGGTGTCCATCAACAGATGAATTAATAAAGAAAATGTGGGAGGCATACATAATAGAATACTATTCAGCCTTAAAAAAGAAGAGAATTCTGTCATCTGCAACAACACAAATGCAGCTGGATAACATTATGCTAAGTGGTATCAGCCAGGCACAGGAAGACATATACCGCATGTACTTACTTACATGTGGAATCTAAAACAATAGAACTCATAGAAGCAGAGAGTAGAATGGCGGTTACAGAGGCCGGGCTTGGGGGTAGTGGGGAGATGACGGTCAAAGCATACAGAATCTCAATTAGAAAGGAGGAAATTTTTTTAGTTCTCTTACACCGTATGATGAATATAGTTAAGAATAGAGCATTGCGCATTTCAAAATTGCTAAGAACATAAATTTCAAATCTGCTCACCACAAAAATGTTAAGTATTTGAAGTGGTAGATATGTCAACTATCTTGATTTAATTATTCCACCATGGATTTGTAAATCAAAATGTCACTTTGTACCCCATAAATTTATACAATTATAAACTGTCAATTTATAATAGAAAATTTAAGAAGAAAAATGAGTGCAAATATATTGGTTATCTTAGTGTATTTTCAAGAAAGATATTTTTAGAATATATTTAATTATGTAATCATCATTGCCTAAAAATTTCAGAAGATTAGGGGAAAATCAAAGAATAGTTTGTATGTTGATGTCTCTCTCTCTCTCTTTTTTTTTTTTTTTTTGGTGATACAGTCTCACTCTGTTGCCCAGCCTGGAGTGCAGTGACACGATCGTGGTTCACTGAAACCTTGACCTCCCAGGCTTAGGTGATTCTTTCACCTCAGCCTCCTGAGTAGCTGGTAGCTGGGACTATTAGTGTGCACCACCATGTCTGTCTAATTTTTTGTGTTTTTAGTAGAGATGGGGTTTTGCCATGTTGCCCAGGCTGGACTCAATGATAGCTCTCTTTAAGAGTTTTTTATGAAAATATAATAGGAGGAAGGAAAATAGACGGTTCATGTCATTTGAATCAGATGGAACAGTATGTGAAAATTTCTAGTGGTGAGAGAGACCATAATGCATTTTTAAAATGCAAGCAATTCATTGCTACTAAGATATAGAATGTGGATAGTGTTTTAGTGAATGATAAAGAAGTAAGATAGAGTCAGATCATATAGGATCTGCATGCCAGACTAAGGTTTTGGATTCTATACTGAAGATAATAAGAAGCCAAATTAAGTGTTGCTAAGCACTGGGGAAATGTAAGATTCACATTTTCTCTTGCCAAAAGTAAAACGAGGGAACCCAGAAAGATGTTTTATTTCTGTATTTCCTTCCCTGTTCCAGACTGTCAGTTTATATGGGCTATATCTTATATCTATATCACTATTGTCTAGAATAGCAACTAACATAATGTTGGCACTTGATACGTTTGCTGTTGGATTAAGAATTGTAAGTGTGATTTGAAGCAGCATGGCATCTGGTATTGCCACTTTCCTCTAGATATTCTTCAGATGTCCTCCTTCCCAAATAAAAGTAATGGAGCACTCTTGTTATTATTTTGTCATCTTTTCTGAGGAATTGATGTACAATAAGCTTTGTATATTAAATGTAAATTGATAAGTTTAAGATACATTTATAGGCATGAAAGCATCACCACAATTAAGTTAATGAACACATTCATGACCTTCGGAAGTTTCCTTGTACACCTTTTAAAATAATATTTTAATCTATTTTTTATTTTAAACTATTTTAGAAGTTTATGATAGCAGGTCTCAAGATGGCCCTAAAGACACCCTTCTTCTCAACATTCACACCCTCACGTAGTTCCCTCCTACAATCATACCAGGGCTGCTCTGTGTGACCAATAAAACGTGGCAGAAGTGTTGGGGAGTGATGTCAGCAAGATGATGGAATTAGAGTTTTCTATTGTCATCTGACTACCAGCATTGATTTTGACAATAACTCATGAGCAAGAGAATCCTTGTGTGAGTCTGGGAGTCCAGTGAAAAAGTTCTAGCACATTGTTGGAGCAAAAAATCTGAGAGTAGGCGCATTGAAGAGAGTAAAATGAAACATTTTCCCTTTAGCAGTGATACCCTTTTTCTAAGGCAGCATAGCTCAATGCCAAGAAAGCCCCTTTGGCAAGCAATTCCTCTCACGAGGGAAAGTGAGTGTGTAGTGAATGATCACCTGGTTTCCTGAGCTGTACAGGACACTAGTTGCTGGGTGTCGCTGCCTCTCTTCCTTGCTCCCAGCCTTCCCCAGCCACTCAGCCATGCTAAGCCCCTCATTATTCTGAGTGGGACTAGAAAGAGGTGGACCTCTTGGACAGTGGGGAAAATAGGGAGATGTTGTTGAGGGTGTACAGACTTTCAGCTATAGATGAATAAATTCTGGAGATCTAATGTATAGCATGGTAACTATAGTTAAGAATAATGTATTGTATATTTGAAATCTGCTGAGAGTAGGTTTTAAATGTTCTCTTCAAACACAAACACACACACACACATACACTCAAAGGTAAATATGTGAGGTGATGGATATATTAATTAGCTTGACTGTGGTTCTCATTTTTCAGTATATGCATATATTAAACATTACATTGTACATATTAAATATATGCAATTTTCATTTGTCAATCATACCTCAATAAACCTGGAGCAAAAGAAAATTAAACTAACTGTTGGTATGTCACTTCTGAGATTAGATTATAGTAGATACTCTATATTTCACCTCTCTCTTTCTCTCTTTCTTCCCTCTTTCCTCCAGCCCCACTGTGGTTCACTCACTTTTGGAGAAGCTGTGTTATGTCCAGATCTAATGAGAGGCTCACCAGATAATGAAGTGAAGCTTCCTCCCAAGAGCCATCTGAATGAGCTTTGAGGAACACCCCCCGGCCCTGATCAAGTCTTCAGACACTTCAGGCAGGTCCAACAACTAGTTGTAACTTCTCAAGAAAACCTGAGCTACACCTCCCTAGTTAAACCTTTACTGGATTCCTGACTCTCAGAAAATGTGTGAGATGATAACATCTCTTGTTTTAAATTGATTAATTCTGCGGTGATTGTTATACAATAAAAGATAACCAATACATTGTTTTCAATTCTTTAACTACATTTTAACTATTTTTAAAAAGATAATATCTCCACTAATTTTGAAAAAAAACAACATAAGCCCAGAGGAGTTTATAAAGTCTTTATCACTGACTTTTGTTCCCCAGATTCTCTTTTTTTTTTTTGACCTTACCCCCCCATCTTTTTTTAAATTATACTTTAAGTTCTAGGGCACATGTGCACAATGTGCAGGTTTGTTACATAGGTAGGTATACATGTGTCATGTTGGTTGCTGCACCCACCAACTCATCATTTACATGAGGTATTTCTCCTAATGCTATCCCTCCCCCAGCCCCCCATGCCACGACTGGCCCCAGTGTGTGATGTTCCCCTCCCTGTGTCCATGTGTTCTCATTGTTCAATTCCCACCTATGAGTGAGAACATGCGGTGTTTGGTTTTCTGTCCTTGTGATAGTTTGCTGAGAATGATGGTTTCCAGCTTCATCCATGTCCCTACAAAGGACATGAACTCATCCCTTTTTATGGCTGCATAGTATTCCATGGTGTATATGTGCCACATTTTCTTAATCCAGTCTATCATTGATGGACATTTGGGATTTGGGTTGGTTCCAAGTCTATGCTATTGTGCATGGTGGGAGTATAAATTAGTTCAAGCATTGTGGAAGACAGTGTGACGATTCCTCAAGGATCTAGAACTAGAAATACCATTTGACCCAGCGATCCCATTACTAGGTATATACCCAAAGGATTATAAATCATGCTACTATAAAGACACATGCATGCATATGTTTATTGTGGCAGTATTCACAGATTCTCTTTTTTTCTATCCATGAACATGGAATGTTTTTCCATTTGTTTGTATCATCTCTGATTTCTTTGAGCTGTGTTTGTAAGTTTCATTGTAGGGATCTTTTCCCTTCTTGCCTAGCTGTATTGCTAGGTATTTTATTCTTTTTATGACAATTGTGAATGAGATTACATTTCTTATTTGGCTCTTGGCTTGGATGCTGTTGGTGTATATGAGTGCTAGTAATTTTTGTATATTGATTTCATGTTGTGAAACTATGCTAAAGTTGTTTATCAGCTGAAGGAGCTTTTGGGCTGAGACTGTGGGGTTTTCTAGAAATAGAATCATGTCCTCTGCCAGCAGGGGTAGTTTGTCTTCCTCTTTTCCTATCTGGATGCCTTTTATTTATTTCTCTTGCCTGATTTCTCTGGCCAGGACTTTCAATACTATGTTGAATAGGAGTGGTGAGAGAAGGCATCCTTGTCTTGTGCTGGTTTTCAAGGGGGAATGCTTCTAGCTTTTACCCATTCAGCATAATGTTGGCTGTGGATTTGTCATAGATGGCTCATATTATTTTGAAGTATGTTTTTTCAATACTTAATTTATTAAGGGTTTTTACCATGAAAGCATGTTATATGTTATCAAGCACTTTTCCTGCATCTATTGAAATAATCATGTAGTTTTTGTCTTTAGTTTTGTTTGTCTAATGAATCGCATTTATTGATTGTGGATGTTAAACAAACTTTGCATCCCAGTGATAAAGCCTACTTGATCATAATGTGTTAGCTTTTTCATGTGCTGCTGGGTTCGATTTGCCAGTATTTTATTGAAAATTTTGGGATCTATGTTCATCAGGGATATTGACCTGAAGTTTTCTTTTTTTGTTGTGTCTCTGCCAAGTTCCGGTATCAGGATGATGCTGGCCTCATAGATGAGTTGGGAAGGACTCCCTCCTCAATATTTTGCAATAGTTTCAGTAAGAATGGTACCAGCTCTTCTTTGTACATCTAGTAAAATTCAACAGTGAATCCATCTGGTCCTGAGCATTTTTTTTGGTAGGCTATTTATTACTGATTCAATTTTGGAACTTACTATCATTTTGTTCAGGATTCAATTTCTTTGTGGTTCAGACTTGGAAGGGTGTATGTGGCCAGAAATTTATCCATTTCTTACAGATTTTCTAGTTTCTGAGCATAGAGGTATTCATAATAGTCTTTGATGGCTATTCATATTTCTATGGGGTCAGTAGTAATATTTCCTTTGCCATTTCTAATTGTGTTTATTTGGGTGAATATATATTTAGGTTAGATCTTCTTGTTCAATTTAACCTTTACCATTATGTAATGCCTGTCTTTGTCTTTTTTTATCTTTTGGTCTGAAAATAGGATTGCAATCCCTGCTTCTATTAAATTTTCATTTGCTTGGTTGATTTTTCTCCATTCCCCTTTTATTTATTTATTGAGCCTGAGTGTCATTTCATGTGAGATGAATCTCTTAAAGACAGCATAGCTTTGGCTCTTGCTTCTTTATCCAGCTTGACACTCTGCCTTTTAATTGGGGCTTTTAGCCCATTTACATTAAAAGTTAGTATGATATGTATGGATTAGATTCTGTCACTGTGTTGTTAGCTGGTTATTATGCAGACTTTTTTATGTGGTTGCTTTATAGTGTCACTGGTCTATGTACTTAAGTGCATTTTTGAATTAGATGGTAAGAGTGTTTCCATATTTAGCACTCCTTTCAGGAGCTCTTGTATGGCAAATCTGGGGGTTTTAAATTCTCTCAGGATTTGCTTATCTAAAAATAATCTTATTTCTTCTTCACTTATAAAGTTTACTTTGGCTGGGTATGAAATTCTTGGTTGGAGATTTTTGTCTTTAAGAATGTCGACGTAGACTTTCAATCTTTTCTGGCTTCTAAGGTTTCTGCTGAAAGGTATTTTGTTAGCTTGATGGGGTTTCCTTTGTAGGTGACCTGCCCTTTCTCTCTAGCTGCCTTTAACATTCTTTCTTTTACTAAAACCTTGGGAAACCCGATGATTATGTGACTTGGGGACGATCTTCTTATGTAGTACCTTGCAGGGGTTCTCTGCATTTCCTAACTTTGAATGTTGTCTTCTCTAGCAAGGTTGCTGAAATTTTCATGGATGATACCATAAAATATGTTTTCAAAGTTGTTTGCTTTTCTCCCAGTGTCTTTCAGGGATGCCAGTTGCCAGTGACTCATAGTTTTGGCCTCTTTATGTAATTCCTTATTTCTTGAGGGTTTTGTTTATTCCTTTTTACTCTTTTTTCTTTACGTTGGTCTGACTGTCTTATTTCAGAGATCCAGTCTTCAAGCTCTGAGATTCTTTCCCCATCTTGGTCTATTCTGCTGTTAATACTTGTGACTGCATTCTGAAGTTTTTGCAGTGTGTTTTTTAGCTCCATCAGATCAGTTACATTCTTTTTTATACTGTCTATTTCATCTGTCAGCTTCTGTATCATTTTATTGTGATTCTTAGCTTCCTTGGATTGGGTTTCAACATTATCCTTAATCTCAATGATTTTATCTATCTATCGATCTATCTATCTATCTATCTATCTATCTATCTATCTATCTATCTCTCCTGGATGGCATTTTCAGGCACTAGGAAAGTCATAGCCATGCTGCACAGGCCTTTAGATCTTATAATATTCACGTCATATATCTGGGAAATATATGAAGAAATGTATACCTATACACAATGGATTATTATTCAGTCATGAAAAAGGATGAAAAAGGATGACATCCTGTTATTTCAAACAACATGGGCCAGGTGCCGTGGCTCACGCCAACACTTTGGGAGGCCTAGGCAGGCGGATCAACTGAGGTCAGGAGTTTGAGACCAGCCGGGCCAACATGGCAAAATCCTGTCTCTACTAAAAATAGAAAAATTAGCTGGGCTTGTTGGCGGGCGCCTGTAATCCCAGCTACTGGGGAGGTTGAGGTGGGAGAATCGCTTGAATCTAGGAGGCGGAGGCAAAGGTTATAGTGAGCCAAGATCACACAGCTGCACTCCAGCCTGGGCAACAGAGGGAGGTCTCAAAAAAAAAAAAAAAGAAAAGAAAAGAAAAAGAAAGAAAGAAAGGAACGAACAAACAACGTGGATGGAACTGGATGACATTATGTTAAGTGAAATAAATCACGCAAATATCACACGTCCTCACTCTTATGTGGAGCTTAAAAAAAATTGATCTCATGGAGACAGAGTAGAATGATGGTTACCACAGGCTGTAAAGGGTAGTGAGGAGGGCAGGATAGAGGGATTGGTTAATAGGTACAAAAATACAGTTACAAGGAATAAGATCTAGCATTCAGTAGCATAATTGAGTGACTATAGTTAACAATACTGTATTATATATTTCAAAATAACTAGCAGAGTAGAAGTAGAATTTTCCTAACACAAAAAAATTATAAATTCTTGAGGTGACAGATACACCAATTTTTCTAATATAATCATTACACATTGTATCCTTGTGTCAAAATTTCACAATACCCCATATATATGTACAACTAGTATGTGTCCACAAACTATTAAATAAATATGCTGAACAAATTTTATGCATAAAAAGTTGACACACATTAGACATGTTATGAAATGATAGAATTCAAAGTACCAATTATAACAGAGAAAAAATACATAAGAGTCAAGAATATTTCTCCATCTCAAAATATAACTTCAAAATAATTGCAACAATGGTCACTGAAATTAAAAATATAATTGGTATATCAAAATTTGTAGAGACTTTAATGCAACTCTTATAAAAACAAGCTGTTTGAGAACGCAAAAGTAAGTAAAAGTAAAGAGAATGTGCATTTAAAAAATAATTGGAGAATGTATATTGCTTTTAAATACATCTGAATTATTGTTAAATGTCCATTTTTTAAAGTCACATACACACACATGCACACACACACACACGTGCCCCAAATTATAAGCCTATATATCACTTGAAATTCAAAATAAAATCTAACCCCACTAACTTATTTATCTGCGGATTAAATACATAATAGAAAATAATCAATGGCTTAAAATGAATGCCCAAACAGAAATTAGGTTACATTTTAATTTGAACAAAAACAAAGCTCAACATAGAAAAATGACTGGTGTTCATTCAAATCAGTACTGAGGAGGAAATGTCAGTTACTAACTTATTTTTCTCCTAATTACATTAGAAAGGTCATAATACAAGAAAATCTCCACTATCCCACAAATAAACCATGTGTACCACACCCTACCTGATTCATAAGTCTGTCCTTTGATTTATCACTCTGCATTAATATATGTTATGTGCCTTTCTCTCTCAAACTGGATAAGGAGACTTTCTGGAAGAACAGAGCATCAGGAGAAAAAGTCTTGCCTATCAATAGAAAGTGCTGGTTCAAACAATTAATACAGGCAAGGATTCAATCCATACTGGTCAATTTAATTGCCTTCTACCAGTTCCTCTCTATGAACATATGAACATAAACACATATACACACCACATTTTCTAAAAGATTACAACTATTTATCCAGAAACAAAAAGACAAAGCAAACCCAGCAAAAACATGAAAACAAACAAATGGATATATTTTGTGGTTGGGACATTTCACTGAAGGTGACTGTGAAATAATATTTATCTACCAATACACTCATAATTATTTTAAATTTTATTCAGGGTATCTCACTTTCTCTGTACCCAAATTCCTTGGTGTCTCTTCTCTCCTCCCTAGTGGCTGCTTCATCATGAATGCTAAGAGAGACCCTCCAAACTCCAACTGGTTAGTGATCTGTCTTGAAGAAAATCCTCAGCACTGTCTCCCTAATATGTTTGGTTCTGACCCCATAGATTACAGGATTGAGGGTGGGAGGAACAACCACATATAGATTAGCCAAGAAAATGTGGATATATTGGGGAATATCATGGCCAAAGCAGTGTGTAAAGAAAGAGAAAAATGCTGGTGTAGAAAAGGCTAAGATAACACCAATGTGAGAGCCACAGGTGTTGAGAGCTTTGAGTCGAGCTTCCCAGGAGGGCAGGCAGAAGACAGCATAGAGGATCCTGATATGGGAGAGAATAATAAGGAGCACATCCAATAACAAGAGAGAAATACTGCCAAGACCAAACATAATGTTGACTTTGATGCTGGCACAGGCCAGACGGGCAATGCCCATGTGCTCACAGTAAGTATGAGGGATGATACGATGTCCACAGAAGGGCAACCTTAAGAGGAGAAACACCAGTGGAATGACCATGTACAAGCTCCTCAGGACAGCAATGCCTGCAATGAGGCTGATGATTTTGCTGGTGAGGATCATGGTGTACCAAAGAGGTTTGCAAATGGCAATGTAGCGGTCAAAGGCCATGGCCACCAATACGATGCTCTCCATGACAGTGAAGAAATGGATGAAGAACATCTGAGAAAGGTAGCCTCCAAAAGATATTTCCTTGATATTGAACCAGAAGATGCCCAGCATTTTGGGAATGGTGGCCGTAGACAAGCTCAGGTCAATGGAATCCAACATGGCCAGGCAGTAGTACATGGGCTCATGGAGACTCTGCTCAGTTTGGATCACAAAGAAGATAGCAGCATTTCCCAGGAGTGCAATAAGATACACAGAGAAAAAAGGGAATCCAATCCAGATGTGCACATCTTCTAGCCCTGGGATACCCAGCAGTAGGAATGAAGAAGTATGGAACTGGGTGTCGTTAGCTATAGGCATTCTTTCTGTCACAAAAAGCTGTTGTGTGTATCAGTGACAATTATTGACTTTCCATTAGTGATTCTTGCTCCACTTCTCACTTTATCCTGATTCCTGGTAAAATAAAAAATAGCATTGTACTCTTCTTGGTTCCTTTCTGAAAAAGAGTAAAATACCTCTTACTCTGCTAGGGTCATATGAGCATGAAACAGAATCAATAATTAAATCAGCTTCACCTGATTGCCACTTTTCCTACCAGAATTTATTACACATGAGGAATAAAGTGGGGAGAAACCTCTATCTGCCTGACAGAAATTTATAATGAAGAGTCTATGCAGAAACTAATTTTAAAAATAAGATTTCAGAACCTATGAATCTGATCGTTTTACACTCATTTTTCTTAACTTTCAGGCTGATTTTTATCTGTAATCTCTGTTAATCCCTTACTAGAGATCCTGCTAACAATAAAGTTTATATTTGTGCACTGAGTGTGTGTTTGTGTGTATCTATGCATTTCTACATGAATTGTAGAGTACTAGTGGGTTTACTTTTAGAGCAGAGAGAAAAAGCCTATATTTACACATACATGTAATATTTATTATTTATTTCTTTTTTTATTATTATGCTTTAAATTTTTGGATACATGTACAGAATGTGCAGGTTTGTTACACAGGTATCCACGTGCCATGATGGTTTGCTGCACCCATCAGCCCGTCATCTACATTAGGTTGTTCTCCTAATGCTATCCCACCCTTAGCCCCCAAACCCCCGACAGGCCCCAGTGTGTGTTGTTCCCCTCCCTGTGTCCATGTATTCTTATTGTTCAACCCCTACTTATGAGTAAGAACATTCATTGTTTGGTTTTCTGTTCTTGTGATAGTTTGCTGAGAATGATGGTTTCCAGCTTCATCCATGTCCCTGCAAAGGACATGAACTCATCCTTTTTTATAAGTGCATAGTATTCCATGGTATATATGTGCCACATTTTCTTTATCCACTCTATTATTCACAGGCATTTGGGTTGGTTTCAAGTCTTTGAAAAGCGTATATTTTTTATATACCACTTAAGAGTTCTCAATTTTAAATGTTAATCAAGTTAATAAATTGAAAACCAGACAGCAAAAAATTTTAATGTGATGTTTCAGAAAATAAACAACTCCTTGATCATCACAATTTCTTTTGCAAAAAGAATACTGTATCCATCATTTTTGGAAATTGGGTAAAGAAAATTAAAGGAAGATAATTAATGAAAAGTATTTTGCACTTAAAGCTAAATATGGAATAAAAGATTAATTTAGATAAATACACCATATATAGAACCCATAAAAAAACACATACATTGAAGAAACTCTAGAGAGTGGGTTTTTTCTTCTAGAGAATTTTAAATATTATCTCAGACTTACATGGACAGGGAGAAGAATTTTATTTTACAATATATTTCCTACCAATGCTGTTCTCCATCTGGTATGTTAGTGTCTTTATGGAACTTTGCTTTTCACGGCACAGAAATAAAAACATTTATATGATTTTGTTTTGTAACACTCTTTCTGTCTATGGAAAGATTCCGGGCTCATTTATAATAAATTAAATGTTTCAAAAATCAATGTGAGAGATGTTTATTATTGAGCAAATTCTTTTCTAAAACTAGTTGTACAGATAATGTGGAGTGATTGTGAATTACACAATTGACCAGAACACTTTGATTCAAATTTGGGAATACGTGGAGGCTTGAAGAAGTCAGAGTCGAGAGGTCTCCATTAGAAGCAAATAAGATCAGTACGCTCTACTTTAAACCTGTAACAAGGCAAGTGTCTAAAAAAAACCTACCATTTGAAGCTAATGATGGCTAGCAGAAATGGGAGAAAATTGGGGAAATTACCTCAAGAAGGAGAATATATACATGGTTATTGAGGCTGTTGAGAATAGCTTTAAAGTTCTCAGATCTGTAATAGGAAAGTCAAAGATAAAGACACAATTCTTTCTTTCCCCATTAGTGAATAATACATGAGGGATGTAGAAGGGTACACTTCACAATTTATTCCATCAAATATCTAAGAGGTCCTATATTTGCCAGCCAGCATTCATTTGAATAATACCTGTCAAACACTCTCAAAAAGACCACAGTGCAGACAGAGACACAATTCCAAAGAAGAAATTTGAAAGCTGCATTGCAAGTACTATGATAAAAACACCCATCAAATGTTGTAGGTGTAGAGATGGGGCAATGAAAATTCCAGGGAAGAAGTTGGGCTTTGGCTGTGACTTAAAGAGAAAATCCTTAATATATATATTTTATATATAATATATATTTATATATATATTTTTATATATAATATATATTATATATTATATATATTATATATTATATATATTATATTATATTATATATATTTATATATATATTATATATAATATATATTTTATATATTTTTATATAATATATATTTATATATTATATATTTTATTATCTATTTTTTTTTATATATATATAATTTTCTATGGAGGAAAATACAAGGACAAAGTGAGGAAAAGAAACATATTGTCCAGCCAGGACAAAATCCTGGAATCTTGGTCCTCTGCATTGCTTTTTACAGTGACACAGTAAAATGTCCACTGAACTCTGTGTATGCACTTCTATGTCCTAAGAAATATCTGGTATCTTAGTCACTCTTGGTACAACAGAAATTTGTAAAGATAAAATAAGGCTATATATTATGAAAATCAATTTATCACATGTATTTTGTGGATTTTCCCAAATGAGTTTTATAACTGGGACTTTTATTTGAGAAAACATCATTTCCAAGTCTACAAACATTTCTCAAAACATCTAGTCTCTTAGTCTATGACTGTACGCTGACCTATTATTCCAACACACATTTGTACAGTCTCCAATCTGTGTTGGGTTCAGAAATAAAACTAGGTCCCAGCACCTTTGTTTGACCTTCTAAAACTAAGGTTTTCATAGAATTATATCTGGTAGACATTTTCTGAAACCTTACTTATTTTTACTGCACCTTAATCCAATAACCCTCACAAAGTCTTCATACACACCTCATTTCATGTCCCATGTCAGATGAGGGTAAGCAGAAGAGAAAATATGCATGTTTTAATTTTATAACTGCTTAATCTCCCAGTCTTATGCCCGTCACTCCCGCATCAAACCTCATTTCCTTTATCAGCTTCTTTGTCACCTTAACTTTGGATTATCTTTTTGAAAGACTCTATTCCTCAGGCCCATGCTTCACAATTCATTTCTTCAAAAATGTAATTATTAAAGACATATTTACTGATTACCTTTACTGTACCTATTACTATCCTATAAAACCAGGAAAAAAAATCTTGCCCTCTTACTATCACATTTGAGCTCCCGTACATAAGGTTCAGAAACAAGAGCTATAGGATATATCGCTACATTACCTTCCTCATCAGCTTTGAAGTCTTGTTGGTTTCATGTGTGAAATTTTGCAGGATCACAGGTATATGTGAATGTGCAAAAGCATGTGTAGTCTTGAGAGGTCATGAGTATGATTGTGCTTTCTCTGTCCATACTCTGTCCTCTATCTCTCCTTATAAGTTTGACATAAGCCTTTCCTCATCTCTTCTCTTGCATTTTGCAGCTGAATGTTGATATGACTTATCTTGATCTCTAAATCTCTAAGAAGCATTATTTTGAACACCATTTGGCTTCTGCATGAGTGCACAATTTAACATGCTGAAGAGAAGGCATTTATGTTTTCACTAAAACTTTGATTCCTTTGGGATAGGAACTGCTGTATCTATGACACATTGGCATGGTTTACTTAAAAGGCACTGCAAATTTGTTTTGTTTTGCAGTCCCTTTCCCCCTTCACAGACTAGAGAAAAAAAATTCTTCATTGGTTCAAATAATTCACATTTTTTACCAACAAGAATTTGTATGATTTCTTCTTTTTAAACTTAATTTCAATCCCCTGGTGAATGCCTGATTTATTGGCTCAGATCCAATCCTGTACTCTTCATTACTTTATAAATCAATCCTCTCTTTTTCTCACTCTCTCTTCTCAATCTCTCTCTCTCTATCTCTCTCCTCTCACTTGCTCTCTTTCTCTCTTCTCCCTCTGTACTTGCCTCTCACTTCCACTCTCATGTATCTTGAAGCATTAATCTACAATCTTTTTCTGTAATCCATATAAAAAGTGCAAGTTTACAATGCAAACCACCTCCTGATAAATGTACTTCATGGAATAAAACTTTACTAATACATTCGTCCCTTTTCCTTCTGTATTCATAGTATTTGATAAAAACTTCTTACCAAGGTTGGTTGCCCTGGAATTACTCCTCAAACCCATCTCTTGCCACTCACTCCTTTCTTCCCTCCACTCCAGGCATGTACTTTGTGCCATTTCTCAATTCTAAGCTCACTTTTATCCCAGGGATTTTGCCTTTCCTACTCATAAGACCTGGAATATTGTTCTCTGATATCTTCCAAAGTTTTGTTCCCTTACTTCATTTATCCCTCCTCAAATATCTAGGACTCAAACAAGAATTTTCTGGCCAATGAATTTAAAAGGGTCATTCTTCCAACTCTATTTTCTTAGCTTGCTTTACCTTGGTTCCTAACATTTATACCTACTTGAAATTATATTGTATTCATTGGTTTTTCTCTCATTTTGTAAGTATATTCATCTCATGAAGGCAGAGACTATGCCTGTTTTTCATGGTTATATTCCAAGTCATTAGGGTAGTGTCTGTAATGTAGTGGCTGCATAATTAATACTTCCCTACTAAATAAATAATAAATCCAAAAGGAGAAGCCTAAACTCATTGGAACACACTCTTACTAGGTGCTGTCCCCTCAGTGCCTTAATGGCCCTCTTTTGTCATAGTACAATGTAAACAGATGCTTTCAAGACACTTTTTTCATTCTCTCTCATGACTTCTCTTGCAGATCACCGTATCAATCCTTCACTCCTTCAAAACATGGTGTCCTTAACAGATTTCTGTGAAAGACAAGTCTTTTATGTATTCACATAACTCACTGGTGACAGTACAAGTACACATTCCATGTTCAGATAGTGTTGGTTCCTAAAGCTTGCCTAGGAAACTACAGCTGCATGTAAAAGAAAGAGGAAGCTCATAAATGCATACATTTGGAAATAAGAAATGCTGAAAATAAGTCATCCAATGTTGACTTTAACTGATCAGAATGAAATGGTAAATAAAATACAAAGATAAGAAAATAGTAAAATAGTTAATAAAATAATGTGGTAGAAAGAAACATAAAATAAAAAGTCTCAAAAAGGTACAGCATTGATTTTCAAAAAAATTAAAATTTCACAAGGCTTAGCAATATCCATTTTGAAAAAAAATAAAGTGATTTCAAAATACAAATTATAACCTTAATTTTTTTTATTATACTTTAAGTTTTAGGGTACATGTGCACAACATGCCGGTTTGTTACATATGTATACATGTGCCATGTTGGTGTGCTGCACCCATTAACTCGTCATTTAACATTAGGTATATCTCCTAATGCTATCCCTCCCCCTTCCCCCCACCCCACAACAGGCCCCGGTGTGTGATGTTCCCCTTCCTGTGTCCATGTGGTCTCATTGTTCAATTCCCACCTATGAGTGAGAACATGCGGTGACCTTGATGTTATGAATAATTTTATTTAAACAAATTTGCTACTTGACATCAATTTTTAAATTCCTAGGAAAACACTTTTACCAACAAACTATAAGAATAAGTATAAAATCTGCACAGTGCCTATGTTTCTAAGATGCCACAGCAAATATCATACTTTGAAAAGATTTTAAAATATATTCCCCATGGATGAGAGATAAAATAGACATATCAATTATTACCACTTTTATTTCTAGTTGTATTGGTGGTCTTAGTCCTTTTAAAAAGCACAATAATAAATACATCAAAAAGTAAGAGATATGAAACAACAAGGGCTGCAGTTGTCTCATGGCTCCACTGTAGACATGCACTTCCAAGTCAGTCACACAGCCACTGAAAGGCCTCAGACCCATCTGGTTGTTGGCTTGTGGTATATAGGTTTTTTTTTTTTTTTTTTTTTTGGCTTATGGGTATCTCCAGGAAGCAGCTAACAGTTAGTTCTTCTCAGAGTAAGAGCCTGAGAGAGCTAATAAAAACACACTCAATTCACTTTTCTCTAATGACCAGTGATGATGAAAAGAAAATGTAGCACATATATACCACAGAATACTATGCAGCCATAAAAAAAGAATGAGTTCATGTCCTTTGCAGGGACATGGATGAAGCTGGAAACCATCATTCTCAGGAAACTAACACAGGGAAAACCAAAGACCGCATGTTCTCATTCATAAGTGGGAGTTGAACAATGAGAACACATGGACACAGAGAAGGTAACATCACATACCGGGGCCTGTCTTAGGGAGGCCTCCCCTCCTGGGAGGGAGAACATTAGGACAAATACCTAATGCATGCAAGTCTTAAAACCTAGATGACGGGTTAATAGGTGCAGCAAACCACCATGGCACATGTATACCTATGTAACAAACTTGCACGTTCTGCACATGTATCCCAGAACTTAAAGTAAAATTAAAAAAAAAAAAAGAAGGAACTCAAAAGACGTAGTCTTGTGAAAATCTAAATCAAGACGTGGCATCTCATCACCTCTCCCTATTCACATTGCTAGAAAGAAATACCTAATTAAACCCACCCCCAAGGGGAGGGGATGACACAAGGACATCCATATCAGGAGGTAAGAATCAGTGGGTGCCATTTTAGTGGCTGTTTATCAAAGGCCCAAAGTGGGAACAACTGTAATGTTGGTGGAACAGAGAAAGAAACTGTGGTGCATTCACATGACAGAATAACATACAGCAGTGAAAATAAGGAAGCCACTGCTACATATAATGAAGACATACAAAAATGTGTTTAAATTTTTAAAGGCCAGATATAAATGTGACAATTCAGTAATGTTTCCATTTATATAAAATTAAAACCAGGTAAAACTATTTGATAGTGATGAAAAATTTAAATAGTGGTTATTTACTTGGCAGGTAGAGACTGCAAATAAAATACACATAAATCAGTAGATGCATGGTGCAAGTTCGAGTTCATTGGCCTGAGAGCAAGGAGAGTCAGTGGTGTAAGTTCCAGTCCAAGTCTGAGCTTAAAAGCAGAAGACTGATGGCGCAGCTCAAAGACAGTTTGGCTGAAAACATTCTTTAATATTCAACATCATACTCTATTCAAGCCTGCAATGGATTGGATGAGGCCCAACCACAGTAGGTAAGGCAATCAGCTTTACTCAGTCTACATTTCAAATGTTAATGTCATCCAAAATATCCTCACCAACACACCCAGTTATTAATATCTGAGCCTGCTATAGCTCAGTCAACTTGACACATAAAATTAAACATTAAAATATATTCTGTTTCTAAATTTTGATTGTGATATCATAGATTTTATCACCCTGTGGAAATTTATTGAACTGAATATTTGTGTTTTGAATGTTTTCTGTACTTACTATGCTTTTACATGAAGTTATGCCTTATAAGACTATATCCTCTCTTTCCTGTCTCTATTTTATCTCTAAATAAATTTTGTCTAACAGTATGAAACAAACTTGGCCACTCACAGGACACTGATAATCATATAAGGAAGTGGGTGCAGGTAAAATTTAACTTTACAAATGAGAAGTCTCATTGTTACTTCCTGTATCATTAATTCCACCTAGCATCATTCTGGGAATAACTGAGCATTCTGTACATCCTAATGTGAGACAATAAAAAGTTCAGAGTGCTGCATATGAAGTGGTCTCAACAAAATGTGCTTAATTCATATATAATAAAATAATATATAGTAGAATAGAATAAAGTAAAATAGACTAGAGAACAGAATAGAAAAAGTGATGTGGTTCCTTCCACAATTTCACCCAGACACACAAAGAGACATGCACATACAGGGACACATACAGCAGAGATTAATGGTTATATTGCAAAAATTTATATTTTTGGATAAGTATACTTAGTATTATGGTGCATTGTTTTGACATCTGTAATTTATCTTAAAATATTCTAATAAGTTGTGTTTTTGCATATGTGTGAACATGTAAGAAAATATTTACAGTTATTGACTGGCTATGTGTGTGTTCTCTGTTCTATGTATGACAAATTTTTATGAATAGTTTTTAAATTACAAACACTGTTAAATATATTTACTTTGTAAAACATACAGGGCAAATTGAAAAATGTAAAAAAGGTGTTACACCAGTACACTTGTTACAAAACAACAGAATTCGAAGAATTCTTAGGGAAGGATAGATGAGAATCAAGAATATTACCCACCTTGAAATATAACTTCAAAATAATTGTAACAACAGGTAATTGAAATAAAAATGTAATTGATATATCAAAATTTATATAGAGAGATTTTAACTCAACACTTCTAGAAATAAACTAAGTACACAAAAGTAAGTAAAATAAAGAGAATGTACATTTAAAAACTAATTGGAAAATGCATGTTACCTTTTAACACATCTAGAATATTGTTAAATGACCATTTCTTAAAGCCACACAAAAAGAGACAGCTACACATACCAAATGATAAATATAAATAACATTTGAAATCAACAATAAAATCCAACCCCACTAACTTATTTATCTGTAAGTTAAATGCACAGTTGAAAATAACTGATGACTTAAAATAAGCAATGAAAAAGAAATTAGAATACATTTTTGTGTAAATTTAGGGAGTAAAAATGCAGTTTTGATACATAGATATATTACATGGTGAAATCTGGGCTTTTAGTGTAACTATCACCCAAATAGTGCACATTGTACCCATTAAGTAATTTCTCATTCCTTACCCCCCTTCCACTCTCCTATCCTTTCAAGTCTCCAATGTCTATTATTCCACACTCTATGCCATGTGTAGACATTATTTATGTCCCACTTACAAATGAGAATATGCAGCATTTGACTTGCTGTTTCTGAGTTAGTCCCTTAAAATAAGGACCTCTAGTTTCATCTGTGTTGCTACAAAAGATGTGATATCATTCTTTTTGTGGCTGCATAGTATTCCATGGTTTACATATACATACCACTTTTTCTTTATTCAATCATCCAATGATGGACACTTAGGTCAATTCCATATCTGTGCTGTTGTACACAGTGCTGAGTTAAAAATACAAGTGCAAATATCTTTTAAATGTAAGAAATTCTTTTCCTTTGGGTATATACCCAGTATTGGGATTGCTGAGTCAAATAGTAGTTCTATTTTCAGTTTTTGAGAAATCTCCATACAGTTTTCCATAGAGGTTGTGCTAATTTACATTCCCACCAACATTGCGCAAGTGTTATCTTTTCTCTGCATGCTTGCCAACATCAGTTATTTTTTGGCTTTTTAAATACTAACTACTCTGACTGGTGTGGCATGGTATCTCATTGTGGTTTTAATTTGCATTTCTCTGATGTTAAACATTTTTTATATGCTTGTTGGCTATTTGTATGTCTTCTTTTAAAAAATATCTGTCATGTTCTTTGCCCACCTTTTAGTGGTGTTACTTGGTTTTTGGGTTGTTGCTGTTGGATTGTTTGAGTTCCATGTATATCCTGGATATTAGTCCCTTGTCAGATGCATAGTTCACAAATATTTTCTCCCTTTCTTAGGGTTGTCTGTTTGCTCTGTTGATTATTTCTTTTGCTCTGCAGAAGCTTTTTAACTGCAATTAAGTCCCATTTATCTACTTTTGGTTTTACTGCATTTGCTTCTGAGGTCTTAGTTATGAATTCTTCGCTTAGGCCAATGTCCAGAAAAGTTTTCTTAGGTTTTCTTCTAGAATTTTTATAACTTCAGGTCTTAAATTTAAGTATGTAATGTAACTTGAGTAAATTTTTATATACAGTGAGCGATAGTGATCAAATTGCATTCTTCTGTATGTGGCAATCCAGTTTTCCCAGCACCATTTACGAAGAAAGTGTCCTTTCTTCAAGGTATGTTCTTGTCAACTTTGTCAAAGATCATTTGGCTGGAGGTATGTGTCTTTATGCCTGGGTCCTCTGTTCTTTTTCACTAATCTATGTCTTTTTTTATATCAGTATCATGCTGTTTTGGTTACTATAGCTTTGTAGTATAATTTGAAGCCAAGTAATGTGATGCCTGCAACTTTCTTCTTTTCATTTAGGATTGCTTTGTCTATATGAGCTTTTTTTGGTTCCATATGAATATTAGGATTTTCTTTTCTAATTCTGTGAAAAAAAGATGTTGGTACTTTGATTGGAATTGCATTGAATCTGTAGATTGCTTTGGGCAGTGCAGTCATTTTAACAATATTAATTCTTCTAATCTATGAACATAGGATTATTTTTCCATTTGTTTGTGTCATCTGTAACTTACTTCATCAGTGCTTTGTAGTTTTTCTTGTAAGGATCTTTCATCTCCTTGGTTTAATATACTCCTAAGTGTTTGTTAAGCTATTGTAAGTGGAACTGACTTTGTGATTTAGTTCTCAGCTTGAATGTTATTGGTGTATAGGAATGCTACTAATCTTTGCTATCTTTTATTTAAAAAAAAACTTTTATTTTAGATACAGAATGCACATTGTTACCTGGGTATATTGGACCCAGGTAGTAAGCATAGTACTCAATAGGTAGTTTTTCAGCTGATGACCCCCTCCTTCCCTCCTCCCTCTAGTAGTCCTCTGTGTCTGTTGTTCCCATGTTCATGAGCATGTCTGCTCAGTGTTCAGCTCTCACATGTGAGAACATGCAGTATTTGGTTTTCTGTTCCTACATTAATTTCCTTAGGATAATGGCCTCCAGCTCCATCCATGTTGATTTCATTCATATGATTTCATTCTTTTTATGGTTGCTTAGTATTCCGTAGTTTATATGTAACACATTTTCTTTATCCACTCCACCACTGATGGGCACTTAGGTTGATTCTATGTCTTTGCTATTGTGAACAGCACAGTGATGAACATATGAGTGTTTGTGTATTTTTGGTATAATGAGCTATATTCCTTTGGGTATATATCCAGTAGTAGGACCACCAGGTTAAATGGTAGCTCTGTTTGAAGAAAACTATCTCTCTTTGCAGATGATATGATTCTATACATAGAAAACCCTTAAGGTTCTGACAAAAGGGTGCTAGAACTGAGAACCCATTTTATCAGGGTTCCAGGATATAAAATCCATATACAAAAATCAGTAGCATTTCTATATAAAAATAATGTTCAGACTGAGAATCAAATCAAGAACACAATCCCAATTACAATAGCCACAAACAAAATGAAATACCTAGGAATACAGTTAACCAAGGAGGTGGAAGATGTCTACAATAGGAATTACAAAACAGCATGGAAGAAAATCAGAAGCAAAACAAATCAATGAAAAAAGATCCTATGCTCTCATGCTAGATTGGAAAAATGGATTGGAAAAATCAATATCATCAAAATGACCCTACTGCCCAAAGCAATTTATAGATTCAACATTATTCCTATCAAAATACAAATGGCATTTCTCATAGAATTAGAAAACTATTCTAAAATTCATATGGAATCAAAAATGAACCCAAATAGACAAACCAATCTTAAGCAATAAGAACAAAACTGGAGGTGTCACACCACTTCAAACTATACTATGAGGCTACAGTAATCAAAACAGCATGGCACTGGTATAAAGCAGATACAAAGGACAACGGAACAAACTAGAAAACTCAGAAATAAAGCTGCCATGTACAACCACCTGATTTTTGACAGGGCCAACAAAATGAGGAGTGGGGAAAGAATTCCTTATTCAATAAATGGTGCTCAGATACCTAGTTTGTATTTATTTCCATAAGTAGAGGAATAAAACTAGATCCTTACCTTTCACTGTGTGTAAAAATTAACTCAAGATGAATTAAAGATTCATGGTAAGACCTCAAACCATAAAAGTTCTAGACAAAAAGCTAGAAAATACTCTTCTCAACATTGGCCTTGGCAAAGAATTTTTGGGTAAGTCCCAAAAAGCTATTGCAACAAAAATAAAAATTGACAAGTGGGACCTAATTAAAATAAAAAATTTCTGCACAGCAAAAGAAACTATCAACAGAGCAAACAGACAACCTAAGGAAAGGGAGAAAATCTCTGAAAACTAAGCATCTGATGAAAGTCTAGTATCCAGATTCCACAGGAAATTTAAACAAATCAATAAGTAACAAATAATCCCATTAAAAAATGGGCAGAGGACATAAACAGACACTTCGCAAAAGAAGGCATAAAAGAGACAAACAAACATATGAAAAATGCTCAGCATCACCAATCATCAGAGAAAACAAATCAAAACCACAATGAGATACCATCTCATACCAGTCAAAATGGCTATTATTAAAAAATCAAAAACCTGGAGAGGCTTCAGAGAAAACGGAATGCTTATACACTGTTGGTGAGAATGTAAATTATTTCAGGCACTGTGGAAAGATTTCCCAAGGAGCTCCTGGTTTTTGAACATTCATTTTCTATCCTGAAACCTTACTGAATTTATTTATCAAATCTAAGAGTATTTTGGAGGAGTCATTAAAATTTTCTAAACATAACATTATATTATTAGCAAACAGAGAATTTGACTTCCTCTTTTCCAATTTTGATGCCTTTTATTTCTTTCTCTTGCCTGTTTGCTCTGAATAGTGCTTTCAGTAGTGTGTTGAAAGGAAGACTAAAAGTGGGCATCTTGTCTTGTTCTGGTTTGTAGGGAGAATGTTTTCAACTTTTACCCATTCAATATGATATTGGCTGAGTTTGTTATATATGGATCTTACTATTTGGAGAAAGGTTCCTGCAATGCCTATTTTGTTGAAAGTTTTTATCTTGAAGGGACGCTGAATTTTATGTAATATTCTCTACATCTATTGAGATGATCATGTTTTTTGTTTTTAATTCTCCTTATATGGTGAATCACATTTATTGATTTGTGTATCTTGAGCCATCCTTGCGTCCCTGGAATAAAATCTAGAAAAAGTCTTGCCTATCACTATTTAGAAAGTGCTGGTTCAATCAATACATTCAAACTGATATATCCAATTATTCAATCCATACTGGTAAATTAAATTGCCTTCTATCATTTCCTTTCTATGAACATATAAACACAAACACATACACATTTTTAAATGATTAAAACTATTTATCCAGACACAGGAAGACAAAGCAAACCCAGGAAAGATACAGAAACAACAGAAAAATGAATATATATTTTGTTTATCTGGGAGATTTCTCTGAAAGTGATTGTAAAAGAATACGTATCTACCATTTCACTCTTATAATCCTTTTAAATTTCATCCAGAATATCTCACTTTCTCTCTACCCATATTCCTTGGTGCTGCTTCTCTCCTCCCTAGTTGCTCCTACTCCCTCAGTCCTGAGCCCTACCTAAATTTTTCCGGCCCTACCTTGTCTACTGAGATGTCTTTAGAATACACTCAACTGTCTTGCCATGGCCAGAGAATCTTCTCCAAGAAAGAAACCATCAAGTACTTCCACAGCCTTCCATCCTACATTCTACCAGTAAACACCTGCCCAGTTGCAGGGCTGTGACCCTGAGGAGGAAAGATTTATACGACAAGTAGAACCTCGCCTGAAGCCAAGAGAGGGAGATCCTCCATGTCATCACTCTCTGGAATCTCCCATAAGAAAATGGTAGACTCTGGTCCTAAACCCTTAATTTCCACAGAGCGCATTCTGCTCCTATCTGTTCACCCAGTGATTGACCTAAGGGCTGCTTTCTATAGGAGATCATTGAATCACAGCTAAATTTAAGTGTCTTTGCTTTATAGTCTGCACATGCCACTTGTTGTGGTCTACTGCCTAATCCTATATCTTAACTGTATAAATGGCAGGCAGAGCAGCAATAAAGAACTTACATTCAAGGTGTTCTTCCTGCAATTATCTTCCTCCAAGTTTTTTAAGGGATTATAAATTTCATTATGAATGAAACTGCTAATAGCCACACAATTTCCAAATCTCCTGAAGAAAAAAAAAATATGTCTCAACACTACTTTAGAAACAACTTATTATTTCTTTTTTCTCAAAGTATATAAGTACTTAAAGACAATACACTGTGTCTTCGAATGTTCCTACAGCTCATAAACCCACACATGAAACATAGTAGAAGTATGCACACGCACACGCACATATATTCATATATGTAAAAATATATTATGTAAATATTATTTAAATAATTAAACAAGCAAATGAATGAAATATTTACGAATGTATATGTCATGCTCATGCTGCATTATTTCCTTTTTCCTTTAATATCTAATTTTATGACTATGCTTGCATCTCTAGGTGCATGAGGGAAATTATAGTAACTATTGAATAAGATTATGGTGGGCATGATATGAGTATATTCATGTGTGGTATACCTGTCAATACCCATATATCTACACTGCATCTATGGTATGTTAATATTATTACTAGAGTAAGCTATTATTATTATTTTAAGAATTCTAGAAGCCACTTATTCTGTTTATTATCTTTTTAAAGTAAGAATTTTATTCCGTATTCTGTTATTTCTTAAACATACTAAAGAAAACTATAAGGCAGTCTATTTGGCTTAAATTACTACTTCCTATTAAACATGTAGTTTGAGTAAATCACTCAACTTTTCCGAACATAAGTATATTAATCACAAGAATGGAAAAACTAATACATACTTTATAAAACTGCCTTGAGGATCCAGCAATAGAAATAAAAGAACTTGGAAAAGGAGAGTTCGACAAGGGTAAAATTCTCATTATTATAATTAAAGTCAAAAGCTTCAGTTAACAGATAAATAATGTTATTGGCTGCAGCATTCCCTTCTGTTTTTCTGCTTTCTATTAGGTTAGAGTGACAGACTCTCCAACCTCCAACTGGTTAGTGATTGGTCTTGAGAAAAATCCTCAGCACTCTCTCTCGAATCTGCTTTGTCCTGACTCCATAGATTACAGGATTGAGGGCTGGTGGGACAACCACATACAGGTTGGCTAATATAATATGTATATACTGTGGGATATTATGGCCAAAACGATGTGTCAAGAATGAAAAAAATGCTGGTGTAAAAAAGGCTAAGATAACACCAATATGAGAACCACAGGTGTTGAGAGCTTTGAGTCGAGCTTCCCAGGAGGGCAGGCAGAAGACAGCATACAGGATCCTGACATAGGAGAGAATAATAAGGATAACATCCAGTAACAAGAGAGATATGTTGCCAAGGCCAAACCTAATGTTGACTTTGATGCTGGCACAGGCCAGACGGGCAATGCCCATGTGCTCACAATAAGTATGAGGGATGATACGATGCCCACAGAAGGGCAGCCTCAGAAGGAGAAACACCAGTGGAACAACCATGTACAGGCTCCTCAGGACAGCAATGCCTGCAATGAGGCTGATGATTTTGCTGGTGAGGATCATGGTGTACCGAAGAGGTTTGCAAATGGCAATGTAGCGGTCAAAGGCCATGGCCACCAACACAATGCTCTCCATAGCAGTGAAGAAATGGATGAAGAACATGTGAGAAAGGCAGCCTCCAAAAGATATTTCTTTGGTATTGAACCAGAAGATGCCCAACATTTTGGGGATGGTGGCTGTAGACAAGCCCAGGTCAATGGAATCCAACATGGCCAGGAAGTAGTACATAGGCTCATGGAGACTCTGCTCAGTCTGGATCACAAACAAGAGAGCAGTGTTTCCCAGGAGTGCAACAAGATACACAAAGAAAAAAGGGACTCCAATCCAAATGTGCACATCTTCTAGCCCTGGGATACCCAGCAGTAGGAATGAAGAAGGATGGAACTGGGTGTGATTAGACGTAGACATTCTTCCTGCCATATAAAGCTGCTGGGCACACCAGCGACGATTATAATATTCCTATTAGTAATTCTTGTTCCACTTCTTCTTTTGTTCAGATTTCTAGTCAAATTCACAATAACATATTAATCTTTCTTTATATATATTCATGAGTAAGGTAAAATACTCTCCACAATTTCTCCTAGCCTCTCCTGAGCAACATTGGTACCAGGAATAGAACCAGTCTTATTCTACTGCCCCTTCACCTAATATCAAAGACTAATATAAAAAGAAATGGCAGAAGAATGTCATCTGCCAAATAAAAATGCAAAATCTGGAATTTAGCCAGAACTAAATGAGAAAAATAAAGTTCCAGGGTCAGTGTCTATAGAAATGTTACACATATTTTTGCTTCACGATCAAGGTATTTGTAATCTCAACTATTCCTCTATTTGGGAATCAAAAATGTAGTGTGTAAAACCGTTTCTGTGTTGTTATGCATTTTTACAGGTATTTGTGACTACTAGACTGTATACTTCTATATACAATTTAGACTATACTGTATACAATTTGGGACTACTAGACTGTATACTTCTGTATACAATTTAGGCTGTATATACTGTATACAGTTTGTGACTACTAGACTGTATACTTCTGTATACAATTTAGACTGTGTATACTGTATACAATTTGTGACTACTAGACTGTATACTTCTGAGAGAAGAAACAATTTATCTTGCTCATATGCAGGAAAAAGATCTGCTACATAATAGTTCTCAATTTAAAACCTCCACAAATAGACATTGATTACAAGGAGGCAAAACTGTGGGTAATTTTAATGTCATATTTTAGGAAATAAATAATTTAGTTTCCATCACACCTGTGTTTGAGAAAAGAAGCTTATCCATCGGATTTGGAAAATGGGTAAAAACAAGGAAAAGAAAATACTTGACAAAGAGTATTTTGCAGCTATGATGGAACATGGATGAAGAGATAATTTTAATCTAGATAATCCTATTATTTGGAGAGTGCATAAATACACGCATTCAGTAAAGAAACTGTTTATATATAGGCCAGCTTTTTCTGTGGCAAGGAAACTAAATATTCTGGGCTACAAAATTTTCAAATATATCTCAGTCTTATATTCATGGGAAGAAAGTAGAAGCCCTTTGGATGACCTACAGTTTAGCTGCTACTCAAATTCTATCCCAGCTGTTTTGTCTCTATGGATGTCTCCAATATAGTAAATCCTGAATTTACAGATAGTAAATCCTGAATTTACGGATAGTAAATCCTGAATTTACAGATAGTAAATTCAAAATTTGAAGCAAAAAGTTCATTACTGCGCAACTTACTTTTACTTGGGAAAAACTAGTTTTACAGATAATGCGGAATTGGTTAAATGTGACGTGGCAACTACACAAAAAGCATTGATTACAATTTAAGAATACTTGAACATTGGGGGAAGTCAGAATTGAGACGTACGCAGCAGAGATAAAAGTGTGTGAATGTCAGCAAGTTCTACTTTAATCCTGTAACAACAAAAATGCATTGCTGGTAGTACCTATTTGAAGCATACGAAGAATAGCAAAAATGAGAGATTATTTGATAATTTGGGAAATTATTTCAGAGAGAGAGAGAGAGAGAGAATGTGTGTGTATAAACTTGGGTGAAACTATCAGAGATAAGGGTATAAACTTCCTGTTTTTCACTAATTGAGAATACACAAAATAGGCAGCGAAATACCTTTCACAATTTATCCCATCAAATATTGAAGAGGTTCTCTATGTATCAGTGGTAATTAGGAAGTTTAAATACAAAAAATGAATAAAACTGGTCATATATCCTTAAGGAAATCACCACGTAGTAAAGAAGATAAAATTCCAAACATGAAATTTAAGAACTGTACTGCAAGTGCTATGGTAGAAATGTGCACAGGATGTTTTAAATGTAGAGGTGAGTCAAGAAAAATTGTATAGAGGAAGTTAGGCTTATGCTGACTTACAGAGAAATTCTTCTGACAAAAAAGAAAGAAAATTTTATTCTGTATAAATAAGCAGGGGCAAAGTGGGAAAAAAAGCACAGTGGCCACTTAGGATATAAAAATGAAATCAGTCATCCTCTTCAATGGTCTTATCCAGAGATTCTTATTAAGTCTGATGTCTTGGTCATGTTTAGGGGCTCCATACAGCATGAACTGAAAAAATAAAAATATGGCTACATTCCAAGGATAGCAACTTATCCCATGTATCTCTGTGGATTTTAAAAGAAGATTTGGAAATTAATGCTTCCCTTCTCCCTAGGACAACATCATTTCCAAGTTTATAAATACTGATCAAAGCAACCAATCAATTAATTATCCAATAAATGTTTACTTAACCATTATTTCAACACATATTTACATATCTTCCAATCTCTGCTGGATTTAAAAATAAAATTGGTTCTCAGCCCCTGTTTTGACTCCCTAACTCTAAGGTCCTACATGGAATTATATCCAGCTATCCAGCAGCCACGTCCTCAGTGTGTCATCTTCTTAATCTACCCTATTGCACCAACCTCCACCACACCCTACCTATCCATATTCCCACATCCTGGAACAGATGAGCATAAGTAAAAGAGATAATGTACACCTGTTTTCTCATCTTTATCTAATCTCACAGTCTCATGACCAGCCTGCTATCATGTAACCTTATTCCATTTCTCAGATGTTTTATCACTCTAGCTCTGAGTCTATGTTCATAAAAGTCTATTCCTCAGGGCCATGCTTCTTCCTGATTCATTTATTTATAAATTAATTTAAAAACATATTTTTAAAATTTGTATTTTTAATTTTTGTGGGTACATAT
Organism: Homo sapiens; assembly: GCF_000001405.40. Classification (NCBI taxonomy): domain Eukaryota; kingdom Metazoa; phylum Chordata; class Mammalia; order Primates; family Hominidae; genus Homo; species Homo sapiens. The sequence continues at coordinate 5,860,507 of NC_000011.10, forward strand.
CATAGATATATATATTTATGGGTACATGAGATGTTTTGATACAAGCATGCAATGTGAAATAAGCACATCATGGAGAATGGGGTATCCATCCCCTCAAGCATCTATCCTTTGAGTTACAAACAATCCAAATGCACTCTTAGTTATTTTAAAATGTATAATTATTACTGACTATCTTCACTCTGTTATGCTATCAAATACTAGGTCTTATTCATTCTTTCTATTTTTTGTACCCATTAACCATCCCACCTCCCCCCAGTCCCCCACTACCATTCCCAGCTTCTGGTAACCATCATTCTATCTTCACCTATGCTATATTTTGTATGTTCTAGAAAATACAGAGAGCTAGTCTTGCTCTTTTGCTGTTCACATGTGTACATATATATATAGAGTCAGAAATAATAGCTAAAGAGATATGGGATATATTGGTACAATTTCTTCCTCATCAGCTTTCACACTTTACTTTTGCATCTGAGACTTTGCATGGTCATATGTGTGTGTAGGCAAAAATACAGTTTGAGGTGTTTATCAGTATGAGTGTGTATTCACTCTTCATCTTGTCATACTTTCACCTTTCCTGCATCTCTCCATACTAGCTTGCCATGAGCTCTTTCTCCATCCCTCCTGGTATTTTTCACAGCCTAACCATGATATAACTTACCTTAGTCTCAAAATCTCTACAAAACATCCCTTGGCATATTCTTGGGGTACACCATTTATTATGCCAATAGGAGATATTTATACTGTTCTTGTAGCCCCACTTCCCCTGGGATGGGTACCATAGTATCTTGGAGGCGTTGATGTAGTATAGTTAATAGACTCTGGAGAATTCCTCTTCTCAATCTCTTCCTCCTTATACTGAAACAATATGGCAAGAGTTTATCATTGTTCTCTTGTTTTTCCCAAATTTTATATTCATTTACTGACACTGACAGAATATGTTTAATTTCTCACTTCAAAATTAAATTGCCAAACTCTTGGTAAACACTTGGGATTTTGTCTTTATTCTTCTATCACATCTTCTTCAGTTAGTTCCCTGACTCTCTCTTCTTCAAATTTCTCTTTCTAGTCCTAATAAAATATTTTATTTTCTCATTTTAAAACCCCCTTGATAGAATTTTTCATGAAATCAATATCTCATCATCTATTCCATTGTACTTTTCTTTATCAATTCATCCACCAATGGACATTTGATGGCAACTCTCTGGAAATCTCTTCTACAGTGTGCATATCTATTTGACACCACTCAAAGCTTAGTCTTTGTGAACAAGATTTTTGTTGGGCTATGAGTCAAATACAATCAGCAGAAATTGTTTAACATCACAGATTTCTGAAGCAGGAATAACAGTGGGAACTAACAAAAGGCTATCCGAAAAATTTAAAAGAAAAAATTGGGGAATGAATTGATCATAGGGGATTTTTCAAAGCTCTGAAATGTTCCTGAGAAGCTAAAACACACCACATGCGTACATGATTATGAAAATATCCAGAAAAGACTTGAGAAGGCCCTAATCTGTCATCTCTGGTAAAATAATATTAAAATATAGAATGCAAGTTATACTACAAGAAAATGCCTAGTACATTCAAGATGTCATACAGACACACATACATAGACATAAACCTAGTGGGATTTTTGTTATGTTGTAGAATATAAACATTTTAATAGCAAAACCCAGAAAATTCCTCATATAAAGGGCATTTATGAAAAACCCGTGGCTGACATCATACTCAGTGGTGAATATCCAAAGGGATAATTAAGCTTTTCCCCTAAGATCATGAACAAGACAAGGGTGCTTGCTTTTATGACTACTATTTAACATTGTACTGGAAGTTCTTGCCAGAGCAATTAGCCAAGAAAAAGAAAGAAAAATTATTCAAATTTTAAAGGAACGAGTAAACTACCTTTATTTGCAGAAAACATAATATTACATGTAGAAAATCATAAAGAATTCACAAAAAACTATTAGAACTGATAAATGCAGCAACTTTGCACAACACAAGAGCAATACTCAATCAGTTGTATTTTGCTGAACACTGGTGAAGAAAATTAATGAAGGTCTAAATAAATGGAAAAATATTTATGTTCATGGATTGGGAGATTTAATACTGTTAAGGTGGTCACTTTCATAAAAGTTATCTATATATCATGTTAAATTCCTATTAAAATCTCAATGTCTTCTTTTGCAGAATGGAGAGAGATAAAACTAAAATACATATAGAAGAGAAAAGGCCCTTGAATAGCCAAAACAATTTAAAAATGAAAAACAAAAGCGACTCACATTTTCTTATTTTAACACTTACTGCAAAGCTATTATACTCAAAAAAGCATGGTGCTGACATAAGAATAGTCATAAAACTCACTGGAATCAAATTGAGAGTTGAGAAATAAACCCATATGTCTCTGGTCTATTGATTTTGGGCCATGATTTCATGACCATTCAGTGAGAAAACAAATAGTCTGGCTGAGTTTAACACAGCATGATGACTGTAATTAATAATAATGTACTGTTGTACTTTGATTTTGTACCCTGAAATTTTACTAAAGTCGTTTATTAGTTCTAGGAGCCTTTTGACAGAGTCTTTAGGATTTTCTAGGTATAAAATTACATAGTCAGCAAGGAGATAGTTTGACCTCCTTTTCTATTTGGATGCTTTTTATTTCTGTCTTTTGCCTGATTGCTCTGGATAGAACTTCCAGTGCCATGATTAATAGAAGTGGTGAGAGTAGGCATCATTGTCATGTTCTGATTCTCAAGGGAAATAATTTGAGCTTTTGCCCATTCAGTATGATGTTGGCTGTGGATTTGTCATAGATGGCTCATTATTTTGAGGTATGTTCCTTCATTGCCTAGTCTGTTGAGGTTTTTTTTCTCTTATCATGAGGGGATGTGTAGTTTTATCAAAAGCTTTTTCTGTATCTACTGAGATGATCTTATGGTTTTTGCTTTTAATTCAGTTTATATGGTGAATCATGTCTATTGATTTGCCTGTGTTGAAACAACCGTGTATCTCAGGAAAAAAAGCCTACCTGATCATGGTATATGAACCTTTCAAAGTGCCTCTGAATTTGGTTTGCTAATCTTTTGTTGAGGATTTTTGCATTTATGTCCATAAGAAATATAGCCCTGAAGTTTTTTGTTGTTGTTGTTGTCTCTGCCAGGTTTTGGGATCAGGCTGATGCTGGCTTCATAGAATGAGTTAGAGAGGAGACCCTTCTCCTTGATTTTTTTGGATAGTTTCAGTAGAATTGGTATCAGTTATTCTATGGATGTCTAGTAGAATTTGGCTGTAAATCCGTCTGGTCCAGGACTTTTTTTTTTATTGGTAGTTTCTTTACTACTGATTCAATTTCAGAAGATGCTATTTGTCTATTCAGGATTTTAATCTCTTACTGATTCATTTTAAGAGATTGTGTGCTTCCCAAAATTTAAACATTTCCTCCAGATTTTCTCATTTGTGTGAACAGAATTGTTCATAGTGGTGTCTGAAGATCTTTTGTATTTCTGTGAGATCAGTTGTAACACCACCTTTGTCATTTCTGATTGTGCCTATTTAGATCCTCTCTTTTTGTTTGTTAATCTAGCTGGGGTCTATCAATCTTATTTTTTTGAAGAACCAAGTATTGATTTCATTAACATTGTGTATATATTTTTGCATCTAAATTTCATTAAGGTCTTTTCTTACTTTATTTTCTTCTGCTAGCTTTGGGGTTGGTGTATTCTTTTTTTTCTAGTTCCTTTAGGTGCAAAGTTAGTTTGTTAATTTGAGATCTTTCTACCTTCTTGATGAAGTTATATGGGGCTATAAACTTTCTTCTTAACACTACTTTGACTGCATGCCAGAGATTTTGGTAAATTGTGTCCCTATTTCATTAATTTAAAATAATTTTTCATTTCTGCCTTAATTTTGATGTTCACCTAGGAGTTATCCAAGAGTAAATTGTTTAATTTCCATGCATTTGTGTGGTTTTGAGAGCACTTTTTAGTAATGATTTCTATTTTTACTGCACTGTGATATGAGAGTATGTTTGGTATGATTTCAATGTTTTTGAATTTATTGAGGCTTACTTTATGACTAAGCCTGTAACCAATCTTAGAATATATTCCATATGACGATGAGAAGAATGTATATTCTGCGGTTGTTGGGTGGGGTGTTTTGTAAATGTCTATTATGTCCAATTGGTCAAGGGTATAGTTTCAGTGCAGGGCTTTGTTGTTAGATTTTTGCCTTAATGATCTGGCTAAGACTGTCCGTGGGGTGTTGAAATATCCCATTATTGTGTGGTTGTTTTACTCTTTCTGTGGGCCAAGAAAAAGCTGTTTTATGAATATAGATGCCCCAATGTTGAAAATGTACACATCTAGGATAGTTAAGGCTTCCTGTTAGATTGTACCCTTTATCATTATGTCATGCCCTGTGCTGTCCTTCTTAATTTTTATTGGTTTAAAGTCTGTTTTATCTGATACAAGAATAGTGATCGATGCTTTTTTTCATTTTCCATTTCATGGTACATCTTTCTCCATTTCTTTACTTTGAGCCTGTGGATATCATTACATGTGAGATGGATCATTTAAAGACACCAGATGGTTGGGTCAGTGTAGAAAAATCAGTAGCATTTCTATACACCAATAACATCTAAGCTGAGAATGAAATCAAGAGCACAATCCCACTTACAGTAGCTGCAAATAAAATGAAATACCTAGGAATACAGCTAACCAAGGAGGCAAAAGATCTCTACAAGAGAACTACGAAACACTGCTGAAAGAAATCAGAGATGACACAAATAAATGGAAAAATAATCCATGCTCATGAATTGGAAGAATCAATATCATAAAAATGGCAATACTACTGAAAGAAATTTGCAGATTCAATGCTATTTCTATCAAATTATGAACATCGTTCTTCACAGAACTAGAAAAAACTATTCTAAAAAGAGTTTACACTCATAGAACAGAATAAAAAACACAGAAATAAATTTGCATGGCTACAGTAATATGATCTTCTTGACACTGACAAAAACAAACAATGAAGTAAGGACCCCCTATTAAATAAATGGTGTTGGTGTAACTGTTTATCCATATACAGAAGATTGACGATGGATCTGTACCTTTCACCGTATACAAAAATCAACTCAAAACGGATCAAAGATTTAAATGTAAGACCTCAAACTATAAAAATCCTAAAAGACAACCATAGAAGTACTCTTCTTGACATTGACCTTGGCAAAAAATATTTGGGTAAGTCCCCAAAAGCAATTGCAACAAAAACAAAAATTGACAAAAGGGACCTAAATAAACTAAAAAATATTCTGCACAGTAAAAGAAACTATCAACAGAGACAATCCCCTACAGAATGTGAGAAAATATTCACAAACTATGCATCTGACAAATATCTAATATCCAGAATCCACAGAGAACTTAAATCAACAAGCGAAAAACAATCCTATTAAAAAATGGGCAAAGGACATGAACAGACATGTCTCAAAAGAAGTCATATAAGCAACCAATAAACATATTGAAAATGCTCAGCATTACTAGTCATCAGAGAAATGCAAATCAAAACCACAGCAAGATACCATCTCATATAAGTTAGAATGGCTATTATTAAAATGTCCAAAAAAACACACACACACAAAAAAAAACAGGTGCTGGTGAGGCTGCAGAAAAAGGGAAACCTTATACACTGTTGTTGGGAATGTAAATTAGCCCAGCAACTGCGGAAAGCAAACTGGAGATTTCTCAAAGAACTTAAAAGAGAGCTATCATCTGACCTAGGAATTTCATTACTGAGTATATACTCAAAGGAAAATAAATAATTCTGCCCAAAAACACATGCACTCATGTGTTCATTGTCATCGCTGTGGTATTCACAATAGCAAACACATGGAATTAATCCAGGTGTCCATCAATGGTAGATTGGATTAAAAAAAGTGGTGCATATATCCACCATGGAATACTATGCAGCCATAAAAAGAATGAAATCATATTCTTTGCAGCAACAGAGATGGAGCCAAAGGTCATAATTCTAAGCAAGTTAACACAGGAAACGAAAATCAAATGTTGCATGGTCTCACTTATAAATGGAAGCTAAACAACACATGGACATAAATATGGGAACAAAAGACAGTGTGGACTATTAGAGGGTGGAGGGAGGAAGTAGGCTGAAAAACTGCCTATCAGGTACTATGTTCACTACCTGAGTGATGGAATTCACACCCCAAACCTTAGCATCATGCAACAGCCCCATGTAACAAACCTGCACAAGTACCCCCTGTATCTGAAATAAGAGTTGAAATTTACTGTATATTTCAAAATAGCTAAAAGAGAGGATTTTCTTTTTTAAATTTTATTATTATTATACTTTAAGTTTTAGGGTACATGTGCACAATGTGCAGGTTTGTTACACATGTATACATGTGCCACGATTGTGTGCTGCACCCAATAACTCGTCATTTACATTAGGTATATCTCCTAATGCTATCCCTACCCCCTACCCCCACCCCACAACAGGCCCTAGTGTGTGATGTTCCCCTTCCTGTGTCCATGTGTTCTCATTGTTCAATTCCCACCTATGAGTGAGAACACGCTGTGTTTGGTTTTCTGTCCTTGTGATAGTTTGCTGAGAATGATAGTTTCCAGCTTCATCCATGTCCCTACAAAGGACATGAACTCATCATTTTTTATGGCTGCATAGTATTCCATGGTGTAGATGTGCCACATTTTCTTAATCCAGTCTATCATTGTTGGACATTTGGCTTGGTTCCAAGTCTTTGCTATTGTGAATAGTGCCACAATAAACATACGTGTGCGTGTGTCTTTATAGCAGCATGATTTATAATCCTCTGGGTATGTACCCAGTAATGGGATGGCTGGGTCAAATGGTATTTCTAGTTCTAGGTCCCTGAGGAATCGCCACACTGACTTCCACAATGGTTGAACTAGTTTACAGTGCCACCAACAGTGTAAAAGTGTTCCTATTTCTCCACATCCTCTCCAGCACCTGTTGTTTCCTGACTTTTTAATGATTGCCATTCTCACTGGTGTGAGATGGTATCTCATTGTGGTTTTGATTTCCATTTCTCTGATGGACAGTGATGATGAGCATTTTTTCATGTGTCTTTTGGCTGCATAAATGAATTCTTTTGAGAAGTGTCTGTTCATATCCTTCACCCACTTGTTGATGGGGTTATTTGTTTTTTTCTTGTAAATTTGTTTGAGTTCATTGTAGATTCTGGATATTAGCCCTTTGTCAGATGAGTAGGTTGCAAAAATTTTCTCCCATTCTGTAGGTTGCCTGTTCACTCTGATGGTGGCTTCTTTTGCTGTGCAGAAGCTCTTTAGTTTAATTAGATCCCATTTGTCAATTTTGGCTTTTGTTGCCATTGCTTTTGGTGTTTTAGACATGAAGTCCTTGCCCATGCCTATGTCCTGAATGATATTGCCTAGGTTTTCTTCTAGGGTTTTTATGGTTTTACGTCTAACATTTAAGTCTTTAATCCATCTTGAATTGATTTTAGTATAAGGTGTAAGGAAGGGATCCAGTTTCAGCTTTCTACATATGGCTAGCCAGTTTTCCCAGCACCATTTATTAAATGGGGAATCCTTTCCCCATTTCTTGTTTCTGTCAGGTTTGTCAAAGACCAGATAGTTGTAGATATATGGCATTATTTCTGAGGGCTCTGTTCTGTTTCATTGGTCTATATCTCTGTTTTGGTACCAGTACCATGCTGTTTTGGTTACTGTAGCCTTGTAGCATAGTTTGAAGTCACGTAGCCTGATGCCTCCAGCTTTCTTCTTTTGGCTTAGGATTGACTTGGTAATGCAGGCTCTTTTCTGGTTCCATATGAACTTTAAAGTAGTTTTTTCCAATTCTGTGAAGAAAGTCATTGGTAGCTTGATGGGGATGGCATTGAATCTATAAATTACCTTGGGCAGTATGGCCATTTTCACGATATTGATTCTTCCTACCCATGAGCATGGAATGTTCTTCCATTTGTTTGTATCCTCTTTTATTTCATTGAGCAGTGGTTTGTAGTTCTCCTTGAAGAGGTCCTTCACGTCCCTTGTATGTTGGATTCCTAGGTATTTTATTCTCTTTGAAGCAATTGTGAATGGGAGTTCACTCATGATTTGGCACCCTGTTTGTCTGTTATTGGTGTATAAGAATGCTTGTGATTTTTTCACATTGATTTTGTATCCTGAGACTTTGCTGAAGTTGCTTATCAGCTTAAGGAGATTTTGGGCTGAGATGATGGGGTTTTCTAAATATACAATCATGTCATCTGCAAACAGGGACGATTTGACTTCCTCTTTTCCTAATTGAATACCCTTTATTTCCTTCTCCTGCCTCACTGCCCTGGCCAGAACTTCCAACACTATGTTGAATAGGAGTAGTGGGAGAGGGCATCCCTGTCTTGTGCCAGTTTTCAAAGGGAATGCTTCCAGTTTTTGTCCATTCAGTATGATATTGGCTGTGGGTTTGTCATAGATAGCTCTTATTATTCTGAGATACGTCCCATCAATACCTAATTTATTGAGAGTTTTTAGCATGAAGCGTTGTTGAATTTTGTCAAAGGCCTTTTGTCACCACAAGGAAATGATAAATATTTGGGTGACAGATATGCTAATTATCATGATTTGATAATTCTACAACATACATATATATCAAAACATCACAATTCACCCCATAATATATACCATTATTATTTATCAACTAAAAATTTAATAAAACTTTAAAACAATTGTGCCAGGACAACTGGATATGCACATGATAAAAGAGGGAAGTTGGCTGAGGTGCGGTAGCTCATGCCTGTAATCCCAGCACTTTGGGATGCTGTAGAGGGCGGATCACGAGGTCAGGAGATTGAGACTATCTTGGCCAACATAGTGAAACCTCATCTCTACTAAAATACAAAATATTAGCCAGGTGTGGTGGTGTGTGCCTGTAATCCCAGCTACTTGGGAGGCTGAGGCAGGGGAATTGCTTGAACGCAGGAGGTGGAGCTTGCAGTGAGCTGAGATTGCACCACTGCACTCCAGCCTGACAACAGAGCAAGGCTCCATCTCAAAAAAAAAAAAAAAAAAAATTGAAGTTGCACCCTTAAATAACACTATGTATATACAAAAATTAAAATGAATCAAAAACTTAAATATAACTAAAACAATGAAACTCTTAGAATAAAACATAGGGTATGTCATGACTTCAGATTTGATTTCTTACATAGGGCAACAAAAACAGAGCAATGAGTTATAAATTAGTGAATGAAGCATTAAGATCAAAAACTTTTGTGAATTAAATAACACTGTAAAGAGATTGAAAAGACAACTCATAGAATGGGAGAAAATATTTGAAAATCACATATCTGTTAAGAGTTTAGTATACAGAATATACAAAGAAGGACTCATACAATGCGACCAAAAAAATTGTAAAAACAATTTTAAAATGGGCAAACCACTTCAATAGGCATTTATTTAAAGATATACAAATGGCCAATGTGCCCAGGCAAAGATGCTCAATATCATCAGTCACTGGGGAAATGAAAATCAAAAAGACAATGACACATCATTGGACATCTACTATGATTACTATAATAATTTTAAACATGGAAAATGGCATGTGTTAGAGAGGATGTGATAAATGGAAACACTCATACATTGCTGGCAAGAATGTAAATTGATGTGGTCACTATGGAATAGTTTGGAACTTTCAGGGAAAGTTAAATGTAGAATTACCATAAGACCCAAGATTTCTACTTCTTAAAATGTACTCAAAGAATTGAGGCCGGGCGCAGTAGCTCACACCTGTAATCCCAGCACTTTGGGAGGCGAAGGCGGGCAGATCACAAGGTCAGGAGATCGAGACCATTCTGGCGAACAAGGTGAAACCCCGTCTCTAGTAAAAATACAAAAAAATTAACCGGGTGTGGTGGCAGGTGCCTGTAGTCCCAGCTACTCAGGAGGCTGAAGCAGGAGAATGGCATGAACCTGAGGGGCAGAGCTTTCAGTGAGCAAAGATCATGCCACTGCACTCCAGCCTGGGCAACAGAGCAAGACTCCATCTCAAAAAAAAAAACCAAAAAAAAAAAAACCAAAAAAAAAAACAAGGAATTGAAAACAGGTGTTAAAAAAAAAAAACAAAAAAACAAGAATGTTCATAGCAGTATTATTGACAAAAGCCGAAAGATCGAAACAACCCAATATCCATCACTTGATGAATGTATAAACGTGTGATATATCCATACAATGGAATTTTATTTAGCCATAAAAAGAAATGACGTACTGATAAATGCTGCAACACAGATGCAATTTGAAATCATGATAGGTGAAAGAAAGCAGACACAAAAGCCTACATATTGCATGATCTCATTTACATGAAATATCCATAATAAATTGGTAAAGAAAATGCACAGAAATAGAAAGTAGATTACTGGTTTTCAGGGGCTGGAAGAAGAAAAGAATGGGGAGTGACTGCTTAATGGGTACAGGGTTCACTTTTGGAGGGATGAATATTCTGAAGCGAGATAGTGGTGATAGTTGCCAAAATTGTAAATGCTCTAAGTGCCACTGGATTGTAAACTTCAAAATATATAAAATGGTAAATTTTATGTTATATGAATTTTGTCAATGTAAGTAAAGAGTTGCTGGTTATACTGGATACCCAACAGAGCCCAAAGGAATAATCCAAGCAACTCATAAAATGAAAGACAGGAAGATAAGAAATAAGGAAGGAGAGAAAAAGATAAAATGAGACCTGTTATAAATATTATCTGAAATAACAAGAACTGGAAATTGAACAAGTAATGGGCACAGGGTTCACTGAGATCTCCCTAGAGCTTCCCTTCATCTGGTGCAATAACAAAGGGGAACTACTCTTCATTTTAACCTCAGTGTCTCAGACACTGTGGCACTTGGAGACTTTATTAAAACTCTTCTGCGCCAGCAAACACACACAGACATTTCGTTAACATTTTTCAGGGTGCACTGAAGCTCTATGCTAAACCATTTATATATATTTCAAGAACTGAATGCATAGTTGTTACTTGACTCCTTAAGACAGAGGAAGAAATCTTGGTAAGGGTTTCCAATCAGCAACTTTGTGTAATATATACTTAAGATTGGAATTTGAATTAACAGAAATTGAGTTAAGACCTGGAGAATCGGGGTGGAGAATAAAATAGTACATATCAGCAGTCTAAGAAGAGGTAAGATAAAAAAAACGGGAAGATATTGGGGAGAAAAATATTTGCTAGACACCTTCAATATTTCACGCATATGTGACTTTATTTATCCCACTTGATAATAATATCATGTAGAAATTACTATGCTTATTTCTAGAAGAAACTTAGACTCTGAACATAGTGTAACTTATGTAAAGTCAGAAAGCCAGAAATAACAGAATCAATACTCTATTCCATGTCACAGTGCCAATAATATTAAAAATTCTGTGCTTTTGCTTCTTTTTCCTACACAAAATGCCTTATAATGAGATAGTGAGTGATACAGAGAGTGACAAAATTCCATAGAAGGCAAAGAAGAATTGCTTAATGAGCTTGAATTTGTTTATACTTAGAAAGACTATGAATGTACCCTGTTATAGAAAAGGATACAATATGGTGATTAGCTGTTGGTCTTTCTTCATGCTTCATATTTCAAATGGATTTAACTGAACTCAAATTTGATTATTAAGAAACCTGAATTTATAACTGAGCCCAAGGCCCATATAAGACATGAGGTAAAAAGCTCACATATAGCAGTAGTAAATAATATATTTGGAACTAAATAAGCAGATGTGTGCTAAAAAATTTGACTTTACCCAGAGAGAGGTCTGTCCTTTGCTCCTGGCTTCTAGAAGGAAATATACACAATACCTAATAAGAGAGTCTTTGTTTATTAGACTGGGGATTGGTCACACTAGATCTGAGGGTAGGGACTGGCCATGTCATAAAGATCAACAATATGACTTAGTGTGGGGACTTTGGGTCATGTGACACCAGTAAACCTGGAGACGGAGTTCAACCACATTTGCAATCAATCCAGCCATCATACCTATATAATGAAATCCCAATAAAAACTCTGAACACCAAAGCTTGGGAGAATTTCCCTAGTTGGCAATATGACTTCATGCATATTGTCACACATTAATGCCATAAGAGTAATGCATGTTTACTCCATGAAAGGACAACAAATTCTTCAGATTTGGACACCTCAGTTTCTTTTCTAAGCATCTCTTTATTTGTCTAATTTTAATCTGTGTCCTTTTCCTGTAATAAACTGTAACCATGAACATAATAGCTTTCAGTGAGTTCTATAAGTACTTCTAGTGAATTATTGAAGCTGAGGGTGGTTTTGGAAAACCTCTGAAATTGCAGTTAATGACAGAAGTGAGGGTAGTCTTCGGGACTGTACCCTTAAGTTTTGAAGTTTAGAGAGCTCCAGGCTAATCTAATTTGATGTCACATTTCTTTAAACTGTTAGCAAGGTCAATAGGCTCTTGTAAAAGAACTTCATATGGTGGAAAACCTTCACAGATAATCATTCTCCCTTACCAATTTACTTTAAATTCCCACTAAGGGATACCTTCCTTCTAGATACCTAGACCCTAGAAAAGGTGTGGATCTGCTTCTTGACTCAATTCTGTTGTATTGTGTTTTTTTTCTAATAAAACACTGTTAAAATTATCATCACTTTATAAGAAGACTCAGTGTCTGATAGTGTAAATCCTGCAGATTTTTTCTTCTTTGAAGAAGTTTTGGCTCTTCTAAATTCTCGTATTTTTCCTCATACCTTACTTTTCTTTCTTTTCTTTCTCCTTTCACTATACCTGACAGCAAATATTGCAAATATAGAGCCAGATTAATGTTACATATCTGAATTTCAACCTAGTTTCAAATTTTGAATTTCCTACCTATTAGCTGTAAATGATGGGAAATTACTTAACTTAGCAAAACTTTGCTGTTCCATAAAATCAGATACCAGTAGAACTTGTGTCATGAAATTTGGCGAGAACTAAATGAGATAATATATGTAAGTAGCAGTAGATGCAAAGACTGAAAAATAGTAGATATCTAATCAATAATAGCTATTATTACTGTGGTTCTTATTATCATAAATTTTATTTTCATCAACTCATAGTGTCTATATCTTGAGAAAGAAGGGAATAAGTACATTTATTTACTCTGAACTCAAAATTTTAGGAGAGACATAGTTCAAGCTTCTACTTGGCAGTTCAGCTTCTCACATTCATGGTGCGGGTAAGGAGTGATACTAGGATTATGTATGGAAAATGAAAAGAAGGAGAAAAAAACAAAGGCCTTTACAGAAAGGTATTCTTAATATCAATCCTTTGTTTGAGGATTTGTTTATTTATTTGTTTTAGATCTCAATTAAGTCTCGATGAATTGCCCGACGGGAACTGAAAAGAACTTTTAAAGCCATGGCCGCTAGCAGTTGGCAGAAGAATGTCTTCTCCCAATGTCACTGAACCCCACCTCTCTTCCTTCCTGTTGGTTAGGAATTCCAGGATTGGAAGCTGCACAACGCTGGCTAGGCTTTCCCTTCTGTGTTGTATATCTGATTGCTCTTGTTGGAAATCTTATCATTCTATTTGTTATCTGGACTGATAAAAACCTTCACCAACCCATGTTCTACTTTCTGGCCATGCTGTCAGTCATGACCTGAGTCTTTCTACATCTACTATCCCCAAGATGTTGGGCATCTTCTGGTTCAGCCTTCAGGAGTTGTGCTTTGGGTGCTGTGTTGCTCAAGTCTTTTTTATCCATTTTTTTTGCAGTCATGGAGAGCATTGTACTTCTTGTCATGGGATTTGATCGCTATGTGGCTATTTGCAACCCCTTCAGGTAGACCAAGATCCTCACCAACAGAATTACTGGTGTGATTGCTATGGTTGTGGTTCTTAGAAGCTTATGTATGATTGCTCCCATCATTTTTCTCCTCATGAGGCTGCCTTACTGTGGACATAGAATCATCCCTTATACCTATTGTGAGCACATGGGAGTGGCTCGTCTGGCTTGTGCCAGCATCAGTGTCAATGTCTCTCATGGTCTTGGGAATATTTTTATCTTGTTTCTGGATATGTTTCTTATCATCATCTCCTATGCTAGAATTTTATGCACAGTCTTTCACCTCCCTTCCCAAGAGGCCCACCTGAAGGCTCTTAATACCTGTAGCTCCCATATCTGTGTCATCTTAGCATTTTTTGGCCCAGCTCTCTTCTCCTTTCTCACTCATCGCTTTGGTCATGGCATCCCACAGTATATCCATATTCTCCTGGCTAATCTCTATATATAGTCATTCCCCCTGCTCTTAACCCAGTCATTTATGGAGTTAGGACCAAGCAAATCCAGGAGCGGGTAGAAAGTCTCTTTACTAAAAATTGATTGAATGGGAGAGAATTTCAGGTTATAAAAGTGTAAGTCCTAAAAAGACAAAATTTGTGATAAAATTAATAAATTGTTTTTGCCAAAATGGACCATCAATTTTATACATATATATATTTTATACAGATGTGTGTGTATATTTATTTATTTATACATATGTATGTATGCGTGTATGTTTAAAAACATATTGGCAGCAATTGCTAGATGTATGTGTGTTTATGCATGTCTGAGTGTGTATTTGCAATAATGTTATCTATTGACCCCTAACACAGAATATGCCATATAAAAGTAAGTTTCAAGGAGGATCACTTTAATTCACTGAAAATGTCTTCATTTTTCTCTCAGATATGAATAATGGATTGAATGAGCATTGAATTCCAAGTGCAAAATTATTTTTTTTGGACATGATTTTTTTAACATTCACTTTTGCATTTGAGATTTCGGATCCCAGTCAGATTATGTTCCCTTTAATCTATGCTCTTTTCTCTGTCTCTCTCACTTGAACTTTTATTCTCTTTCTCTCAACTCTTTTTCTGTGAAATGGTTTAAGATTTTCTTTTTATTTTTTGTGTTCACAATTTCTACCAAACAGTAGTACCTAAGTCCCTACTGGGCCTCTATTGAAACTGTCAATATTAAGCCTTAAATAATTTTTCAAATGTAGAAATTTTCTTTATTATTCTCTCCTTCTTTATTTTTATTTCACCTTTTGAAACTTGTATCTATGTCAGAAATAAATACGCTCAAAAATACCTCGACACAGAAATTTATACAGTATTTTATAATAAATACCCAGTCATAAAATAGCTTTATCAGGTGAGTAGTTGACACCTCATTACTTTAAGGAATAAAGAATATTAAACTATATATGTGAAATTAAATTGATGATTATTAAAACTTGTGGACATTTTTTTTTTTTTAGTTACTTTGATATTAACTCTTCCCATTGAGTTTGCATGTATTTTGTATGCTAAATTAGTAAAAAAAAATCACTAGGAATGTCATAGAATTGGGTGAAATGATTGTGGTAGTAATATTCAAAATTGAATTTGACCTTATCTCGCTTGAACAATATTCCACTTAGGTCATTCAGGTCTTTAAAATGAACCTTAGACTACCATTTTTTATTTTCTATTGCCATTTTTGAAAACCATGAATGTGTTGTTTATGTCAATTTTGGCCATATGCAGGAGGGTTACTTAAGCCCAGGATTTCAAGACCAGCCTAGGCAACTTATGGAGACCCTGTTTCTATAAAAAATAATAATAAAATTTTTTAAATTATATTTTTATATACTAATAAAAAATTTATAAATTAAAATCTTGAAAATTATATATTTTTAAATGGCATCGATCATTAAAAAGTCAGGAAACAACAGGTGCTGGAGAGGATGTGGAGAAATAGGAACACTTTTACACTGTTGGTGGCACTGTAAACTAGTTCAACCATTGTGGAAGTCAGTGTGGCGATTCCTCAGGGATCTAGAACTAGAAATACCATTTGACCCAGCAATCCCATTACTGGGTACATACCCAAAGGATTATAAATCATGCTGCTATAAAGACACATGCACACGTATGTTTATTGCGGCACTATTCACAATAGCAAAGACTTGGAACCAAGCCAAATGTCCAACAATGATAGACTGGATGAAGAAAATGTGGCACATATACACCATGGAATACTATGCAGCCATAAAAATGATGAGTTCATGTCCTTTGTAGGGACATGGATGAAGCTGGAAACCATCATTCTCAGCAAACTATCGCAAGGACAAAAAAACCAAACACTGCATGTTCTCACTCATAGGTGGGAATTGAACAATGAAAACACATGGACACAGGAAGCGGAACGTCACACACCGGGGCCTATTGTGGGGTGGGGGCAGCGGGGAGGGATAGCATTAGGAGATATACCTAATGTTAAATGATGAGTTAATGGGTGCAGCACACAATCATGGCACATTTATACATATGTAACAAACCTGCACATTGTGCACATGTACCCTAAAACTTAAAGTATAATAAAAATAAATAAATAAAATAAATAAATAAATAAATAAATGGCATCACAGAACATCAAATGCTTTGACCTAACTCTAACAAATGATATGCAAAACTTCTAAAATAAAAGCATAATAATCCTTCAAAGGAACTTTTTAAATACATAAATACATGAAAAGATATACCTAGTTCATGATTTGGAATAATCAATAACCTTTTAAAAACATTCTCTAAAATTGAACTATATATTCAATGCAATAAATATTTTAATGAATTTGTTTGCTTATTTGTCCTCTTGTTTTTGTTTTCAAAGTGTTATAAACATTTTAAAAGAAATTGGCTGGAAATCCTGAAGAACAAAATTTTAGGATTTATGTTATTATATTCCATAATTTATTTTATAGTATCACTTATGAAAACTGTGAAATACTTGTACAAGAACAGACAAAAAGCAGAACCACACAGTCCAAACACAAAAATACACATGTATAAATGTATAATTTATGACAAACAGCTTTTTAATAAATGAAGCAAGATCAAATGAATAGCCAAAGTAAATCAATTATATATTGAAAAATAATTGCCTCTATGTCACTGCCCTTTCAATGTGATAGTTAATATCCTCTCATCAAGGGGTTAATCTTGACAATGTGAGCAAGATGGACTACTAAAATGTTCCAGCTCTTAGTTGCCTCACACCGATAGCCAGAACAATGAATTAATAATTACATTTTAATGAAAGTAACTGAAGGAGAGGAGTGCTCATTTGTGAGACCCTGAGCCTAGAACCCTGGCTCCACAGCCACTCCAAGCCACTGTACTTCGAGCCCAGCGCTGCTGCAGCTGCTTATAGGCCATGTCAAATCTGAGGGATTCTGTCAGCTGAGTCCCCTCACTGCGGGAAAAATTAAAAATAAGAGGACCCCAAAAGCCCTTGACACTAAGGACATAAACAAATTGTGCCACCACTACTGCTGTGCCACTACAAACTTCTACAGTCTAAGCCACTGAGGCACCCACAGTTATTGCTGACATTAAACTCAGCTCAGGAAGCTGCACGGAGACTATGCTACACCCATCTGGAAACAGAGTCACCACACTCTTCCCAACTGGCACACTAAAACCCAACTGCAGGTGATAGTTGTCCTGTATAAAAACCACTCTGGAAAGTTTGGAGATAAGCAGATACACAGGCATCAATATAGAGACACAAGAAACATGAAAAGGCAAAGACATATGATACCACCAAAGGAACATAACACTGTAGTAACAGACTCCAGTAAAAAGAAAATCAACAAATTGCCAAAGAAAAAAAATCAAAATAATGATGCTGAGAAGACTCAATAAAATACAAGAATATACAGCATAGACAATTCAATAAAATCAGGAAAACAATTCATGAAACAAATGAGAAATTCAACAGAAGATAAAAATCATAAAAATCAAATAGAAATCCTGTAGCTGAAGAATTCAATGAATAA
Organism: Homo sapiens; assembly: GCF_000001405.40. Lineage (NCBI taxonomy): Eukaryota > Metazoa > Chordata > Mammalia > Primates > Hominidae > Homo > Homo sapiens. Next base: position 5,878,383 of record NC_000011.10, read on the forward strand.
GTTTTCAAGTTACAATAGAGAGATTCAATAGCAGACTTGGTCAAGCAGAAGAATCTGTTGACAGGTTGTTTGAAATAAGTCAAAGAAAAACAAAAGAAGGATTTAAAAAAGTAAAGAAATAATGGTGTTCCTTAATGGGATGCCATTAAGTAAACAAATATTTGTATTATGAGAATTCTAGAAGGAGAAGAGAAAGAAAAGGACAAAGGAAACCTATTTAATAAAATAACAGCTGAAAACTTTCCAAATATGAAGAGAGATGTAGATATCCAGATCCGAAAGCTCAAAATCCCCTATGTAAATTCAACTCAAGAAGGTCCTCCCCGAGGCATTATAATGTCAAACTGTCAAAAGTCCAAGACAAAAAGTCTCTAGGCCTTTAGGCTATTTGGCATGAGGAAACAGTGAAAATAGTGGGAAAATATATCCAATCCTTCAACACTTTTCAGAAGTAATGTCCTCAGGGAACAGCTGGGTTTCTGTTTCAAAAGGAAGAGAAACAGAACATCAGAAGTGGTTTAAGGCCAAAAATAATATCACTGCTCATAAAAAATTGATTCTAGAAGTCACAGTGAAATAGTCTTGGGAATAGGAGAGGGGTAGGTACAGTGACCAATTAGGAGATATATGATTATATGATATGACCCTAACAGAACTAGAATTTTTATGTTTTAAAAATAATGTAATTCAATGCCAGAACACCTCCTACAATCAAAGCACTATACTAAGTGAACTGAAGGATAAAGTTGACTTAAACATCACTCTAATATCAATCCATAAAATAATGGAAGACAGAAAACACAAAACCAACACAAAATAAAATTTGCCTGTTATAATAGTGGCACACACTGATGTGAAAATACAAAAGACACAAAGATTATATCAGATTGATTCATATGAAAGGTCATTAAGAAGTATAGGACAATTGAGAAAGTGCTGAAGCAAAGTAGAAATGAGATGAAGTTATTTCATATGGAGGACTTTTGATTATCAAAGACAAGATGTGTGTTCGGGAGTCATGTAGTATAATGAAAGTATAAAAAGTTGATTGGGTATTGAGTGAAGGACTTTGGCAACAATGGTGTTTGCCCCTTATTACATAAAGTCTACAGTATACAATGGAGAATGTAGGGGTCATGGGAAGGAATTTTAAGCAGAAATTGGATAGAGTCAGACTTGATTTGGGAAGATAAATGTGGATACAGTAAGGAAGATGGACACAATGAGGGAGAAACAGGAACCTCAGGAGTTACTTTCTCATTAATCAAAAGAGAAGTAATGAACACAAGAACGTGGCAGATCAAACCAGAATCTCTCTTGGACCACAGACGACATTGCTGTTTCTGTGCTAACAACTCAAAATAGTCTGAACTTAGGAGGCAAAAAATACCAACTAATTGTCTAATGTACTTATTTTTCCCTCAGTCTATTTCTAACTATAGTCAGGAAAACCAGGCTCTGCAGCATGTCCTGGTAGTACTATCGGGTCTACTATGTCATCATTCAGGAAGGGAGCCTCTCAGGAAACACTACCTCTGCTCTGGCTGGAAGGGACAATATAATATGTTTTATAAGGAAAACGTAGAATTTTCTTCACTTTCTGCCAAAAGAGCTGAAACACATGAAAGCCTCTCTTCAAAGACTATCTGTTCACCATTAGTTATAGACTGAGAAGGAGAATCTTGGTGGGTTGGAAGAAAGTTGCTGCTATTATCTGCAGGCATGCACACTGCCAATAAACAGAGTTGTACCACAGAGTCTAATTTGTCTATTTGAGATGTCTTCTCCTTCATCTTTTGAAGCCTCAATTGTAACAGCTGTGAAACTACATCAGGATTTACACAAACATATTAAAACAGAAAAGTTGCTGAGAACAGTTTCATGGTCACACTGTGAAGAGTTAATGGTCCAAAATCAATGCTTTCATGGCTCCTGAGGGAAGCGGAATTAACATCATTCCCCAAACAGATTCCTCTCTCTTCAGGATAGCTCCCTTCCCATCCTTTCATAACACATCTGCTCCCCTGAGCTAAGGAGTTATATCTAGCATGGTGTTTCTCTGCAGATGCAGTGAAGAGGAATAAAGACTTACTATGACTTAATGACCCTCGAGTCCATGTTTCTGCCCAGAGGATTCCGAAGACTAGGCTCGGGGATTCTGGGACATGCCTGGTCATAGGGATGCTCTCACTCACTATAAAGTTGCCTCCACTTTACCAAGCAGGCTTGTTGCTCAGAGGCTTCAAGGGGAACCTAATCACGGTCTTTAAGAACCTGGACTCATGCTCCAATTCTGCTCCAAGTGAGGGCTGGGAGAAGAAATATTACAGAGGTAAGAATGCTTGTGCAGGAGAAGTGAAAAGATACACAGGAGAGAAGAAGAGGGCAAATGAGGATAGAGAGGCCAGATTCTTCCACTTTTCTGAGGAATTATCCTAAGCACCATTGCACCATTTTCTTCACAGAGGAACACAACAGAGCACATGGGATTGGTGAGGGCAGTGGTGTACCAATTAGTAATGCACAGAATTTCTGTCTGTGTATCTCTCTCTCTCCCCCCTTTCTCTCTGCCCCTCTCTCTTACACACACATACACTCATACACACACATTCTCACAGAGTACACTGTTCACAGCCGAAACACCACAAATACAGTCATATAGTAGCATGGCCATACTTGTTGTCAATAAGACAAAAGGATGTTATTGCAGACTTCTTTTGTATGTGTTTATTTAAGGTGGTGGGTGGGTATCACATGTCAATATTCAAATACAATTACATAGGCATTAACATATTTGGTCTGTAAAGTTTTATTCTCTGTTTCCCTCATTGTCTGAGTGAATTTAATGTTGCCAGTTGTAACTTGGTTCCCTATATCCCTACTACTTTATGGAACCATCCCCAAGCCATTTTTATTGTAAGCACAATACCCCTGCTAGATCAGCCGGACTGAACCGCCAATGGCACAGTTATGGAAGAGCCTGAATGAAGGTATTTATCCACTTTATCCATTCATCAACTGCTTTGGTCTCACCAAGATTGGGAAAGCTGTAAGAATAAGAGGAGAAAATTGTTTCTTTTCTAAATGAGCAGTATTGGGTCATATTTGTATCCATAAAAATCTAGACATAAATATTAATGTCTGACTCTGTGCCATTTCTTCACTTTGGCCTCTTCTGAGCCATTCCTCCTTTATCTAATCTTAGGCCAAACTGTGACATAATTTGGACTTTTTACAATGAAATAACTTCTTTCTGCTAACAGGTGAATTATTTTAGCTATCTTGCATTTAAATAAACAAAATATTTGGGAGCATTAATAAAATAAGTAAGTATAATTTGTTGAGGATACACTATGCACTAGCACCTATACAAACATTGGTCTTATTTATCATTAAAATAAACCACATTAGTTATAATTTATCATCTCATTTTTACAGGAGAAAAAAAAACTGATCTATCTGGTTAAAGAATCTGTCCAAGGGTCTCAAGCAAGTAAATGGTTTAGCAGGTTTTCCAGCCATGTCTGAAAAGTTTTAAGGTCCACAGAAGACTTCTGTAATATTCTACTACAGTCAGCAAAAAAATAAAAATCCAACAAAGTAAAAAAAATCACAAGTTCAAAATGTGAACTTTGGTGAGCACAATAAGAGAAAAATTGCTAATTGTTATGAATTTGTCTTTTCAGATGGACTCCAGTAGGGATCTTTGTCAATGTGCATATCTAGAGAAGAACAAACTTAATAATTTGCCCTCAAAAAATGATCTTGAGGTTATTGGCCATACACTGTCTGCTACTGTGGCATATAGTTATAACAGAAAGAAGGCAAGAATTCAGGTAAAACTGTGAGAGGGTGGATGTGCTGGCAGCTTTGAATTTTACTGTCAGAGAAGCGTCCTCTTTGCCATCTCCCTGGGAATGTTTTTCTCAGCTGGCAAAGTATCATGTTGAGACACAGCCACCCTTAAGATTGGGCTGACTCTGGACTGTAAATCTCACAACACATCATCCTAGCTATTTCCTCAGACTCTCCCAGGTGAAATCACAAAAACCACTGCCCTCTGATTTTTCAGCCTGGCATCTTTTCCTCAATACTGGCAAACATTATGTTCTTTTTTCAATTTTCTCTCAGCTTCTCGGGGACCAAGAAATGCTCTTGTTCTTCTCATACAGAATGGGGAATTATTAACTCCTTTGCTTGTGTACTTCTGCTGTAAAATAGCTACCTGGCAAAGTTACAGGACAACTGATGTATGCAGCCACGTACATAATAAAACATGATTTCTCTCTCTACTCCTATCTCTCCAACCTTCTCCGTCTCTCTCTCTCTCTCTCTCTCTCACTCTCTGTCTCTGTCACACACACTCACACACAAACAAAAGCACACTTATTACAAACCCCAACTCTGATTCAATTAAATGCTGAACAACTGGGAACCAACATTCATGTGGCAGTTTTGAGAGTATTACAATGATTACCCCTGGTTCTCAACTCTTAGTTGCAGCTATTCTCTTTGTAGAAATAAGGCCAGTACATGCATAAATATTATACAATCCAGGTTACATTAGTTGCTACAGAGTTGTACAGTGTCTTTAGGGATGCAAAGTTAAAATAAGGTAATTTTCCTTGTTATTGTCAAGGAATCAATGAAGAGTCCTTAAAACATTTTAATTTCAATATTAAAATTTGCTAAATATTTGATCTGTTTACACCTGAAGGTAGGCACAATTTTGGGACATGGGAATTTTTTTTATGTTACTAACTGATGTTATAGATTGTAAGGAAGATAAACATAATTTGGCAGATACACACAAGGCATTTTATTGGAAGGATATCAGGGAATCAGAATGACAGGATCTTGGAGAAACTGGATTGTTCATGAAGATTTAGAAGCATCAAAATTAGTAATTAATCCATAATAGAAATGCACTTATCAGTTTAGCTGAGTTAGAACCAGGAAAGTTCTAACAGAGACTGATTAACTACACTTATGTGATGTCACTGTATAAGATCCTTACGTTTATATTATAATAAAACATAGAAAGTGGTAGACAGTAGTACTTCTCCTTTGTACTAGGAATCTTTGTCTCATCTAGAAACTATTGAGATACTCAGAATTTTAGTTTCTCTGAATTACATCCATAATATTTATATTATTAGACATTAGAGCAAAATTTAAATATTTAATATTAAAATAATATTAACAAACTATTATATAAAACATAATTTGGTACTTTTTGTTAAAATCACTGTTTTTCAAGAAATTAGTTGTAAAAATGGTATCATTTTCCTTTGCAAATATTTTTATTGTCTAAGTTAAGATAATAGAGCTGAAATCTCACAACATCATTTACAATTTCATTTAATCTGTTATGGTAGCACCTCATATAACCTCTGGAAAATTTCACTATGTACTTATGAGAGAATGAGAGTGAGAATGGCTAAAAATTTTCTATTATAAAAATAGTTTTGAGCTTGTGAACTTCTGGAAAGGTACTTAGAAAACCCCAGAGATCTCAAGACCACACTTCAAAGAACACATGGAATGGTGATTTCCCAAAAAGTAAAGAAGGGCTACTTAGGAAAGTAATGGAAGGGAATGCCGTAATATAAATATGCATTGCATTATGAAATTTTTCCCATTCTTTCAAATATCTCAAAGATTACAAAACATAAAGCCATAAGCAATATTGCCTATGATGGATCTCAGAACAATAATCTGTGTTGAGAGGCTTCCTCGATTATCCTCTGGAAAGAAGTGAGTCTTGAATGTTTGTAAATTAACCACCTATACCATTACCTCTAGCACACTGATAAGAGTCTTTCTGTTTCTTCAGGAACTTGACAAGAGAGGACCTTAAAGAAAGTGAGATCCTTCATACTTAGGAATTCAGTGACACTTGCTGGGAGAATGCCTTCTATCAATGACACCCACTTCTATCCCCCCTTCTTCCTCCTGCTAGGAATACCAGGACTGGACACTTTACATATCTGGATTTCTTTCCCATTCTGTATTGTGTACCTGATTGCCATTGTGGGGAATATGACCATTCTCTTTGTGATCAAAACTGAACATAGTCTACACCAGCCCATGTTCTACTTCCTGGCCATGTTGTCTATGATTGATCTGGGTCTGTCCACATCCACTATCCCCAAAATGCTAGGAATCTTCTGGTTCAACCTCCAAGAGATCAGCTTTGGGGGATGCCTTCTTCAGATGTTCTTTATTCACATGTTTACAGGCATGGAGACTGTTCTGTTGGTGGTCATGGCTTATGACCGCTTTGTTGCCATCTGCAACCCTCTCCAGTACACCATGATCCTCACCAATAAAACCATCAGTATCCTAGCTTCTGTGGTTGTTGGAAGAAATTTAGTTCTTGTAACCCCATTTGTGTTTCTCATTCTGCGTCTGCCATTCTGTGGGCATAACATCGTACCTCACACATACTGTGAGCACAGGGGTCTGGCCGGGTTGGCCTGTGCACCCATTAAGATCAACATAATCTATGGGCTCATGGTGATTTCTTATATTATTGTGGATGTGATCTTAATTGCCTCTTCCTATGTGCTTATCCTTAGAGCTGTTTTTCGCCTTCCCTCTCAAGATGTCCGACTAAAGGCCTTCAATACCTGTGGTTCTCATGTCTGTGTTATGCTGTGCTTTTACACACCAGCATTTTTTTCTTTTATGACACATCGTTTTGGCCAAAACATTCCCCACTATATCCATATTCTTTTGGCTAACCTGTATGTGGTTGTCCCACCTGCCCTTAACCCTGTCATTTATGGAGTCAGGACCAAGCAGATCCGAGAGCAAATTGTGAAAATATTTGTACAGAAAGAATAATTCTGTATTAAAGTTTGGATAAATATATCTATATACAACCCAAATTATCATCATCTGAGCTCCCTTTTTAATCTTCTGTAACAGTTGGTCATGCTTGTCAGATTTTTTCCTTTTGACTGGAAGTGCTTTAGTGTTGACAGATAATGCAAACTTAAAACCTTTGCTGCCTGTTTCCCCTACTTCTCTCCAAGTACCTGGACAAAGGTTAGAGATTAATGGAGAAGGTAACTATGCTGAAGGTTGAGGTGGCTTTGGAGTAGAACTGCTTGTAAACAAGGGTGATAGGTAGCTCCATTTTTTTCCATATGTCTTCTCTCTAGGTAAGTTTAGATCCTGAAGGATACTGATCAAATAAATCTCATTTTATAGATGAACAAAATAAGCTGTAATCCAGCAGTAGTGTCCGTTTCATAGCTTTGTATTCTTTACAGAATCCAAAATTTTGTTGTTCTTCTCCAAAATCTTTGACTCCCATGTTTATTTTAATGCTCTCTCAGTCTTGCTGTTACTGCCATTTTTGCTCCTTTCCTTCTTTCAGATTCCTGCTCTCTCTCTTTTTGTGATGGTTAATACTGAGTGTCAACTTTATTTGACTGAAGGATACAAAGTATTGATCCTGGTTTTGTCTGTGAGGGTGTTGCCAAAAGAGATTAACATTTGAGTCAGTGGGCTGGGAAAGGCAGACCCACCTTCAATCTGGGTGGGCACCATCTAATCAGCTGCCAACGCAGCTAGAATATAAAGCAGGCAGAAAAATGTGAAAAGACTAGATGGGCCTAGCCTCCCAGGCTACATCCTTCTCCTGTGCTGGATGCTTCCTCCTCGAACGTCGGACTCCAAGTTCCTCAGTTTTGGGACTCAGAGTGGCTCTCCTTGATCTTCAGCTTGCAGATGGCCTATTGTGGGACCTTGTGATCATGTGAGTTAATACTTAATTCCCCCTTTGTGTGTGTGTGTATGTGTACACACACACACACACACACACACATATATATATATATCCTATTAGTTCAGTCCCTCTAGAGAACACTGACTAATACACTTTTCTTTTACATTCGTTCTCTGATAAAGTAAGTCTTTGTGAATTTAGGGATATGAGAGACTACAGTGTGGGTATTACGGAGACATGTTTTCTCACTTGAAGCAAAGTCATTTTAGATGTGACTACTTGTATGTGTCGCCTGTCTAATTCTAATTCTCAATTCTATCTGACAATTTCCCTTCAGACAAAATATATAAAACTTATGAGACTTTATAAAACTTAGAAAAACAATTAGGCTCAAGCTATGGTAAGCACAGGGCCAGACTTGATATCGACTTCAAAATAATATCATTATAATTTATTAATCCTGTAGATCTCCAATATTTAGTCCTATTTTCAAACTTCAGATATGGCTGGAGAATGTGGTTTGCTTTAAAATAGATAAAAGAGACATTGAACTGAAATTTGTGACTTATCAGGGTACTCATGCTTCAAAATCAGAAGAAGTCTCCCTCATGTTCTATAATTTAGAACCACTGTGTAGTTTGTATGACAATATACAAAATACTCAAAAGTACGCAGATAACGATTTTAGGAAATGGGGGCGGATATAGCCAAGTAGACAAGAAAAGCAACATCACCTATTCAGTATCTGTGAATCTGGACAGTTCTTGGTCTTAACACTGGCTAAGCACAATTCCTGAATTCTATAGTATTTTGTAGATTTTCTTTAGGTCTGTATGCATGGGTTCTAATTTGATTTTTGCAGCTTCTGCTTCATGTACTTAACATTTTATGGGAACATAGGGTTTTAAATGTGGAAATACATTGAAACTTGATCTATTCCCTTTGTCTTACAAATAAAAAAAACTGAGGTCTAAAGAAAGCAGGTATTTGTGTGCATAAAATATACCCATCTTTAGCATCATTCTCATGTAACAAGTGAAGGAAGATCACTCAGATAAATCCTTTTGACTACAAATTCTTAACTCTTGCAGGAGATTTAAGTAGGAAATATTTTATTTATACGTGAGAGGCTTCATCATGGGTCCCAAGTGGAGATCAAGTAAAAGGAGAGGTAGAACGAGTAGCCTGGGTTTGGTGTTGGTAATGAGAAGAGGGAGACCACAGAAACTGAGTACAGGTGCAAGTAGTATAGTGATAAAGAGAAGCTGAAATCAGCACAGTCTTCATCACTGTGGTCCACAGTACTGAGTGGTAAGCACAGACGAGCATCCAGGCCCTCAATAGCTGTACCATATATAAACATGCTAAATAAAGACAAAGTTTTTTTCTTTTCTCAGTGATATGAAAGCATCTGTGACATGTATAATGCAACTTTCTGGTTAAATATATTGATGGGAGTCGGAAAATTTTAATATAAGCGTAATAGTGTCCACAGTGTAGATGGGAGTGCACCATAATGCTGGCCCTGAAATGGTTCATAATCAAACTGGAACACCACACTTAAACATGGCTGAGCAGAGTCATTGTACTGGGATCCCTTCTCTGGACAGTAGTTTTCTTTCACGAAATCAAACAAGATGGGACCAGAAGGGTGCTGACAAGCTGAAGAAAAAAGACACAAAAGATAAATATAATTGAGAAAATGGTGACAAAAGGAATGCCAACCTGAAATAATAGTATGAGAATCCAGTGTAAGTGTTTATTCAAATGCAAAGCTAAGGATGGCCATCTGGGAAACACAGAATCCAAAGAAATGAGGTCAATGCTCCAAAGTTGAAAAGTTAAGGTTTTACTTATGTAGGCAGAAAGCAAAGAAATGTAGCAGAATTAAAGATTTCCCCATACAAACTTGATTTATGAGTTACAGCACATTGATTAGTTATAGCTTGTTTTCTTTTTCCAATTTAAATGAGTATTTTTAACATTTTAACTTTGACAATGTAATAGTCATGAGGTCTTTGTGTAAAACAAGGAAGAAGGAAGTTAATCAATAACGAAGATCAAAAATAAAGAGGGAAAGGGTCTTCTCTGGCACTCGTTAGTCTTTTACAACATTCTAAAAAACAATGTAGGTAATGGAAAAAGGCTAATTTATAATCAGGCAAACAAATACTACAACTTCCTAGGTTACAGCTATCTGTTAGTGACTCAAGTCCTATAATCACATTCTTTTAAGGCTCAAAATAATTTAAAGTTTCAACAGCTTTGGTCTTGAATTACTTATTTTCATTAAAAAAAGACATCAATGCCAGAGTTAATTATATTCTACTGGTATTGAATATTCGAAGACTATGCCATTTTCCATAAACCTTGCTCACCCCGTCAAGCAATCCTTCTCCTTAGGAACCCTTTATGCATCACACGGTATTCTACAGAATATGGAAACCAGCCTAGCTCATAGACTCTTATGGGATAGTAAGTGTGAGAATATTAATGCTGTTTATCTCTAACTTTATGTTACCCACCAGCACTTTGGGAACAGACATAATTCAGTGTAACTGAAAATAAACTTCCATGAAGTTCAATTCAGATACAGTATCTTCTTGAATATGTTCCAACATTGCTCCATTCAATTGGTTTATTGATCCATAACTCCTATATCAGTCAGAGCCTTGCTATATTATCCTGGTTTCCCAAAAAAACCTTTTTAAAATTCCAGATGCCTGCAGACTTTTCCATTTTTCTGGTGCCAAATTTGAAGAAAATTCTCAACAGTTTTCCAAAGTGATTTCACCATTTTACACTTCTACCAACAAAATATGAAAATCCCAATTGCTCGACATTCCCACCAACATTTGGTGTTGTCAGTCATTTGAATTTAGCTACTCTAGTGAGTAAAAAGCATTATCCCATTGCAGTTTTAATTTTTATTTCTCTAATAACTAATAATGATGTCAAGTATATTTTTAGCTCTTATGGGCCATTTTAAAATATTCGCTTGTGAAGTATCTATTATTCTTTTCCAACAACTACAAAATTAGCTACTTTGAGATATATTTGAATGTAGTTCAAAAGTCTTAAGAAATTAGAATCCAAAGATAAAACTACCTATTTCAAAATAAACAATAAGAGCAGTAAATTTTACCTATACTTATACATGTTTCTATATACACATGGATATTTATAAATATACAGATGATCCTTGATTTACAATGTTTTAATTGGACAATTTTTTGACTTTAGAATAGTTTGAGTATATGCATTCAGTACTTTCCTTGACTTACAATGGAATAAAGCCAAGATCAACCCCTGGTAAGGTGTCTGTAATACCATTGTTATTACTAACAATGTCATGTCTCTTGAAGACAATCTAGATCTTCTTACCTCTTGCATTTCCAAATTCCATTTATTTCATGCTAATTGCATCATTACTTTGGATGCTGCATTATCCATTGTCCTGCTCAAGAATAATGCCTTCAAAATATTGAACAATATTTTCAATGGATTTGTTTCTTTTTTAATTTTTATGGATACACAGTAAGTGCATATATTTATGGAGTACATGAGATGTTTTGATACAAGCATGAAATGTGTAATAACCACATCATAATCCAGCAATCCCACTGCTGGGTATACAAACAAAAGGAAGAAAATCAATATATAGAAGAGATATCAGCACTCCAGTGTTTGTTGCAGCACTGTTTACAATAGCTAAGATTTGGAAGCAACCTAAATGTCCATCAACAGATGAATGGATAAAGAAAATGTGGTACATATATACAACGGAGTACTATTCAGCCATAAAATATTTTCAAATTATCATGGGTTTATTGCAGCATAACCCCATTGTAAGTTAAGGAGCATCTATATATAATATCATATATTATGTATTGTATATTATTACATGTGATAAAAGTAAGTTTAAATAGAAGAATCTACAGGAAAATCTAAGGCTGCTTATTGGCAATATTAGTGAAGGTTCTAGAAAGCATAGTTAGCAAACTCAAGCTGACCCCTTAAACTAAGACAAATATATAGGCACAGTTTAGAAATTCCACAAGAGACTATAAGGATAGTAAGTGTGGGAATGTTTACTCTGGGGTCCAAAGAGGAGAAGGAGTTCCTGGCATCTGGAGGCCCAGAGAGCATTGCAGATAGAAGTTGCAATTTATTTGGAGGTACTCACAGAGCCCGTGGTGACCTGCAGGTCACCTGCAATGAAGGAGCAGGTGGGAACCAGAATAAATATCTCGACCTCACTCACTTCCCCCTCACCTGCTGGTGCTTCCTATTTTCTGAACCCAAGCAGATTCTATGGGACAAAAGAGGCTATTGATACAGTACATAGTCATGAATCTCTTAGGACACAGAGTATAGAATGGACCTAGAGAGGCCGAAAGGAGATCTCCAGCACATTGGCCCACATAAACAAAGGGCTGGAGGAAAATTCTGAACAAACATGAGGCGGCCAATATTTTTATATATTCTCCTTTCAATTACTATTGTGTGCTATTTATTTCAGTATTTATTTATTTGTAGCATTAGATACTCTCCTTTTTGTTCTCAGAATCCTCTTAGAATCATTTTGAATTTTTTTGTATTCTTTTAGACAGCCCAAGAATTATAATGCTGATAAAAAATCATTTGGACTAATATACTGTGAAATATAATCTAGTATGTTTGCACTGAGAATTGAAATGAGAATAAAAAAGTAATGGAATAATCACCAGGCATATTCTTAGTTTTCTCATAATTTTAGAGTATTCTCTCTGTAAGGCCAAAAGTAAAATGAAAGAACATTTTATATGCTAGGGGTATTCTTCTATGTGGTTTATAAGATTCATGGGTATTAAGGAAAACTTTGGGCTTTCCAAAGCTTTAATTAATATTGTAATTCAAAAAGATCAATATGATAATGCATAGTAAGATATATCCAATTTTATAGGAAACATTAGAAATAATCAAGAAAAGTCACTAACTTTTCATCCTTTACATTCTTTTATTGTAAAAGAAATCAAAGCTCCCTGAAGAAATGATTTTGAACTCAGAGGTATACAAATAGAGATATAACAAAAATATCTTGAAAACTTAGTTAGCACAATAGCTCATGTTCAAGAAATGTAGCTGATTTGACTTTCACGTATACATAATGCTCAAATGGCACTTGCTGATTTAGCCTGTATTTAATGAGCATCTAATTATTATGTTGTCTAATTCATATCAGGAGCTCAATAAAAGAAGGTTGAATCAAGGAACATTGGCTTGTAGGATGAGCATGACTGACATCTAGTGGTAAAAATAAATACTTTTTTGTAAAATTTATTTATTTATTTTGTAATTTCAACTCTTAGATTTAGGGGCTACATGTGTGGGTTTGTGACATGGGTAGATTGTGTGATTCTGAAGTTTGGGGTATGAATGATCCCATCACCCACTGATATGGTTAGGCTCTGTGTTCCCACCCAAATCTCATCTTGAATTGTCCGCATAATCCCCACATTAGGGTTGGGACCTGTTGGGAGGTGATTGGATTGCAGGGTTGGTTTCCCCCATGCTGTTCTCATGATAGTGAGTTATCATGAGATCTGATGTTTTTTTAAGTGTTTGACAGCTCCCCCTGCACGGGCATTCTCTTTCTCTCTCACCTGCTGCCCTGTAAGATGTGCCTCTTCCCCTTCCGCCATGACTGTTAAGTTTACTGAGGCCTTCCCAGCCATGTGGAACTGTAAGTCAATTAAATCTCTTTTCTTTATAAATGACCCAGCCTCAGATATTTACTTATAGCAACGTGAAAATGAACTAATATACGCAGGTGGTAAGCATATTACCCTATAAGTAGTTTTTCAACCCTTGTCCTCGGCCTCTCTCCCACCTTTAGTAGTCCCCAGTGTCTGCTGTTCCCATCTTTATGTCCATGTGTACCAATAAATACATTTCCTGAACAAATAAATGACAGTCATTTAAATGAACAATCTAATGAACTAAAAAGGTAAATAACTTTTTCTACTGAATATTTATTTATGTTATTGAACACCAAAAATTCTACTTCAAATAAGGAATAGAAATAATGTCCATTTAATAATATTTAGATATATTGTCAAACACTCTGCTGTTCTAGTCAAATGCATGATCTCACTTACTCTGAAAAAAAAAGTGTGAAATGTGTTTTGTCATTTCCGTCAGCCTTGTGAATCTATAAGAAGGAACAAGAAGCTGATAGAGGTTAAGAAATGTTTTCCCAGCTACAGAATCTAAGAAAAAAATATTTAAATTTATGTTGCCTAACTCCAAAGTGTTAACTTCAGAGATAATGTTGTAAAAGATTTGTGAAAATGCATAGCCAGTGTTAATGTATTAATTAATTTCTAACAAGTAAGTGTTGAGCACCTTCCAGACATTACCTTATTATACTGTTACAATATTGATATAATTTTTTCTCATTTTCCATTTGAGAAAACCAAGACTTAGAATGGCAAATGTAATTGAACAAGATCACAGAATAAGAGAATCAAAAGATCATGTTCTTAATCTGTAGGTTAAACTGCTTTTCTTTCTGTATATATATATATTCATTTTGATATTTCTATTAATATTATGTATCGTGTTAGATGCATTACACACTCACAAAAATCATGGAATGTAATTCTTGTAACAGATATATCTCATGAATTGGAAACTGAAGTTAGAATTCTATCTCTGCCATTTATTAATGTACATATATTTCAGAGATGACTTTAAGGCGATGCTGGGTTCCTTCTTACAGGGCTCTTTTCTTGCCTCTCTGTCAAGAGTAACTAATCACCTGATACCACAGTCAGATTTAAGGTGTAAGTGTGAGGTCATTATGCCTCTAACTGAATAGACCCCTGGGACCTGTGCAGGGAATGTACCCACTAGAGGATGCACAGATCATCAGCAAGCAGAAGGTATCTCTGACAAGATAACCTAGAGCCCTATCCTCAGGAGTAGGGAAATTTTCTGTTTTCTCTCCAGGTCCAGTGACACAGCCCACACTTTAGGGAAGCCCTTCCCAGGGGACAAGAATTCTCATATAACTCCTTGGCTCTGAATAGTAAGAACTATGTCGCATACAGGTTGCAGTCTGGGGTATCCGGTCCTTCACAGACAATTTCTCAGATGCGGGGCAGAGGTAGGTGAGTCAGCTCCTGGTTATGCTGAAAGAGGGTCCTCAATGACAGTAACTAAAGTGATTTGTGGGATGATGGAGCTCCAGTGACTCGGCCAGAGTCTCTGTAGATAGGGCCATCTTCTAAGGAAGTAGCAAGAGAAAGAGATAGTAGTTAAGAAAAACCCAAATTCATAGCTGTAGTCAAGAACAGACTATTACTTAAGGACATGATAAAGGAAGAAAAGCAGTAAACAAACTTCAAAGAGCATTCTGAGAGTTAAAGGAAAAGAGAAGGATAAGTGTTTTAAAATTAAAAAAAAAAGAGCATTTCATGAAGATGAGAAGGATGTTAACAGATCATTCCCTGGTTATAGCTGTGTGGTCTGCTTTTCAAGACCTATGCACCTATGACTAGTTGTTAGGAATCTCAGATGCTGAAACCTCAAATTTTCACCCGTCCCTGGAATTGCCCTCAGATCCAAGGAACTGCCTCATCTGAGGTCATGTCGCATCACACAGTGTGGCCCATTGCCAACAACTAGATAATATAGAAATACAAAAAAAATAAAAAAGGCTTACTTTTTTTGTGTGTGTGGGACAACTTAGAGAGATCAAACCATCTCCAGAGCTTCATATCGTATCATTTGAGGCTTCAGATGTAACTACATGATAAAGAAGTTTGTCTTCTGATCCAATCCTACCTTCCTGGCTTCTTTATAAGCATATTTTCCCAGAGCCTTTCTCAAAAATCTTTCTGCCCGCCATTCTCTATCTCAGATATGTTTTTAGGAATTCAATCTAAAATACTATATATAACAATAGGGAAGATTATTATTTGCACTCAACTTTCAATAGCCATTTGTGGATCCTGGCATTAAAAAAATCATGTTATCATGGAGATAAATATGACACTAGTTTTGCCTTCAAAGAAATTATAACCTAGTGGTAGATATTCGCCAGTGGTTCTCAAATTGGAATAAGCATCAGAATCACCTGGAGGGCTTTTTAACAGATTACTGGACCCCTCTTCAAGAGCTTCTGATTAAGGTGGTCTTAGTTAGTGTCCAAGAAATGTCATTTATAACAAGTTACCAGGTGATGCTGATGCTATTGGTCCAGGGAACTCATTTTGAAAACCGCTGATAACTCACGTAACAGAAAGATAGATTGGCCTTTGGAAAAATAGGAAAAAAAAGAATGGATAATCTTGAAATAAGCAGATTGAGGCAGGCTATGTAGATTGTATGTTAATAAATCTAGGCTATGTACTATAGTGGTGACTAAAGCTAGACAGGAAAGTCTCCTCATAAGAGGAAATATGAAGAAAGACATAGAGAAGAAAGCATGCAGAAAGTTTGAAGTGCAGTTTGACTGCAGTGTGGAGATGATAATACTGTAAAGATAGGTTAAAATTAATGTTTAAGATTCTTCACTGCATTTTATGGAATAAAGACTTTTTTCATAAGGATATGGAGCACTACTGAAATTTTATTCTTATGGCTCAGGGGTCGGTGCCCTTTTTCTATAAAGAGAGAGAGAGTTAATATTTTTAATATTTTCCTGCCATGAGATCTCAGTCACAACTCCTCAGATCTTCCATTGTAGATTAAAAGCAGCCACAGACAATACATAAATGAATGAGAATAATTTTGCCCCAATAAAATTTAATTTACAAAAACAAATGGTGGGCCAGATTTGGTCCATGGGCCATAGTTTGTGTTCTCAGAAAATACTTATGATAATCTGATTTCAAAAATTATTTTAATTGCGGACTCAATGTAAAGAAAAGATTGCTTTAGACTTTGAGTGTAGAAATGTTTTACTTCACTGACAAGAGAACCACTACACATTTTTTTCAGTTGTTGTGTTTAATTATGAAAAGATTGCTAAGGCCATGGTGAATTAAATGGCTGTGACAATGTCAGGAAATTCAAAGTCCTACACCAAAATTACTTTAAGTGAACAATACAATTCTCCAAAGCTAATATTTTAGAAAATAAAATTCTTGTAACAAGCACTGTCTTAAGGTGAAAAATAATAGCTGTTGGATTTGAAATTGCATATCACAAAAGAAAAGCTGGATTTATATTCACAGGAAACAGTGAAAATATAAAATTAAACATAAATTTTGTTCCTTTGGCTGATTTTTCTCCATTGCACTCTTAATTCTACCAAATTTAGGTATTCTTTATTCTTCCTTATTTCAGTGACAGATTAAATAATTTAGCTCTGTACTTTAATTTTTCTGCAAACAAAATTCTCTATAGCTTATTCATTAATACAATTAATCATATTGTGATATATAACCTCTATTTTTTAATCTTTGTAAATAGCCATGAATAAATTTAATGTTTTAAGCTAATCATTGTATTCCACCATTAGCAGGATGATCATCTTATTGGCATTTATGGTTGACCCCTGCGGAAGCATTACATTGGAGGAAACACAATAACTGAAAAACCAAGTAAGACAATTTGGTAATAATTCAGATGAACAATGTTAGTCTATGTATATCAGTGAAAACAGAAATAGGCCAGGTGTGGCGGCTTACGCCTGTAATCCCACCACTTTGATAGGCTGAGGCAGGCAGATCAGCTGAGGTCATGAGTTCAAGGCCAGCCTGGCCTTGTCTCTACTAAAAATACAAAAATTAGCCGGGCGTGGTGGTGGGCACCTGTAATCCTAGCTACTCAGGAAGGTGAGGCAGGAGAATCGCTTCTACCCAAGTGGTGGAGGTTGCAGTGAGCTGAGATTGTGCCAGTGTACTCCAGCCTGGGAAACAGAGAGAGACTCCATCTCAAAAAGAAGAAAGAAAAAGAAAGAAAAGAAAAGTAGAAAAACTAAAATGTAGGTAGGAATATAAATAGAGATTTTAAAAACAGAACAGGGTATAATAATCAGAGAAGACTTTGGGAGGCTGAGGCGAGCAGATCACGAGGTCAGGAGATCAAGACATCAAGACCATCCTGGCTAACATGGTGAAACCTCGTCTCTACTAAAAAAAAAAAAAAAAAAAAAAAAATTAGCCGGGCGTGGTGGCAGGCACCTGTAGTCCCAGCTACTCAGGAGGCTGAGGCAGGAGAATGGCGTGAACCCGAGAGGTGGAGCTTGCAGTGAGCTGAGATAGCACCACTGCACTCCAACCTGGGCGACAGAGTGGGACACTGTGTCAAAAAAAAAAAAAAAAAATCAGAGAAGAAGAAAAAATTTGAATGAAAAATTATTCAGTTTTCAAATCTTTGTAACTGTAAGGATGTTACATATTAATAGAGATATGAAATACATTGTATGAGAAATAAGGATTTAAAGGCAGCAAGTGGTGAGTACAATAAAAAGAGAGGGTCTGGAGAAATATTTCTCCTTCTCCCTATTGAAAGTAATAATCATGATGATGATTACAGTTATTTAAAATCCATGTGGAAAGTAATCACACCACATGTCTATAACTTCTAATTTTCAGGACAGTCCCTGCATGATGTGGTGATCATGTGATTAATTTTATTACCCCCAGCTTACATATAAAAAATTACTAATAGCAGTAGCTATTGAGTAAGATATAGTTTTTAATTCCCTGGCCTGAATCTCATTTACCTCCTCTGTAAATGGGGACAGAAGTGCCAATTTCAGAACTGCTTTAATCTTTAAATAAAATCACATTTCAAAAGCACTGAAAAAATACCTGGCACATAATGTCAGCTAGACGTTTTTTCCCTCTAACATAAACTTAGTTATTATTCCTTTTAGTAAAAGACAAAATGTAAAGAATTCTCTGACAGATCGGATGCTGGGGCAGGGGATAGATGTAAATAGAAAGATAAAGCTAATTTGTGGTTATTAGTGGGTGAAAGGTATTGATACTGACTCTTTTGTATTGTAAACATAACTTTTTTATTTTTAGACATTCAAGGGGATACACGTGCAGGTTTGTTACCTGGGCATATTGCATAATGCTGGGGCATAGGCTTCTAGTGAACCCATCACCCAAATAGTGAACATTGTACCCAAAAGGTAGTTTTTCAACTCTTGCCTCTCTACCTCCCTCCCCACCTTTGTAGTCTCTAGTGTCTGTTGTTTCCATCTTTATGTCCATGTGTACCCATTGTTTATCTCCCACTTATAAGTGAGAACATATGCTATTTGGTTTTCTGTTTCTGCATGAATTCACTTAGAATAATGGCTTCCAGCTGCATTCATATTGCTGCAAGGGACATTATTCTTTGTTATGGCTGTGTACTTTTCTATGGTGTATACGTCCCACATTTTATTTACCCAATCTACCACTGATGGACACTTAGGTTGATTTCATGACTGCTATTGTGAATAGTGCTGTGATAAGCAAATCAGTGCAGGTGTATTTTTGATCAGTCCATTTTCCTTTGGGTAGATATCCAATAGCGGGATTCCTAGAAATAATGATAGTTCTATTTTTAGTTCCTTGGGAAATTTTCATACTGTTTTCCATGGAGGTTGAGCTAATAAATCCCTAATACTGTGTAAGTGTTCCTTTTTCTCCACATCCTTACCAACATCTGTTATTTTTTCACTTTTTAATAATAACCATTCTGACTGGTGTGAGATGGTTTCTCACTGTGTTTTTGTTTTTGTTGTTGTTTGTCTGCTTGTTCATTTTTGAGCCAGAGTCTCATTCTGTCACCCAGGCTGGAGTGAAGTAGCACAATCACGGCTCACTGCAGTCTTGACCTCCCAGGTTCCAGTGATCTTCTCACCTCACCCTCCTGAGTAGCTGTAACCATAGGCGCACACCACCACACCAAGCTAATTTTTTTTTTTTTTAGATGAAGTCTCCCTATGTTTCCCAGGCTGATCTGGAATTCCTGGGCTCAAGTTATCCTCCCACCTCGGCCTCCCAAAATGCTAGGATTACAGGCATAAGCCACTGCACCTGGCCTCATTGTGGTTTTAAGTTGCACTTTTTTGATGATTAATGATGATGAACATTTTTTCATATGCTTGTTAGCTGTTTGTGTGTCTTTTTTTGAGAAATGTCTATTCAACCTTTGCCCACGTTTTAATTGGGTTTTGTCTTTTGCTTAATTATTTAAGTCCTTATTGGTTCTTGATATTAGTCTTCTGTCAGATGCATAGTTTGCAAATATTTTCTCCCATTTTGTAGGTTGTCTGTTTACTCTGTGAATTGTTTATTTTGGCTGCACAGAATCTTTTTAGTGTAAGTAAATCCCATTTGTTTATTTTTGTTTTCATTTTCATTGCATTTGCTTTTGAAGTCTCAATCATAAATTATTTGCCTAGGGCCAATGTCCAGAAAAGTTTTTCCTAGGTCTTTTAGGATTTTTGTAGTTTGAGGCCTCATATTCAAGTTTTTAGTCCATTTTGAGTTAATTTTGTATATGGTAAGAAGTAGGGGTCCAGTTTTATTCTTCTACATATGGCTAGACAATTTCCCTAGCACATTTACTGAATAAGATATCCTTACCCAGTTGATTGTTTTTGTTGACTTTACCAAAGATCAGTTCGTTGTAGGTGTGTGGCTTTACTTCTAGGTTCTCTATTCTGTTCCACTGATTTTTGTGTCATGTTTCCAGCAATGCCATGCTGTTTTGGCTACTGCAGCCTTGGAGTATAATTTGAAGTTGGGTAGTGTGATGCCTTTGGCTTTGTTCTTTTTGCTTAGGATTGCTCTGTCTATTTGGGCTCTTTTTTGGTTCCATATTAATTTTAGAATAGTTTTTTCTAATTTGAAAAAATGGCTTTGGGAATTTCATAGGAATTTCATAGAATCTGTAGATTGCTTTGGGTCATTTTACTGATAGTGATTCTTCCAGATTATGAGTGTGAAATGTCTTTCCGTTAGTTTGCGTTATCTGTGATTTCTTTCATTGGTGTTTTTTAGTTCTCCTTGTAGAGATCTTTCACCTCCTTGGTTAAATGTATTTCTACATATTTTATTATTGTGTGGCTATTTTAAATGGGTTTGAGTTCTTGATTTGGTTCTCAGCTTGAAGAATACTGGTATATAGAAATGCTACTCATCTTTGTATGTTGATTTTGTGATACTAACTTTCCTATAATCAGATCCCATAAGGAGAAAAAGATGATTAATACAACTCAGGAAATGATCATATCATAAAGTATCTTCCCTCCCTTTAGCAGAATCGTGACATATCTTGGGAAGCAATTCCACACCATGAAATTGGACAGAATCTGAGAAGATACAAACCCAAATACACATACCACTATACTTCCAAAGCAGTTCTTTGGGCCTGCATTATAGCCAAGTCATAGGGATAGTTTTTCTTTAGGATTAGTAGCACCATATTAGAAATCATTGCACTCAAATGAGCATCAAAGTAATTTGACCCATGGCACTGATATGGATATGGCACTGCCCGAATCTGACTAACCCAATAACTGAATGTATTCCATCCATGGCCCAGAGCCTACCACAGAATACACCCTGTAGCAGCAAAGTTTCTAATCAAGTCCTAGTCTCATTTGCACACACCCAAGCACCCTACAGGCCTATTATGTTGCAGATTGCATCCATTGCACAGAGCCAGTTACAAACCAGACTCAACCACAAGGCACACCAGAAAGACTCAATTGTGACGGTAAACTAGCCTGCTGTGAACTTAAACATATCACTGTCCATCAATATACCAGGGAAACTATTACAGCATTAATACAAACTAGACTGTCCCCAATCTGAGGCAAGTATCTGACCTCAGTATCTTTTAAAAAGATAGAGACAATTACACTGCCACTATCTAGGTGGCATTATGAAGCGATTGCCCATTTATATAATGCGAAATGGAGAAGACAGAAAAGATCATAAATCACAAAAGGCACTGCAAAGTATCTGAGAGCATCCAGTGTTTTCTATTCAGGAAAGAAAACATAATATAGTGAAGGGCCTTTGAAGTTGTAAGAGGGAGCATTGTTTTTCTGGAATTATGCAATAGTTACCCTATGTATCTAAATTTAAAAATTTTATTTATTATCTCAAATCCAAACACCAACTAACCAATCCTCCACCTTTACTGAGTCTCCTCTCACAGAGAATATTCTTAATTTCTCAGATCTAATTTGCAAGAATGTATCATTCCTCTTATCATTTTCCTCCTCAATCTCAGTCCAGTGACATTTTACACACACACACACACACACACACACACTTCACCTTGGCTACTCTTTACATCCTGATTAACAAGTATAATTAGCAATAAATATATGCTAATTTAATGCCATATGGAAGTTTTTTCTTAGAGACTGAAGGGAGGAAAGACATGGGAAGTGCAGGATTGCTATATTTTGGAAACTTTCTGCATGGTTTCCTGTGTAAGTGAGGCAAATATTTAAAAGTGAGAGTGTCTTTTTAACTATATTTCATATTCCCTCTCTAGGTCTCTTATGCTATATTATGGAGTTAAAGAATGGATTTTCTGTTTCCCCAAGAAATAGACACCATGCTGTGAAAGAAGTTATGGTTTCTCACTGGAAGCAAGAAAACTCATGCAAGAAATGTGTCTGTAGGGAATGGCCACCAATATGCTTCATACCAACAATACACAGTTTCACCCTTCCACCTTCCTCGTAGTGGGGGTCCCAGGGCTGGAAGATGTGCATGTATGGATTGGCTTCCCCTTCTTTGCAGTGTATCTAACAGCCCTTCTAGGGAACATCATTATCCTGTTTGTGATACAGACTGAACAGAGCCTCCACCAACCCATGTTTTACTTCCTAGCCATGTTGGCCGGCACTGATCTGGGCTTGTCTACAGCAACCATCCCCAAGATGCTGGGAATTTTCTGGTTTAATCTTGGAGAGATTGCATTTGGTGCCTGCATCACACAGATGTATACCATTCATATATGCACTGGCCTGGAGTCTGTGGTACTGACAGTCACGGGCATAGATCGCTATATTGCCATCTGCAACCCCCTGAGATATAGCATGATCCTTACCAACAAGGTAATAGCCATTCTGGGCATAGTCATCATTGTCAGGACTTTGGTATTTGTGACTCCATTCACATTTCTCATCCTGAGATTGCCTTTCTGTGGTGTCCGGATTATCCCTCATACCTATTGTGAACACATGGGCTTGGCAAAGTTAGCTTGTGCCAGTATTAATGTTATATATGGATTGATTGCCTTCTCAGTGGGATACATTGACATTTCTGTGATTGGATTTTCCTATGTCCAGATCCTCCGAGCTGTCTTCCATCTCCCAGCCTGGGATGCCCGGCCTAAGGCACTCAGCACATGTGGCTCTCACGTCTGTGTTATGTTGGCTTTCTACCTGCCAGCCCTCTTTTCCTTCATGACACACCGCTTTGGCCACAACATCCCTCATTACATCCACATTCTTCTGGCCAATCTGTATGTGGTTTTTCCCCCTGCTCTTAACTCTGTTATCTATGGGGTCAAAACAAAACAGATACGAGAGCAGGTACTTAGGATACTCAACCCTAAAAGCTTTTGGCATTTTGACCCCAAGAGGATCTTCCACAACAATTCAGTTAGACAATAATGAGATCATAACAAAATAAACACTGGAAACATTTTTTTTACTACTTCTCTTGCATTCCCACATGAGCCAATAGCATTATATCCCCTACAACGTCTCATGATTTCAGTACGGTCTGTTGGAAGTTATAGCTCAAAGATTCCAAAACAATCTCTCTGTTTCACCCATTAAAAGTGCAAAAAGTACTCACACTTAAGCCCCATGATACTACAAAATGCCTAAAGAGAAACAAAGGCTTTGTAAAAGTTATTGCCCAGTAATTGTCTTGAATAGCCTTTCCACATGAAGATTCTCTGTATTTACATATCCAAAGCTGAAGTTCATGACGATTAAAATGATGTGGTATTTCATCAAAACCAGGCAGGATACAGTGGCAAGAGAAATTAACTAGGAGTCATAAGATCTAGATTTAAATACAGGTTATGGCCTTACCTAAAATTTTGACCTGAGCATTTCACTTAGACTCTTTGAGTTCACAATAACAAATTCATACTGATTTATAGCATTTTATGAGCAGGGATATTG
Organism: Homo sapiens; assembly: GCF_000001405.40. Classification (NCBI taxonomy): domain Eukaryota; kingdom Metazoa; phylum Chordata; class Mammalia; order Primates; family Hominidae; genus Homo; species Homo sapiens. The sequence continues at coordinate 5,902,283 of NC_000011.10, forward strand.
AAGCTTAAAGTGAATGTTGTGAAAATCTGTGCAGCTTGTAAAACATTAAAAGATTTGGAAACAAAATGAGTGCTTACTAAACATAATTATAGTGTAATTGTTATTTCTAATGTATGTAGATTTCATTTACTAATCCACTCTAGTATACAATCCCTGGTTTGAGGTCAGCTCTCCAGATCCAGATTATCCCAACGCATGGGCCTCTTCATGGACCTCTCAGCTCTTACCTTCGTGAAAGAGACTTTCAGTCAGGAGACTATAAAGCTTGAAGAGTTAACAGGTTTCTGTCTTGGGCTTAAGGACTCAGGGAAATCCCATCCTCCACAGTCTTTGCTAGAGTGGGTTTTAGGGCAGACTGTAATAGTGTGGCTGCTGAAATAATATAAAGTCATTCTTAATAAGGTATAGAAGATAAATAGGACAATTTATTTCTTTGGGTATTCTAGGAGCTGCAAAAATGTGAAGTTGGCTCCTAATTGGAAATGGAGCCCTGATTGAAACTCAAGGTAGAATGAGCAGAAATGTACAGAGAATAGTGCGAAAGTAATAACAATATAAATAACAGTATAAATTGACAAGTGGAAGTAAACTGAAGTGATATGTCATATAAATATATAAAGAAAAAGTAACCAAGTAATCATTTTCTAAGTAGATATTTTGAAATTGATACAGAATTTAAAAAAAACTAAACAGATCATTTAACAAGGAATAAAGATGACAAAAAATTCATTGTGGAGTGTCTTCTAAGTAAAATACCACTTTTCAATTATAGTTTATTTAATGTATTATTATATAATATTTCAACTACGAAAATCTCATTTTAGAGCCTGAATATTTACATTTGTATATTTAAAGGCTCTAATATGTTCAATTTTGTTCACTCTACCCAAAATATGTTAAACCACCAGACCACTTAATTTTGGTATCATACGTTAAGAACTTCGACTAAGAGTTTTCCTGTATCATTTCTGAGACTTTGCTAAATGTCACGTGCTCCAGAAAGTGAGTAATCTGAATGGAAATGGGTAACAGAGAACTTTAATTTCTAAGGAGCATAGAAGCTAATACAGAAGAGAAAACCCCATTCATTACCAAGTATATGTTCCAGGGGCTGTAACATGGGAGCCAGGAGCATATTTGAAAACAGCACAGTGTGCACATAGAATTCCCAAGAAAGGAAAGTTGTTTAGGGAGTTTATCAAGCTCTAGAGTTTTTTTTTTTTTTAACTGAATTTGTACAAAGCCATCAATACTGCAAGTCTTGGAGCAGGTCGGCTGAGCTATGCCAAATGCTATGGTAAACACTGAATATTGGTCATCTTGGCTGAGTCCATGTCTGTGAAACATTGGCATGCTTCAAGCCAATCTAAAAGAATTCAACTTTGTTTATTATTTCAAAATTTCAAGGCTGCTGAAAGGTAGGTCTTTATACACAGTCACTTTATTTGCTAGCTGAGTATTTTCATCGGGGGCAACTGATGAAAATGTTGACTTCCACTAACCTAAGCCTGTCCGTTGTTACTATCGTATCTTCCAGTTCAACGTCAGGGAAATAGTTTTTGGTGCTTTCCTTGTTTATATACAGATGTTTATGACTTATCTATGCACTGGCCTGGAATCTGGGGTACTGATAATCCTGGCCATAGACCACTATGTCGTAATTCGCAATCCACTGAGATATACCATGATTCTCATGAACAATGTGGTAGCCATCCTAGGAAGTCATGATAATTAGATCTTTAATCTTTATCATCCCTTTTGAGTTTCTCATCTTGCTGTTGTCATTCTGTGCTGCCCATATCATCCCCCACACCAAATGTGAGCACATGGGCATTGCCCATCTTTCCTGTGCCAGTATCAGAGCCAATAATATGTTTGGGATGGTTGCCTTTTTGTGGGATTTATTGACCTTATTGCAATTGGTTTCTCCTATGTAAAGAAACTACACACTGTTTCACTTACCACCATGGAATGGCCAGTTCGAGGCTCTCAATACCTGTGGTTCCCATGTTTGTCATGCTCATCTTCTACATCCCAGTATTTTTTTTCTGATACACTGCTTGGTGAAAGCATCCCTGCTATATTCGTATATTTCTGGCCAATGTATATACGGTTGTTCTACCTGTATTCAACCCTGTTATCTATGGGATCAGGAAAAAACAGATCCCAGACTAGGGTATAGACCTAAAGACATTTGATGATCAGTCACTTCTAGTCATGATGATATATATATTGGGATATATATGCAAATATATATACACATATATGTGTGTGACTATATATGTGTATATGTATGTATATATTTGTGTTTGTATTATTTTTTTATTTCAATAGGTTTTGGGGGAACAGGTGGTGTTTGGTTATACGAATAAGTTCTTTAGTGGTGATTTTTGAGATTTTCTTGCACTCATCACCCGAGCAGTGTACACTGTACCCATTGTGTAGTCTTTTATCCCTTGCCCTCTTCCCACCCTTTCACCCAAGTCCCCAAAGTCCACTGTATCAATCTTATGCCTTTGTGTCCTCATAGCTTAGCTCCCACATATGAGTGAGAGTATATGAAATATGATTTTCCATTCCTGAGTTACTTCACTTAGAACAATAGTCTCCAATTCCATCCAGGTTGCTGCAAATACCATTATCTCGTTCCTTTTTATGGCTGAGTAGTATTCCATGGTATATGTATGTAACCCATTTTCTTTGCCCACTCGTTGACTGATGGGCATTTGGGCTGGTTCCATACTTTTTGCAATTGCAAATTGTGCTGCTATAAATATGAGTGTGCAAGTATCCTTTTTGGTATAATGACTTCTTTTTCTCTGAGTAGATACCCAGTAGTGGGATTGCTGGATCAAACAGTACATCTACTTTTAGTTCTTTAGGGAAACTCCACACAGTTTTCCATAATGGTTTTACTAGTTTACATTCCCACCAACAGTGTAAAAGTGTTCTCTTTTCACTGCAACCAAACCAACATCTATAATTTTTGATTTTTTGATTATGCTCATTCTTGCAAGAGTAAGATGGTATCGCATTCTGGTTTTGATTTGCATTTCCCTGGTAATTAGTGATGTTGAGCATTTTTTCATATGCTTGTCGGCCACTTGCTTATCTTCTTTTGAGAATTATCTATTAATGTTCTTAGCCCATGTGCTGATGGGATTTTTTTTTTCTTGCTGATTTGTTTGAGTTATTTGTAGATCTGGATATCAGTCCTTTGTTGAGTGTGTAGATTGTGAAGATTTTTTCCCACTCTGGGGGTTGTCTGTTTGCTCTGCTGATTGTTTCTTCTGTTATGCAGAAGCTTTTTAGTTTAATTAAGTACCACCTATTTATCTTTGTTTTTGTTGCATTTGCTTTTGGGTTCTTGGTCATGAAGTCTTTGCCTAAGCCAATGTCTAAAAGGGTTTTTCCGATGTTATCATCTAGAATCTTTATGGTTTCAGATATTAAAGTCTTTGACTCATCTGGAGTTGATTTTTTTATCAGGTGAGAGATGAGGATCCAGTTTCATTCTTCTACATGTGGCTTGCCAGTTATCCTAGAACCATTTGTTGAATAGGGTGTCCTTTCCCCACTTTATGTTTTTGTTTGCTTTATCAAAGATCAGTTGGCTGCAAGTATTTGGGTTTATTTCTGGGTTCTCTATTCTTTTCCATTGGTCTATGTGCCCGTTTTTATACCAGTACAATGCTCTTTTGCTAACTGTGGTCGTATAGTATAGTTTGACGTCGGGTAATGTGATGCCTTCAGATTTGTTATTTTTTGCTTAGTCTTGCTTTGGCTATGTGGGCTGTTTTTTGGTTCCATATAAATTTTAGGATTGTTTTTTCTAGTTCTGTGAAGAATGATGGTGGTATTTTGATGGGAATTGCATTGAATTTGTAGACTGTTTTTGGCAGTATGGTCATTTTCACAATTTGATTCTACCCATCCATGAGCATGGGATGTGTTTCCATTTGTTTGTGTCATCTATGATTTCTTTCAACAGTGTTTTGTAGTTTTCTTTGTAAAGGTGTTTCACCTCCTTGGCTAGGTATTTTCCTACATATTTTATATATATTTTTTGAAGCTACTGTAAAAGAGGCTGAGTTCTTGATTTGATTCTCAGCTTGGTCACTGTTGGTGTATAGCATAGCTACTGATTTGTGTACATTAATTTTGTATCCTGAAACTGGTGAATTTGTTGACCAGTTCTAGGAGCTTTTGGATGAGTCTTTAGGGTTTTGTAGGTATACAATCATATTATCGGCAAACAGTGACAGTTTGACTTCCTGTTTACCAATTTGATACCTGCGATTTCTTTTTCTTGTCTGATTGCTCTGACTAGGACTTCCAGCGCTATGTTGAATAGAAGTGATGAGAAAGGGCATCCTTGTCTTGTTTCATTTCTCAGAGGGAATGTTTTCAACTTTTCCCCATTCAGTATAATGTTGGCTGTGGGTTTGTCATAGACGGCTTTTATTACATTGAGGTATGTCCCTTGTATGCTGATTTTGCTGAGAGTTTTAATCATAAAGCGAAGCTGGATTTTGTTGAATGCTTTTTTTGCATATATTGAGATGATCATGTGATTTTTGTTTGTAATTCTGTTTATATGGTGTATCACATTTATTGACTTGCAGATGTTAAACCATCTCTGCACACCTGGTATAAAACCCACTTGACCATGGTGGATTATCTTTTTGATATGCTGTTGGATTTGGCTCGCTAGTAATTTGTTGAGAATTTTTGCATCTATGTTAATCAGGGATAGTGGTCAGTAATTTTCTCTTTTTGTTATGTCCTTCCATGGTTTTGATATTAGTATGATACTGGCTTCGTAGAATGATTTGGGGAGGATTCCCTCTTTTTCTATCCTGTGGAATAGTGTCAATAGGATTGGTATGAATTCTTCTTTGAATGTCTGAGGATTCAGCTGTGAATCTGTCTGGGCCTGGACTTTTTATTGTTGGCAATTTTTAAATTACCATTTCAACCTCACTGCTTGTTATTGGTCTGATCAGAGTTTCTATATCTTTCAGGTTTAATCTGGAGGGTTGTATATTTCTGGGAATTTATCCATCTACTCTAGGTTTTCTAGTTTATCCACATAAAGGTGTTCATAGTAGCTTTGAGTAATCTTTTGTATTTCCGTTATGTAAGTAGTAATATCTCCTGTTTTATTTCTAATTGAGCTTATTTGGATCTTCCCTCTTCTTTTCTTGGTTAATCTCACCAATGATCCATCAATTTTATTTATCTTTTCAAAGGAGCAGCTTACTGTTTTATTTATCTTTTATATTTTTTGTTTGTTTGTTTCTTTTTTATTTAGTTATGCTCTGATCTTGGTTATTTCTTTTCTTCTGTTGATCTGGGGTTTGGTTTGTTCTTGTTTCTCTAGTTTCTTGAGGTGTGACCTTAGATTGTCTATTTGTGCTCTTTCAGATTTTCTGATGTAGACATTTAAGGCTATGAACTTTCCTCTTAGCATTCTTTGCTGTATCCCAGAAGGTTTGATAGGTTGTGTTACTACTGTCATTCAGTTCAAAGAATTTTTTAATTTCCATCTTGATTTCACAGTTAACCCAATGATCATTCAGAAACAGGTTATTTAATTTCCATGCATTTGCATGGTTTTGGGGGTTCCTTTTAGGGTTGATTTCCAATTTGACTCCACCAGGGTATGACAGGGTACTTGATATAATTTTGATTTTCTTAAATTTACTGAGACTTGTTTTGTGGCCTATCATATGGTCTATCTTGTAGAATGTTCCATGTGCTGATGAATAGAATGTATATTCTGCAGTTGTTGGGTAGAATGTTCTGTTAAATATCTGTTAAGTTCATTTTTTGTAGGGTATAGTTTAAGTCCATTTTTTTTTGTTGACTTTCTGTCTTGATGACTTGTCTAGTGTTGTCAGTGGAGTATTAAAATACCCCACATTATTGGGTTGCCATCTATCTCATTTCTTAGGTCTAGTAGTAATTGCGTTATAAATTTGGGAGCTCCAGTGTTAGGTGCATATATATAGGATTGTGAGATTTTCCTGTTGGACTAATCCTTTTTTCATTATATAATGTCCTTCTTTGTCTCTTTTAACTGCTGTTGCTTTAATGTTTGTTTGGTCTGAATAGCTACTTCTGCTCGCTTTTGGTGTCCATTTGTATGGAATACCTTTTTCCACTCCTTTACCTTAAGTTTATATGAGTCCTGATCTGTTAGGTGAGTCTCCTAAAGACAGCAGAGACTTGGTTGGTGAATTCTTATTCATTCTGCCATTCTGTATCTTTTAGGTGGAGTATTTAGGCCATTTACATTCAATTTTAGTATTGAGATGTGAGGTACTCTTCTGTTCATTACGCTATTAATTGACTGAATGCCTGTTTTTTTTCATTGTGTTATTGTTATATAGGTCTTGTGAGATTTATGCTTTAAGGATGTTCTATTTTGATGTATTTTGAGGATTTGTTTCAAGATTTAGAGCTCCTTTTAGCAGTTCTTGTAATTCTGGCTTGGTAGTGGCAAATTCTCTCAGCATTTGTTTGTCTGCAGAAGACTGTATCTTTCCTGCATTTATAATGCTTAGTTTCACTGGATACAAAATTCTTGACCGATAATTGCTTTGTTTAAAGAGGCAAAAAATAGGATCCCAATTTCTTCTAGCTTGCAGGGTTTGTGCTGAGAAATCTGCTGTTATTCTGATAGGTTTTCCTTTGTATGTTACTTGATGCTTTTGCCTCATAGCTCTATTATTTATTTAGTTAGTTAGTTAGTTAGTTGGACTCTCGTTCTGTCACCCAGGGTGGAGTGCAATGGTGTGAACTCGGCTCCCTTGCCTCCAAGGTTCAAGTAATTCTCCTGCCTCAGCCTCCCCGGTAGCTGGAACTACAGGCACATGCCACCACACCCAGCTAATTTTTGTACTTTTAGTAGAGACAGGGTTTCACCATGTTAGCCAGACTGGTCTTGAACTCCTGACCTCAAGTGATCCGCCTACCTAGGCCTCCCAAAGGGTTGGGATTACAGGTGTGAACCACCACTCCCAGCCTTGCCTCACAGCTCTTAAGATTCTTTCCTTTGTCTTGACTTTAGAGAACCTGATGACTGTGTGCCTAGGTGAAGATCTGTTTGCGATGAGTTTTCCAGGTGTTCTTTGAACTTCTTGTATTTAGATGTCTAGCTCTCTGGCAAGGCTGGGGAAGTTTTCCTTGATTATTCCCTCAAATATGTTTTCCAAACTTTGAGATTTCTCTTCTTCCTCAGGAACATCAATCATCCTTAGGTTTGGATGCTTAACATAGTCCCAAACTTCTTGGAGACTTTGTTCATTTTTTTAATCATTTTTTCTTTGTCTTTGATGGATTAGATTAATTTGAAAACCTTGTCTTTGAGCTCTGGAGTTATTTCTTCTGCTTGTTCAATTCTATTGCAAGACTTTCCAGTGCATTTTGTATTTCTCTAAGTGTGTCCTTCATTTCCAGAAGTTGTGTTTGTTTTTTTATTTATGCTGTCTATTTCACTGAAGATTTTTCCTTTCATATCCTGTATTATGTTTTTGATTTCTTTAAGTTGGATTTCACCTTTTTCTGGTGCCTCTTTGATCAGCTTAATAATTGATCTTCTGAATTCTTTTTCTGGTAATTCAGAGATTTCATCTTGGTTTGGATCCATTGCTGGTGAGCTGGTTTGATCCTTTGGAGGTGTTAAAGAACCTTGTTTTGTAATATTACCAGAATTGTTTCTCTGTTCCTTCTCATTTGGGTAGACTATGTCAGAGGGAAGATCTGGGACTTAAGGGCTGCTGTTCACATTCTTTTGTCCCATAGGGGTGCTCCCTTAATTTGGTGTTCTCCCCTTTCCCCTAGGGATGAGGCTTCCTGAGACCTGAACTGCAATGACTGATTTTGCTCTTCTGGGTCTAGCCACCCAGTGTAGCTACAGGGCTCTGGGCTAATACTGGAAAGTGTCTGCAAAGAGTGCTGTGATGTGATCTGTCTTCAGGTCTTTCAGCCACAGATACCAGCACCTGCTCCGGTGGAGGTAGCAGGGGAGTTAAGTGGAGTCTGTGAGGGTCCTTAGTTGTATTTTTGTTTAGTGCACTGGTTTTGTGTTGGTTGGCCTGCAGCCAGGAGGTGGCATGTTCAAGAGCACATCAACTACAGTACTAGAAGGAGGATGTATACTTGCCCTGGGGTTGTCTGGTTACGTATTCAGGTTTCTCAGGTGGTGGGCAGCGCCATAGAGCTCTCAGGATATTATGTCCTTTGTCTTTGGCAACCAGAACGGGTAGAGAAAGACCACCAGGTGGGGGCAGACATAGGTATGTCTGAGCTCAGACTCTCCTTGGGTGGAGCTTGCTGCAGCTGCTGTGGGGAATAGGGGTGTGATTCCCAGTCCAATGGAGTTATGTTCCCTGGTGGATTGTGGCTGCCTCTGCTGAGTCATACAGGTCACCAGAGAAGTGGGACAAAGACAGCAGTCACAGGCCTCACCCCATTCCCATGTAGCCACAGTCCTAAATGCTGGTCTCACTTCCATCATGCCCCACCTACCACACCAAGTGTTTCCAGGCAGCTGGTGACCAGTTCTGAGAACTTGCCCCAGACCGTCAGCCACCCCACTGAGAAAGCAAGCTGATTCAGAGTTTTTTGGCATCTCAAGGAGCCTGCAGAAGCAATCCAGTTCCTTCAAAGGGTCTGTGGATTATCTCAGCTTACCTGGCATGTTCCTGCAGTAATTCTTGGAGAAAAGTTAATGATGTGAGTCTCTACATGCTGCCCTGTCTCTGACTAGCCTCCTATTTGCCATCTTAATCTCAGTCTTGATTCTGTGTTTGTATTTTTATCTTTCTTGACTGAATAGTGTATAAAGAAATGTATCACACTATGATTTTTTTTCAAAGTAGCACATTTTTGGTTTTGTTTTTTTTCCTTTTTCTGTTCATTTTCTATCTTATTGAGTTCGGCTCATTTCTATTATTTTCTTCCTTCTATTTTTTGAATATGCTTTTCCCATCTTTTTCTAGATTTGTAAGGCAGAAGCTTATAGAATTGATTTCAGACTCTCATTTTTTTCCTAATAAAAATAATTAATATGCTTAATGCTCCATTCACAGCAATCTGGGCTTTTTCTACCTTGCTTCTCCAAATTCTTCAAGCTTCTATCTATTACCCAGTTCAAAAACCACTTCCATATTTTCAGGTATTTGTTGTAGCAACAACTCTACTCCCAATATCAATCTTCCTGGTACTGTTTTGTGCTACTATAACAGGATATCAGAGACTGGGTAATTTATAAACTATAGAACTTTATTTGGCTCACAGCTCTGGAGGCTAGAAAGTCCAAGGTCAAGTGACCTGCTTCTGGTGAAGGCCTTGTCACTGGGTCATCTCATGGCAGAAGGCAGAAGGGCAAGAGTGTATGTGCATGAGAAAGAGAGAAGAGAGAGAATTAGAAATGGAGAGTTGAATCTGCTTTTATAACAAACCCACTCCCACGATAGCAGCACTAATTCATTCATGAGGGCAGGGCCCATGTGACATAATCGCCTCTTAAAGGTCCTACCTCCCAATACTGTTGCATTGGGGTTTAAGTTTCCAACACATGAATCTTGAGGGACATTCAAACCATAGCAGCCATATTATACTGCCATCATTCTACTTTAAGTTATTGTGCCCTTCTTTATACAATTAATTCCCCAAAAGCAGAGATGAATAACATTTGATCTTTTCTCACAAGACCAAACAGTGATTGTCACTTAATCTGACTGAGCAGATTATTCTGTTATGTAAAACTTTTTAAAACTAGTTTGATGCACTAATACTTTCCACAAACCTTCTTACATGATTTCCCACATATTTAAATGACTTGTTTATGAAATTTTTCCTCTTTGGTCAGTTGCTTGACGATCTGATCAGTGCCTTGTTATTGCTTAGCAACGACTGTTGTATTGAGGTTTCCAAGTTTCTCCAGAACTGTTTTGCCAGGTCCCAAGCTGGCAGAACTGAATGCCTTTAGCGTCCTATTTCTCCTGACTATGCGGCCAATGTCATCCTCCATTATTTTGTTTCCAAATAAGCAGCCAGATCCTTAGTAGCTCATTGACTTTCAGAATTCATTGAGAACAGAAAGACAAGGTATCTTCTGGTATTTTGAGAAAATATATGTCCTTTGAAAAGTTAGCTTTAGGAGATACACCTAATGCTAAATGACGAGTTAATGGGTGCAGCACACCAGCATGGCACATGTATACATATGTAACTAACCTGCACATTGTGCACATGTACCCTAAAACTTAAAGTATAATAATAATAAAATAAAATAAAAAATAAAAAAAGAGAAAAGTTAATGCTAAACAGAGAATAGAAGTAAGAAAATGCAGTGTCTTTGAATTGGAAAAAGAAAGATTGTACTTCCTCTCCACCAACAAAAAGACAGAAGAAAGAGGAGAACAAATGAATTTTCTGACTTGAAGTTATAATCCTACGAGGGAAAAAATGCTGCTCAGTAACTGCAGGAGTTCTTGACCACTGGAACCTCCCAGGTGTCAGCTTTTTCACAAAATATTGGAATATTTGAATAAATCTGGGATTATCTAAGGGAGGGCAGTTGGGAAGACCAGTTGGGTCAGAGAAGCAATCATAACACATATTTAATATACCTTTATACTGATGGATGAAGCTTCAAATTGACAGTTGAGCAGATTGTCATTAAATAACGAAAAGTACCTAAGTTTTTATCCAAAGCTTAATTGTTCCTCTCTTTGCTCCTAAAACTCAACATGCTTTCTCTCTTAGTACAGAACCTCTGCATGTGTGTAGTTTTCACTGCCTAAAATAATCTTTTCATCCTTCTTTGCTTAGGTGATTCCTATTTTTCTTTCTTGTTCAACCTACTTAGGTTTACTTAAAATGACCTTACCCAACCTTCAATATTATGTTAGGCTGTCAGGCTCCACTGTAACAGGCTTCTACTGTAGCACCCAGAAAGTTTCTTTCTTTGAAATAACTGACCACAACTGTATTGAAGTGAGGCTCAATGCCTACTTTTCCATTATACATTATACTTCCTATTAATGGGGACAGATAATATTTACAAAGTACCATATATCAGGCACTATGATTAGTATTATTCATGTTACATCATTTAATAAATGCAATTAACATGAGATACATGCTAAGTTTATGACTATTTTCCGGAGGAGGAAATAGATGCACAAAGACATAAAAACAACTTGATAAAGGCTTCACACACAGCAAGTAGTGAAACCAAAATTTGAACCCAGGAAGTATAATTCCAGCATCAAGGTGTTAACTACCACTTCACCTTCATTTATGAAAGTACAAAACAATGTAGTTCATCTTTGTAAATAAGAAAAGCTCAATATTTATTACATGAAATATCCACCATACCTCTTTAACTGCTATTTCAATCAGAATTCTTACTTTCAAGCAACAAAAAATAATTCTAGATATTTTAAGCAAAGAAAAATTATTGAAAAGATGATGGATACCTCACAGAATCACTAGGAAAACAGAAAAGTAATAAAATAAAAGAAAATAAAAATACAAACCAAGTAACAACCAGGACCTCTGTAAAATTAATCCAGAGAACTAATTCTGTGCTGAAGTGTTATTGCAACCACTGCTGAACTTCAGATGACATGGTTTATATAAATAGTTCTTTTGTGTTTATTTCAGATGGTTTTCGAACATTGATCAAGTAACTATATATAATAGTGACCACTGTGGAAAATCATTTTGATTTAAAATTTTAGTAGTTAATACATATGATTCAGTTATAATTTTAGAAATTTTTGAGGATTTATGTCTCGAGAAACTTCTCTGAAGTTCAATTTACAGTTAAAAGCATCATAAAAGCGATTTTAAGTGAATGTTTTATAGTGTATTTTAATATAGTAGACATTATAATATGTTTTAACAGAATAAGTAATGAAAATAATGTTTTTCTAACTAACACACTCAATCCTTTTTGTTTGTTTGATAGCCCTCTTTTTACACTAGCATGTACTAGGAAACCATAGGTAGACAGTAAATGCAAACAAGAAAATAATTTTTCTACTAATGTACATACTGATATCAAAAGGACACAAGTCCTAACTTTTTTACATTTATAATATTGTCTTTCACAAGATTGTGGGCATAGCTCAACTAATGTTTACTGATTTATATTAATGATAGCAAAATGTTAGAATACGGTAACTTTTTGAAGATGGCCGAATAGGAACAGCTCCAGTCTACAGCTCCCAGCGTGACCAATGCAGAAGATGGGTGATTTCTGCATTTCCAACTGAGGTACCGGGTTCATCTCATTGGGGAGTGTCAGAAAGTGGGTGCAGGACAGTGGGTGCAGCGCACCGAGCGTGAGCCAAAGCAGGGCAAGGCACTGCCTCACCCAGGAAGCGCAAGGGGTCAGGGAATTCCCTTTCCTAGTCAAAGAAAGGGGTGACAGACAGCACCTGGAAAATCGGGTCACTTCCACCCTAATACTGTGCTTTTCCAATGGTCTTAGCAAATGGCACACCAGGAGATTATATCCCGCGCTTGGCTTGGAGGGTCCTACACCCACGGAGCCTCGCTCATTGCTAGCACAGCTGTCTGAGATCAAACTGCAAGGCGGCAGTGAGGCTGGGGGAGGGGTGCCCGCCACTGCCAAGGCTTGAGTAGGTAAACAAAGTGGCGTGGAAGCTCAAACTGGGTGGAGCCCACCGCAGCTCAAGGAGGCCTGCCTGACTCCACCTCTGAGGGCAGGGCATAGCCAAACAAAAGGAAGGAGAAACCTCTGCAGACTTAAATGTTCCTGTCTGACAGCTTTGAAGAGAGCAGTGGTTCTCCCAGCACGCAGCTGGAGATCTGAGAACGGGTAGACTGCCTCCTCAAGTGGGTCCCTGACCCCTGAACCCCGAGCAGCCTAACTGGGAGGCACCCCCCAGCAGGGGCATACTGACACCTCACACAGCAGGGTATTCCAACAGACTTGCAGCTGAGGGTCCTGTCTGTTAGAAGGAAAACTAACAAACAGAAAGGACATCCACACCAAAAACCCACCTGTACATCACCATCATCAAAGACCAAAAGTAGATAAAACCACAAAGATGGGGAAAAAACAGAACAGAAAAACTGGAAACTCTAAAAAGCAGAGCACCTGTCCTCCTCCAAAGGAACGCAGTTCCTCACCAGCAACGGAACAAAGCTGGATGGAGAATGACTTTGACGAGCTGAGAGAAGAAGGCTTCAGACGATCAAATTACTCTGAGCTACGGGAGGATATTCAAGCCAAAGGCAAAGAAGTTGAAAACTTTGAAAAAAATTTAGAAGAATGTATAACTAGAATAACCAATACAGAGAAGTGCTTAAAGGAGCTGATGGAGCTGAAAACCAAGGCTCGAGAACTACGTGAAGAATGCAGAAGCCTCAGGAGCCGATGCGATCAACTGGAAGAAAGGGTATGAGCAATGGAAGATGAAATGAATGAAATGAAGCGTGAAGGGAAGTTTAGAGAAAAAAGAATAAAAAGAAAGAACAAAGCCTCCAAGAAATATGGGACTATATGAAAAGACCAAATCTACGTCTGATTGGTGTATCTGAAAGTGACAGGGAGAATGGAACCAAGTTGGTAAACACTCTGCAGGATACCATCCAGGAGAACTTCCCCAACCTAGCAAGGCAGGCCAACATTCAGATTCAGGAAATACAGAGAACGCCACAAAGATACTCCTTAAGAAGAGCAACTCCATGACACATAATTGTCAGATTCACCAAAGTTGAAATGGAAAAAATGTTAAGGGCAGCCAGAGAGAAAGGTTGGGTTACCCACAAAGGGAAGCCCATCAGACTAACAGCAGATCTCTCAGCAGAAACTCTATAAGCCAGAAGAGAGTGGGGGCCAATATTCAACATTTTTAAAGACAATAACTTTCAACCCAGAATTTCATATCCAGCCAAACTAAGCTTCATAAGTGAAGGAGAAATAAAATACTTTACAGATAAGCAAATGCTGAGAGATTTTGTCACCACCAGGCCTGCCCTAAAAGAGCTCCTGAAGGAAGCACTAAACATGGAAAGGAACAACCGGTACCAGCCACTGCAAAAATATGCCAAATTGTAAAGACCATCAAGGCTAGGAAGAAACTGCATCAACTAACGAGCAAAATCACCAGCTAACATCATAATGACAGGATCAAATTCACACATAACAATACTCACCATAAATGTAAATGGGCTAAATGCTCCAATTAAAAGGCACAGACTGGCAAACTGGATAAAGAGTCAAGACTCATCAGTGTGCTGTATTCAGGAAACCCATCTCATGTGCAGAGACACACATAGGCTCAATATAAAGGGACGGAGGAAGATCTACCAAGAAAATGGAAAACAAAAAAAGGCAGGGGTTGCAATCCTAGTCTCTGATAAAACAGACTTTAAACCAACAAAGATCAAAAGAGACAAAGAAGGCCATTACATAATGGTAAAGGGATCAATTCAACAAGAAGAGCTAACTATCCTAAATATATATGCACCCAATACAGGAGCACCCAGATTCATAAAGCAAGTCCTTAGTGACCTACAAAGAGACTTAGACTCCCACACAATAATAATGGGAGACTTTAACACCCCACTGTCAACATTAGACAGATCAACGAGACAGAAAGTTAACAAGGATATCCAGGAATTGAACTCAGCTCTGCACCAAGCAGACCTAATAGACATCTACAGAACCCTCCACCCCAAATCTACATAAAATACATTCTTTTCAGCACCATACCTATTCCAAAATTGACCACATAGTTGGAAGTAAAGCACTCCTCAGCAAATGTAAAAGAACAGAAATTATAACAAACTGTCTCTAAGACCACAGTGCAATCAAACAAGAACTCAGGAATAAGAAGTTCACTCAAAATCACTCAACTACATGGAAACTGAACAACCTGCTCCTGAATGACTACTGGGTACATAACAAAATGAAGGCAGAAATAAAGATGTTATTTGAAATCAATGAGAACAAAGACACAACATACCAGAATCTCTGGGACACATTCAAAGCAGTGTGTAGAGGGAAATCTATAGCACAAAATGCCCACAGGAGAAAGCAGAAAAGATCTAAAATTGACACACTAACATCACAATTAAAAGAACTAGAGAATCAAGAGCAAACACATTCAAAAGCTAGCAGAAGGCAAGAAATAACTAAGATCAGAGTAGCACTGAAGGAAATAGAGACACAAAAAACCCTTCAAAAAAATCAATGAATCCAGGAATTAGTTTTTTGAAAAGATCAACAAAATTGGTAGACCGCTAGCAAGACTAATAAAGAAGAAAAGAGAGAAGAATCAAATAGACACAATAAAAAATGAAAAAGGGTATATCACCACTGATCCCACAGAAATACAAACTACCATCAAAGAATACTACAAACACCTCTATGCAAATAAACTAGAAAATCTAGAAGAAATGGATAAATTCCTCGACACATACACTATCCCAAGACTAAACCAGGAAGAAGTTGAATCTCTGAACAGACCAATCACAGGCTCTGAAATTGTGGCAATAATCAATAGCTTACCAACCAAAAAAAGTCCAGGACCAGATGGATTCACAGCCGAATTCTACCAGAAGTACAAGGAGGAGCTGGTACCATTCCTTCTGAAACTATTCCAATCAATAGAAAAAGAGGGAATCCTCCCTAACTCATTTTATGAGGCCAGCATCATCCTGATACCAAAGCCTGGCAAAGACACAACCAAAAAAAAGAATTTTAGGCCAATATCCTTGATGAACATTGATGCAAAAATCCTCAGTAAAATACTGGCAAACCGAATCCAGCAGCACATCAAAAAACTTATCCACGATGATCAAGTGGGCTTCATCCCCGGGATGCAAGCCTGGTTCAACATACACAAATCAATAAATGTAATCCAGCATATAAACAGAACCAAAGACAAAAACCACATGATTATCTCAATAGATGCAGAAAAGGCCTTTGACAAAATTCAACAACCCTTCATGCTAAAAAAAACTCTCAATAAATTAGGTATTGATGGGACGTATCTCAAAATAATAAGAGCTATCTATGACAAACCCACAGCCAATATCATACTGAATGGGCAAAAACTGGAAGCATTCCCTTTGAAAACTGGCAAAAGACAGGGATGCCCTCTCTCACCCAACATAATCCTATCTCTGCTGCATTCCTGCTACCTTAGTGTAATGGTTCTGTTAATGAACTGTAGACATACAAACCTCTTGGTCTTATAACAAAATGGTATAGGTTTAGTTTATCATTGTTATTGATTTTAGACTGAGGGAATGATGAAATCAGTGCCATACATGGAGTGCTTAAAACTGTAATGCCAAACTAACGGTCTTTCTTTATCTGTCATGGAGAATTAGAGGACAAAGTTTGGGACAACAACAGCTGCTAGAAAGAAAGACAAAAATTTAGAAAGTATAAAGCCAAGTATGGAAAGCTCAAATTCTATATATAAACTTTGCCATGTCTTTGGTTAATTCCTGAACCAAGCATGCATAAAGCAGACACAAAGACATTCAGATAAAAATAAGAGGTGAGCAAGACGGCTGAACAGGAACAGCTCCAGTCTAGGGCCCAGCGTGAGCGACGCAGAAGATGGGTGATTTCTGCATTTCCATCTGAGCTTTGAAGAGAGTAGCAGTTCTCCCAGCACACAGCTGGAGATCTGAGAACGGGCAGATTGCCTCCTCAAGTTGGTCCTTGACCCCCGAGCAGCCTAACTGGGAGGCACCCTCAAGTAGGGGCAGACTGACACCTCACATGGCTGGGTACTCCTCTGAGACAAAACTTCCAGAGGAACAATCAGGCAGCAGCATTTGTGGTTCACCAAGATCCGCTGTTCTACAGCCACCGCTGTTCTGCAGCCACCGCTGCTGATACCCAGGCAAACAGGGTCTGGAGTGGACCTCTAGCAAACTCCAACAGACCTGCAGCTGAGGGTCCTGTCTGTTAGAAGGGAAACTAACAAACCGAAAGGACATCCACACCAAAATCCCTTCTGTACGTCACCATCATCAAAGACCAAAAGTAGATAAAACCACAAAGATGGGGAAAAAACAGAGCAGAAAAACTGGAAACTCTAAAAAGCAGAGTGCCTCTCCTCCTCCAAAGGAATGCAGCTCCTCACCACCAACGGAACAAAGCTGGATGGAAAAAGACTTTGACGAGCTGAGAGAAGAAGGCTTCAGATGATCAAACTACTCCAAGCTACAGGAGGAAATTCAAACCAATGGCAAAGAAGTTAAAAACTTTGAAAAAAAATTAGACAAATAGATAACTAGAAGAACCAACGAAGAGAAGTCCTTAAAGGAGCTGATGGAGCTGAAAGCCAAGGCTCAAGAACTACGTGAAGAATGCAGAAGCCTCAGGAGCTGATGTGATCAACTGGAAGAAGGGGTATCAGTGATGGAAGATGAAATAAATGAAATGAAGCGAGAAGGGAAGTTCAGAGAAAAAAGAATAAAAAGAAATGAACAAAGCCTCCAAGAAATATGGGACGATGTGAAACATAGTGTTGGAAGTTATGGCCAGGGCAATTAGGCAGGAGAAGGAAATAAAGGGTATTCAATTAGGAAAAGAGGAAGTCAAATTGTCCCTGTTTGCAGATGACATGATTGTATATCTAGAAAACCCCCATCGTCTCAGCCCAAAATCTCCTTAACCTGATAAGCAACTTCAGTAAAGTCTCAAGATACAAAATCAATGTGCAAAAATCACAAGCATTCTTATACACCAATAACAGACAAACAGAGAGCCAAATCATGAGTGAACTCCCATTCACAATTGCTTCAAAGAGAATAAAATACCTAGGAATCCAACTTAAAAGGGATGTGAAGGACCTCTTCAAGGAGAACTACAAACCACTGCTCAATGAAATAAAAGAGGATACAAACAAATGGAAGAACATTCCATGCTCATGGGTAGGAAGAATCAATATCGTGAAAATGGCCATACTGCCCAAGGTAATTTATAGATTCAATGCCATCCCCATCAAGCTACCAATGACTTTCTTCACAGAATTGGAAAAAACTAAAGTTCATATGGAACCAAAAAAGAGCCCGCATCACCAAGTCAATCCTAAGCCAAAAGAACAAAGCTAGAGGCATCACGCTACCTGACTTCAAACTATACTACAAGGCTACAGTAACCAAAACAGCATGATACTGGTACCAAAACAGAGATCTAGACCAATGGAACAGAACAGAGCCCTCAGAAATAATGCCGCATATCTGCAACCATATGATCTTTGAAAAACCTGACAAAAATAAGCAATGGGGAAAGGATTCCCTATTTAATAAATGGTGCTGGGAAAACTGGCTAGCCATATGTAGAAAGCTGAAACTGGATCCCTTCCTTACACCTTACACAAAAATTAATTCAAGGTGGATTAAAGACTTACATGTTAGATCTAAAACCATAAAAACCCTAGAAGAAAACCTAGGCAATACCATTCAGGACATAGGCATGGGCAAGGACTTCATGTCTAAAACACCAAAAGCAATGGCAACAAAAGCCAAAATTGACAAATGGGATCTAATTAAACTAAAGAGCATCTGCACAGCAAAAGAAACTACCATCAGAGTGAACAGGCAACCTACAAAATGGGAGAAAATTTTTGCAACCTACTCATCTGACAAAGGGCTAATATCCAGAATCTACAATGAATTCAAACAAATTTACAAGAAAAAAACAAACAAACCCATCAACAAGTGGGCAAAGGATATGAGCAGACACTTCTCAAAAGAAGACATTTATGCAGCCAAAAAACACATGAAAAAATGCACATCATCACTGGCCATCAGAGAAATGCAAATCAAAACTACAATGAGACACCATCTCACACCAGTTAGAATGGTGATCATTAAAAAGTCAGGAAACAACAGGTGCTGGAGAGGATGTGGAGAAATAGGAACACTTTTACACTCTTGGTGGGACTGTAAACTAGTTCAACCATTGTGGAAGTCAGTGTGGCGATTCCTCAGGGATCTAGAACTAGAAATACCATTTGACCTAGCCATCCCATTACTGAGTACATACCCAAAGGATTATAAATCATGCTGCTGTAAAGACACATGCACACGTATGTTTATTGCGGTACTATTCACAATAGCAAAGACTTGGAACCAACCCAAATGTCCAACAACGATAGACTGGATTAAGAAAATGTGGCACATATACACCGTGGAATACTATGCAGCCATAAAAAATGAAGAGTTCATGTCCTTTGTAGGGACATGGATGAAGCTGGAAACCATCATTCTCAGCAAACTACCACAAGGACAAAAAAACCAAACACCGCATGTTCTCACTCATAGGTGGGAATTGAACAATGAGAACACATGGACACAGGAAGGGGAACATCACACACCAGGGCCTGTTGTGGGGTGGGGGGAGGGGAGAGGGATAGCATTAGGAGATATACCTAATGCTAAATGACAAGTTAATGGGTGCAGCACACCAACATGGCACATGTATACATATGTAACAAACCTGCACATTGTGCACATGTACCCTAAAACTTAAAGTATAATAATAATAAAAATAAATAAAAAATAAAAGAGGTGAGTTAGTATTTGAACTGCTATTCAAGAGCATGATTTTGTAGATTGCATTGAACCAGGTTAATTCCCCTGCTAAAACAAACACTTCAACACTGTTTGGAAGACTATAACAGAATCCATAGCATCCACAACATAACATTTACAGTATTCAGCACACTATCCTAAATTTCCCGACATACAAAGAACTAGAAAACAATAATCTGGTCTCAATAGAAAACATAATCAAATGAGACCAAAGACCAAATTCAAGATTACTCAAATATCAAATTAGCCACTGAGAAATTTCAGAAAGCTAATATATCTATGCCCATTGAAGTGAAGGAAAATATATAGTGATAAATGAAAAGATAATAAATTTTAGAAGCGAAATAATATCTTAAAAACAAGTGAAAATTCTAAAACAGAAAAATACACCTTACATTAAAAATCTACTGAATGTGCTGAGCAGCAAAGTGGATATGACAGAACAATGAGCCAGTGAACTTGAAGATGGCATGATAAAAATTATCTAATCTGAAGATGGCAGAATACATGCCTACCCCTTTCATCCCCCCAGCTGGAACACCAAATTTTAACAACTATCTGCACACAGAAGAGCACTATCACAAGAACTCAAAATCAGGTGAGCAGTCACAGTACCTGTTTTAAACTTTATACGATGGAAAGAGGCATTGAGGAGGGCAAGAGAGACAGTCTTAAATCAGATTCCACTCCTCCCTCATTACCCCCTCACCCCCTACAAATGGCAGCGGCTGTGCTTTGTGGAGAGAGAATCTGTTAACTTTGGGGAGGAAGAATGCATTGACTGGGAGACTTTACACTGAACTCAGTGCTGCCCTTTCACAGCAGAGAATAAAGCTGTGCTGGGCCCAGCCAGCACCCACAGATGGCGGGAGCATATGGACCAGCCCTAGCCAGAGAGGAATTGCCCATACCAGTGGTCAGAACTTGAGTTTCTTGGCAAGCCTTGCCACTGTGGGCCAAAGTGCTCTAGGGTCCTAGGTAAACTTGAAAGGCAGTCTAGAACACAAGAACTGAAATTTCTAGGCAACTCCTAGTGCCAGGCTGGGCTTAGAGTCAGTGAATTAGGGAGTCATGTGACCTAGGGAGACACCAGATGGCATGGCTAAGGGAGGGCTTGCACATTCTTTCCCAAACCCCAGGCAGTGCAGCTTGCAGCAATGAAGGTGACTCCTTCCTTCTGCTTATGGAGAGGAGAGCAAAGAGTAAAGAGGGCTTTGTCTTGCATTTTGGATACCAGCTCAGCCACAGAGAGGGCACCAGGCAGAGTCATGAGGCCTCCATTACAAGCCCTAACTCCCAGACAACATTTCTAGACACACCCTGGGCCAAGATGGAAACCCCCAACCTTGAAGGGAAAGACCTGATCCTGGCATGACTCATCATCTGCTGACTAACGAGCCCTTGTGTTCTGAATAACCACCAGAAATACCCAGGGAGTATGCCATGGGCCTTGGGCCTTCAGACATACATGCTGGCTTCAAGGGTGACCTAGCACATTCCTAGCTTTAGTGGTTATGGTAAAAATAAAAATAAAAATAATAAAACACCTCCTGTTTGAGGAAATCAGAGGTAAAAGTAAAGGGTAACTTTCTCTTGCACTCCAGGTACCAGCTTGGTCATAGTGGGGTAGAGTAACAAGCAGCCTCTTGGAGTCCCTAAGTCCAGGCCTAGGCTCTTAGACAACATTTCTGGACCTGCCTGGGCTAGAGGGGAGCCCCCTGCCCTGAAGGGTGAGTCCCAGGCCTGGCAGCATTCACCATAAGCTGACTAAAGAGCTCTTGGGCTTTAAGTGAACATTGGTGGTGGCTGAGCAGTTATCTTGTAGACTGGTGGTGACAGTGGCCACAGGGAGAGGCCTGTGGGAGAGGCTTTCCTGCCTGTGGAAAGGGGATGCATGAGTGTGAAAAACTTTGTATTGTGGTTTGAGTGCTAGCTTAGTTGTACTAAGATAGAACATCAGGAAAACTACTAAGGTTTTTGACTCTAATCCCTGGCTCCCAGATAGCATCTTTGGACATACCCAGATCCTGGGGGAACTCAGCACCCAGAAGGGAAGGGTCTTAAGCAAGGCACAATGCTGTGCTGATGTCAGGTCTGACTCATCACAGTCCCAGTGCTGGTGGCCCAGGGATGCTTGCATCACCACACTCCCAGATCCAGATGGCTCAGCACAGAGACAGAGACTCCATATGTTTGAGAAAAGTAAGGGAAAAGAAAAAGAATCTTTGTTTGGTAATCCAGATAATTATTCTGAAACATATCCAAGACCACCAAGGTCATACCTCTACAAGTCTGCAAAAAACAAGTATTATTGGGTTTGGGCCCCAAGTCCTTTTAATTACCTGGAAATTGAAGGATAGGTACAAAGAGACTGTGGAGACCACAATAAATACCTAACTCTTCAATGCCCAGACACTGAAGAACATCTAAAGCATCAACACCATCCAGGAAAACATGGCCTCAACAAATGAACTAAATAAGGCACCAGGGAGCAATCCTGGAGAAACAGAGATATGTAATCTTTCAGATGGAGAATTCAAGGTAGCTGTTCTGAGAAAACTCAAAAGAAATTCAAGATAACACAGAAGGAATTCAAAATTTTATCAGATAAATTTAACAAACAGATGGAAATAATTAAACAGAATCAAGCAGAAATTCTAGAGTTGAAAAATGCAATTGACATACTAAAGTGCATCAGAGTCTCTTAATAGCAGAACTGATTAAGAAGAAGAAAGAATTAGTGAACTTGAAAACAGGCTATGTGAAAATAGTCGGAGGAAACAAAAAAAATAAAAGACAATGAAGCACACCTACAATATCTAGAAAAAAAAAACCCGAAAAGTGAAAATCTAAGAGATATTGTCCTTAAAGAGGAGGTAGAGAAAGAGATAAAGATAGAAAGTTTATTCAAAGAGATGATGTTAGAGAACTCCCCAAACCAAGAGAAAGATATTAACATTCAAGTACAAAAAGGTTATAGAATACCAAGCAGATTTGACCCAAAGAAGACTACCTCAAGGTATTTAATAATCAAACTCCCAGATGTCAAGGAGGTAGTAGACACTGTGTCCTGTGTAATAACAGGACCCTTCTTAAATGCTGTGGCTTCCTCTGGGGGCTTGTTGCACAGGATTGTAGATAAGCTGGAGCTTTTCCATGGAAAATTAACAAATGTGTTGGGATAGCTGAAAAATGGGAACCAATTAAAGAAATTGAACGTTTTTAGTCTGAAATCTGGAACTCTAGTAGCCCTACAAGAAAAATGTCTGTGTATAAATACTTGATTTATTTATTCAGGGGAAGAAATAAACTCACTTTGTATTGTAAAAAAGACTAGAAAACAAAGACGTGTATAAGAGTGATGAGACGGAGAATAACATATCTCAGTTCAATCTAAAGAATCTCTAAAAACGAAATGCTAATACAAAAAGGATCTGTCAGAAAAAGCCATTCCCTTTCTGTCACTGGATCCAGTCAATAAAAGTTTGAAGGATAGATTGAAGGAAATACTTTTGACAAATTTACAGTAGCCAAAACAGCATGGTACTGGTACAAAAACAGACACGTAAACCAATGAAGCAGAATAGAGAACTCAGAAATAAGACCGCACACCTACAATCGTTTGATCTTCGACAAACTGGACAAAAACAAATGTGGAAAGGATTCCCTATTTAATAAATGGTGCTCAGTGAACTGACTAGCCATATGGAGAAAATTGAAAGTGAACCCCTTCCTTACACCTTACACAAAAATTAACTCAAAATGGATTAAAGACTTAAATGTAAAACCCAAAACTATAAAAACCTTAGAAGAATATCTGAGTAATACCATTCAGGGCATAGGCATGGACAAAGATTTCATGACAAAAATGTCAAAAGCAACTGCAACATAAACAAAAATTGACAGATGGGATCTAATGAAACTAAAGAGCTTCTGTACGCAAAAGAAACTATCATCAGAGTGAACATATAACCTACAGAATGGGAGAAAAAGTGTGCAATCTATCCATCTAGATATTAGACAAAGGTCTAATATCCAAAGTCTACAAGGAATCTAAACAAATTTACAAGAAAAAAACAAACTGCCCCATTAAAAAGTAGGCAAAGGACATGAACAGACACTTCTTAAAAGAAAATATTTATGTGACCAACAAACATGAAAAAAAGCTCAACATCACTGATCATTAGAGAAAAGTAAATTGAAACCACAATGAGATACCATCTCAAGCCAGTCAGAGTGGTGATTACTAAGAAGTCAAGAAACAACAGCTGCTGGTAAGGTTGCAGAGGAAAAGGAATGCTTTTACACTGTTGGTAGAAGTGTAAATTAGTTCAACCATTGTGGAAGATAGTGTGGTGATTCTTCAAAGACCTAGAGGCAAAAATACCATTTGACCCAGCAATCCTGTTACTGGATATATACCCAAATGAATATAAACCATTCTATTATAAAGATGCATGCATATATATATTCATTGCAGCACTATTCACAATAGCAAAGACATGGAATTAACCCAAATGCCCATCAAGGATAGACTCTGGGTAAAGAAAATATGGTACATGTACACCATGGAATACTATGCAGCCATAAAAAGGAATGAGGTCATGTCCTTTGCAGGTACATGGATGGAGCTGGAAG
This sequence comes from Homo sapiens, assembly GCF_000001405.40. NCBI lineage: Eukaryota > Metazoa > Chordata > Mammalia > Primates > Hominidae > Homo > Homo sapiens. Next base: position 5,926,538 of record NC_000011.10, read on the forward strand.
CCGTTATCCTCAGCAAACTAATGCAGGAACAGAAAACCAAATACCACATGTTCTCACTCATAAGTGGGAGCTGAATGTGGTAGAATAATGGTTAGAGAAAAATTCTTATATATATATATATTGTCCAATCAGTTTACATAAAGATACTTTGCAGTCTCAAGGTGCCATTTCTTCCAGTTCAATACAGGCAGCATTTCTTCACTATCTTAAACTGTCAAATGTGCCATTCCTAACTAATTCTGTATTTTCCATCACAAGAAAATTGAAGCAATGCTGCTATTATTCACAATACTATGACCCTTTGGAATATGTTTTGAGGAAATTATACAGATCTTCTTGCCTCCACAATACCCTAGTAGCATTTATTTAATACTAGCCTCAGCATTACTCATGACAATGCATTATCCATTGTGTCGCCCACAGATGCTGGCTTCTGTTCACCTTCTCAAAGGTTCTTACCCTTCTCAGTTGATGGTGACCACAAATGCAATTCTTGATCAGAATATGCAGGAAAATGTGAACAATAATTCATTTTCTGGACATGTTAAATTTACTCTTCACTTGACCACATATACTCTTTAGGCCATAATCACTGCATTCCCAAAGTCTTTCAATATTGATCATGGTCTCTCTAAGGATTCATATAATAGCATGCTCACAGGTATCTTCCATAACACTCCACAACAAAACAAATGTCTAAAAGAAAGACATTTTCATTTGTTCTTGGATTCAACATAGAAAACTTTTGAATTTTCAGAGCAATAAGCCGTGTTGCAATGTATCATGTCAAGATAAACTCATTAATATAAAATACTCAAGTGGTAAGGCTAAAATTTGAATTACAAAACAATATTTATTTTATATGTAAGATTACATATGTCAGGAGGTTCTATTCATAAACAGTGGATCTAACACATCAAGTGACATCTAAAAATCATTAGTTAATTATAAGTTTATTCTGAAAAATTTATTTTTATTACTTTTATTTCCACAAAGTCATTGTTACTGAAGTCCAGATTTTTACATGATAAATATTCTGTTGACATTAAAGCCAAATTAGATAAACTCTTCTTGAATCACTGTAGTCTTAAAGTAGATTTTTTTTCCTAATTTAAATTTAGAAAACTTCATTCTGCTAAAGTAGTAGTAACTAGAATTGTCACTAAAATCTTAAACCAATTACTGTAATTTGAAAATAAATGAACTTTACATATCATATCTAAATCTTGCAATGGTGTTGCATACAACGATGTATCTGTCGCAGAATATCTTAATTTTATCAAATAAAGCCCTACCAATTAAATTGTAAATATTTTCATTCCTTAATTCATTTCTTAAGTTTTTCTGCATTCAGAATTTTCATGTTTGTACAGAAAACTGAAAACAGCAGTGTGTTGCTACTTTATTCCAAATTTGGAATGGGAAAGGTTTGCATCCTGAAAGAGCACCTGGAGTGGAAGGGAGAGTCAGGTGAAACAGGTTCAGTGAGAGGCTGTGTGCTCAACAGGGTGGAGTCCTGCTTTGAAACCAGCCTGCTGCTCTGCACACATTCTTCCAAGATGGGCCCGGAGGTTCCTTCAAAGCAACACGGACTATGGATTTAGGGGTTCAAGACTCCTCCAGCTCTCCCTCTGCTTCTGCCGCTGCAGCAGGGATTGGAGGCGTTGCTTGCAGTGGGCTCTCTCCCCATTTCGCCTTCATGTCTCCCTATTCTGTTTTGCCTTTTGATCCTCCTAATCCTAGTCTCATTAATTTCTTCCATTGTATTCCTTCAGCGTCTTCCTTTTCCTCGGATTTCCCACTTTCTTACTGATTGGATCCCAGTGAAGACCCCAAGATTGCAGCCATCTTGACTGCCCTGACTCAGCATTCCTGGATTCGCCAGTTCCCGCCATCCCAGCGGCCATCTTGGCTACCCTGACTTGGCATTTTCACCTGTTCCCGCCATTTATTCCCGCCATCTCGGCAGCCACCTCGGATACCCTGACTCAGCATTTCCGGGTCCACCTTTCTTGTTCCCGCCGCCTCAGTGAACACGCATGCCCACTAAAGCACATCACTAAGGCACATCACTCATCTATATAAGCGCGCTGCACCTTTGGCACAGCGCGACTTCCCTGACCCTCCCCCTGCAGACCACTGAACCTCGCCGGAGAGCTCAATTAAGAAGATTTTTGCCCTCTTTGTCTCGCCTCTCGGCCTTATTGATCCACGGTGCCCTTCCATTGCCTTTCATTGGTGCCAAAACCCGGGAAGGGACACCTCCTAAGCCCCCCAGAGGCTCGAGGGGACTCCCCTCCTGGTCAGATCAGGCTTCTTCCCCACGGCTACCCATCCGTTTCGTTCGGTTACTTGCCACCAGGTTGCAGCTGCTGCAGCCACTCCAGTCCAATTCGGCTGACGCTGGGTGAGTACCCCTCCTTTTTCCTTTTGTCTGTTCCTCCCTGGCTGAGAGTCATGCACATGCCCAGGGAAAGTTTCCTTCCTCAAGGGAAGGCCAGTCCGGGCCACCAGGTGACCCAAGTTTACTTCCCCAGGGGAAGTCCAAATCGGCACTGACTACTCGGAGACGTCTGTGTCTGAAGTAGCCGATCCGAGGCTCCAGGAGCCACGTGGTCTGAGTGACCCCAGAAGGATGCTTCTGCTGTCCCTCAGACCGTGGCCATAAAGGGAAGGGGATGGGGTCCACCCAGTCCAAAATCGTGCAAAACACCCCCTTAGGGTGCCTCCTGCGCAACCTCCCAACTTTACAACTCGACCAAGATTTAAAACGAAAGCGACTAATTTTCTTCTGCACAGTTGCCTGGCCGCAATATACCTTAGACAACCAATCTCGCTGGCCCCCCGAAGGCACACTCAACTTCAATATCCTAAACGACCTTACCAATTTTTGTCAGAAGCAAGGCAAATGGTCAGAAATCAAATATGTTCAAGGGTTCTGGGACCTTCACTCTCCACCAGACCTCTGCGCCCCGTGTTCACTAGTGCAAGTCCTTTTAGCTAAAACCTCTCCCAAAACCTCTCCTGATCCGGACAAAGATGATCTTTCTCCTCTCTCAGACCCCATAGATAACTTATCTTCCCCTCCCCTCCAAACTGCAGCCCATGCTCTGCCGCCACCATACGCTTCCCCACCCCCCTCGGCTCCACCTTCAGGTCACGCACCGCCCACTTCCTCACGGGTCCCTCCTTCGCCAATCACGCCACCTCCTCCTCCACCTCCATCATCTCCTCCTCCTCCACCACTACCCTCACCTGCCCCTCCCAAGTCCCCTGTGGCCGCACACACCCAGGCCAGGCCGGCACTCCTTGCCCCGCTGCGCGAAGTGGCTGGAGCAGAAGGCATTGTTCGAGTTCATGTGCCTTTCTCCCTCGTTGATTTGTCCAAAATAGAAAGACACCTAGGCTCTTTCTCCACCAACCCTACTCTTTTCACAAAAGAATTTCACTATCTCTGTCAGGTTTATGACCTCACTTGGCACGATATCCATATTATTCTTACCTCCACCCTTTCCCCTGAGGAAAGAGAACGCATTCTAATTGCAGCACGGCAGCATGCCAATCAATTACATCTAACAGACCCCAACGTACCCGTTGGAACACAGGCGGTTCCATCCACCGATCCAGAGTGGGATTACCAAGTTGGGCAAGCAGGGCGTCGCCGCCGGGACATAATGGTTCAATGCCTCCTGGCAGGGATGCAGGTGGCCTCCAATAAATCAGTCAACTTTGACAAACTAAAGGAAATTGTACAATACCCGGATGAAAATCCGGCAGTCTTCCTAAATCGGCTGACTGATGCCTTAGTCCACTATACCCGCCTAGATCCGGCCTCCCCTGCAGGGGCAACCATCTTGGCAACATATTTTATTTCCCAGTCAGCAAGAGATATTAGAAAAAAACTAAAATAGGCGGAGGAAGGCCTCCAAACCCCTATTCAGGACTTAGTAAAGCTGGCGTTCAAAGTTTTTAATTCCCGAGAGGAGGCGGCTGAGGTACAACAACAGGCAAGATTAAAACAAAAAGTTCAGCTCCAAACCCAGGCCCTGGCGGCTGCCGTGCAACCGGCATTCCCTAAGAGCCCAGGCAAGAAAGGTAGAGGTACAATCTCCCGGGCCCCATCTGGCGCCTGCTTCAAGTGCGGCAACTCGGGACACTGGGCCAGCCGGTGCCCTAGCCAACAGCAACCGTCCTGCCTGCCTTACAACTGTTTCAAGTGCGGCAATCCAGGTCATTGGGCAAAGCAGTGCCCAAACCCCAAGCCGCCAATGCGCCCGTGCCCTAACTGCCGACAAATGGGGCACTGGAGGTCAGACTGCCCCGGCCTCAGAGCGGCCGCTGTGTCTCCACATGGCGACCCCTCCCCGGATGGTGAAGGCGCCTTCCAGCTCCTCCAACTGGACGATGACTGAAGAGGCCCAGACTCGGGAACCCCTCTCACCCTTGCCAAGCTCAGGGTAATGCTTCAGGTAGCAGGTAAGTCCATTTCCTTTTTACTGGACCCAGGGGCTACCTACTCTGTTTTGCCATCTTTTAGTGGGCCCAGCCAACCCTCCTCAATCTCTGTTATGGGGATTGATGGCACTCCCTCCACCTACCGCCAGACACCTTCACTGCCCTGCCGCCTAGACCACTCGTTCTTCACACACTCTTTCCTCATCATCCCTTCATGTCCAGTCCCTCTCCTAGGGAGAGATCTCCTGACCAAGTTAGGAGCCTCAGTAGTCTTCCGGCCCGGCCCATCCACCCACCTAGCTCTTCTCCTACCCCTCCTCTCAGCCGATACAGCAGCCCAGGCCTCTCCAACCCTGCCATTAGTCTTCCCTACCCCCGTTGACCCCAAAGTTTGGGACACCAACACTCCCGTTGTTGCCACACACCATAAGCCAGTCCTTATTAAGTTAAAGGACCCACTCAAGTTCCCTGCCCGACCTCAGTTCCCCATTTCCTTAGAGCACCGTCGAGGACTAAAACCCATTATTATTCGGCTTCTACAACAACACATCCTAATTACCACTAATTCTCCTTGCAATACTCCTATTCTGCCGGTACGAAAAGCCTCTGGGACTTACCGTCTAGTACAAGATCTTCGCCTCATCAACGAGGCAGTCATCCCTACAGTCCCGGTAGTTCCTAATCCATACACACTCCTCTCTCGCATCCCCCCCAACAGGTCTCACTTCACTGTTCTGGACCTTAAAGATGCCTTTTTCTCTATCCCACTAGACCCCGCTTGTTACTTCCTCTTTGCTTTCACATGGGAGGACCCAGACACTGGCGTCTCTAAACAACTCACCTGGACGGTTCTGCTACAGGGGTTTAGAGACAGCCCTCATTTCTTTGGACAGGCACTGGCCCAAGACCTCGCTCGCTGCCCTTTGGAGGCCAGTACTGTTATCCAATATGTTGATGACCTGCTCCTTTGCAGCCCCTCTGAGACAGATTGCCTTAAGGACACTTGTACTCTCTTAAACTTCCTAGGAAACTGAGGCTATAGAGTCACCCCGTCCAAAGCCCAACTATGTACCTCTAAAGTCACCTACTTAGGTATACGTCTCACCCCAAACTCAAAAGGCCTAACCTCAGACAGAATCAGCCTTTTACAAAATCTTCAGCCTCCACAAGATGCTGAAGATATTCTCTCCTTCTTGGGGCTAGTCGGCTTTTTCAGACATTGGGTCCCCAATTTCGGAGTCCTAGCAAGGCCCCTGTATCAGGCCACCAAACAGACCCCCCTTGGCCCACTGTCTGAGCCAAAACTAGTAGCCAATCTTTTCAATAAGCTTAAAAATTGCCTCATAACAGCCCCAGTCCTCTCACTCCCAAACCCGCTACGCCCATTCCATCTCTTTACCGATGAGCGGGAAAAGGTTGCTACAGGGCTCCTGGCCCAACTGGTAGGAAGAACACACCAGCCAGTAGCCTACCTTTCCAAGCAGCTCGAGCCCACTGTCCAGGGCTGGCAGCCGTGCCTGCAGGCTTTGGCTGCGGCAGCGAAACTCACCAAAGAGGCTCTTAAGCTTACCTTAGGGCACCCTCTCACTGTTTTCTCCTCACATAGGCTACAAGACTTACTCTCACACAAGTGCCTGAGTCACCTGACCCCCTCCAGACTCCAGCTATTTCATCTCCTGTTTATTGAAAACCCACACATCACACTTACTACCTCTCCAACTTTAAACCCAGCTACCCTCCTCCCCTGCCCAGAAAAGGACCCTGCATCCTTACACTCGTGTTCTTAAATCCTATCAACCCTACCCCCCGCGCACCTAAGCCTCCAAGACAACCCCATCCTAGATCCCCATCAGACCCTGTCTGTGGATGGTAGCTCCATCTCCACGCCGCAGGGCCAACGACGAGCGGCATACGCCGTGGTCACCTCATCTCAAGTAGTTGAGGCCAAACCACTTCCCACTGGTATAACCTCCCAGAAGGCAGAACTCATAGCTCTTACTAGAGCTCTAATTCTATCTAAAAACAAAAAAGTAAACATATACACTGATTCCAAGTATGCCTACTTAATAGCGCATACCTACTCCATTCTCTGGCAGGAACGGGGGTTCCTTACCACTAAAGGTACTCCTATTGTCAATGGACCCCTCATTGAGAAACTCATCCAGGTGCTAAAAGCCCCCACACAGGTAGCCATCATCCATTGCAAAAGCCACCAAAATTCTAAAGACCCTATATCATTAGGCAACAATTTCGCCAACACCACTGCCCGGGCCACGGCCCTCTTGGCCCCTTCCCCCACTCCTGTGTGCTTCCTCTCTCCTGCTTACACTCCCGATTACTCCCCTGAAGAGCTAGTCCACCTCATGGGTCACTCAGGAGTAAAAACCAACTCCAATGAGCGCTTTCATAGCCACACCCCTAACAAGAGTAATCAGGGCTGGATATTCGTGGATGATAGAGTAGTTCTCCCGTGCAGTCAGAAGAAACTCATCCTCACCGACATGCACCGTTCGTTACATATAGGCCCAAAGGCTTTATATAACTTTCTTGAACCCATAATCTACCATCCTTCCCTTTATTCCTTACTGAAGCAAATACATCAGGAATGCCATGTTTGCACAGTGGCAAACCCTCAGGGAAAACTTAAGCTCCCAGGTCCCTGTCACCAGCTAAGAGAACATCAGCCAGGAGAAGACTGGCAAGTTGACTTCACCCACATGCCTAGACACAAAAAGTTCCGTTATCGCTCCTGGTCCTTCAGATTTCAGCTCCTCAGACTCCTCTACAGGGAAAGCCCTCCCTGACTCCCCCAGCCAAGATGGGTCTCTTTGTTTTCAGATGAGATCGGCAGCTTGGGGCCAGGTGCAGTGGATCACGCCTGTAATCCCAGGACTTTGAGAGGCCGAGGCGGGCAGATCACCTGAGATCGGGAGTTCAAGACACAGCCTGAGCAACATGAAGAAACCCCGTCTCTACTAAAAATACAAAATTAGGAGCTCTCCCTCTTCCTCTCCCTCTCCCTCTCCCCACGGTCTCCCTCTCCCTCTCTTTCCACGGTCTCCCTCTCATGCTGAGCCGAAGCTGGACTGTACTGCTGCCATCTTGGCTCACTGCAACCTCCCTGCCTGATTCTCCTGACTCAGCCTGCCGAGTGCCTGCGATTGCAGGCTCGCGCCGCCACGCCTGACTGGTTTTGGTGGAGACGGGGTTTCGCCGTGTTGGCCAGGCCGGTCTCCAGTCCCTAACCGCAGGTGATCCGCCAGCCTCGGCCTCCCGAGGTGCCGGGATTGCAGACGGAGTCTCGTTCACTCAGTGCTCAATGGTGCCCAGGCTGGAGTGCAGTGGCGTGATCTCGGCTCGCTACAACCTCCACCTCCCAGCTGCCTGCCTTGGCCTCCCAAAGTGCCAAGATTGCAGCCTCTGCCCGGCTGCCACGCCGTCTGGGAAGTGAGGAGCGTCTCTGCCTGGCCGCCCATCGTCTGGGATGTGAGGAGCCCCTCTGCCTGGCTGCCCAGTCTGGAAAGTGAGGAGCGTCTCCGCCCGGCCGCCATCCCACCTAGGAAGTGAGGAGCACCTCTTCCTGGCTGCCATCACATCTAGGAAGTGAGGAGCGTCTCTGCCCGGCCGCCCATCGTCTGAGATGTGGGGAGCGCCTCTGCCCCGCCACCCCGTCTGGGATGTGAGGAGCACCTCTGCCCGGCCACCACCCCGTCTGGGAGGTGTGCCCAACAGCTCATTGAGAACGGGCCAAGATGACAATGGAGGCTTTGTGGATAGAAGGGCGGGAAAGGTGGGGAAAAGATTGAGAAATCGGATGGTTGCCGTGTCTGTGTAGAAAGAAGTAGACATGGGAGACTTTTCATTATGTTCTGTACTAAGAAAACTTCTTCTGCCGTGGGATCCTGTTGATCTGTGACCTTACCCCCAACCCTGTGCTCTCTGAAACATGTGCTGTGTTCACTCAGGGTTAAATGGATTAAGGGCGGTGCAAGATGTGCTTTGTTAAACAGATGCTTGAAGGCAGCATGCTCGTTAAGAGTCATCACCACTCCCTAATCTCAAGTACCCAGGGACACAAACACTGCGGAAGGCCGCGGGGTCCTCTGCCTAGGAAAACCAGAGACCTTTGTTCACTTGTTTATCTGCTGACCTTCCCTCCACTATTGTCCTATGACCCTGCCAAATCTCCCTCTGTGAGAAACACCCGAGAATTATCAATAAAAAATAAATAAATTAAAAAAAAAAAAAAAGTTCCGTTATCTTCTTACTCTAGTAGATACTTTCTCAGGTTGGATTGAAGCCTATCCCACCACTCATGAAACAGCAGAGGTGGTAGCTTCAACCCTCATTGAACACATAATCCCGAGATTTGGCCTCCCTCGGACAATCCAATCTGAAAATGGGCCTGCTTTTATCTCCAAGATAGTCAAACAGGTGACAACCACACTTGGCGTTAACTGGAAGCTACACACTCCATACCATCCACAGTCTTCTGGAAAAGTGGAACGCGCCAACGGCCTTGTCAAACAACACCTAATCAAACTGGCTCTGGAGACACGCCAATCGTGGGTAACCTTACTTCCCTTTGCCCTCGCGCGGCTCCGGGCAGCACCCCGAAGCCCCACAGGACTTAGCCCCTTTGAACTCCTATAGGGGCGCCCCTTCCTCTTTCAAGAGCTCCCTGTGAATACCCCACCTCTTAGCACGTACCTGCCCTACCTCACCCTGTTAAGGGAGCTGCTAAGAGAGCACGCCGACCGCAGCCTTCCAAAGCCCGGACCACTCGGCCCAGACAGTCTGGCCATAATAACCCCAGGAGATCAGGTACTAGTAAAAGACCTCCAGGCAAGAGGCCTCTCCCCCCGGTGGAAAGGCCCCATACGGTAATTCTTACAACACTGACGGCAGCTAAACTTATAGGCCTTCCTTCCTGGTACCATATTTCCCATCTTAAGAGGGCACCTACACAAGATCAGGCCACTTGGACTGTCACCTCCCTCTCCCCAACCAAACTGAAACTCTCTAAATCAAATACCGCATGAATTCTCCGTGTGACAGGCTCCAACAATTTATTCAAGTTCTTCTCGAGGAAAGCTGGTCATTCCCTACTTTTGCTAACACACTTCACTGGCCTGAAAATCTGTTAGCCTATATAGACGAACTAGTGTGGCAAGGCTCCCTCCAGAACTTTCACCAACAAGAAGTTCGCTTTTTTTGTCTTGTCACTCTTCTTACTCTTGCACACCAGTCGTAGTAGACAAGCCCCCTCTCAGACTCCCTCTCACTGGGTTTTTTTCCTCACTGAGAATTGGAATTCCGGACAGGCAGTCTCCTCTAGACTAGTAGCCACGGCAGCATGCCCGCCAGCAAGGTGCCAGGCACCCATAACTTTCCTAGGTCTAAAATTCTCCTCCTTAGGCCCAAATACAAAAAACCCAGCGCTTTGCTTCCTGTATGATCAAAGTAACTCCAAATGCAATACCACCTGGGTCAAAGAAAATGTAGGCTGCCTGTGGCACTGGTGCAATATCCATGAGGCATCCATTTATAGAAAGGATACCATGTTCTCTGTCAACACTTCAGGAGGCTTTAACGGATTTAACCTCCAAATCTCTGACCCTTGAGACCCCCGCTGGGCCTCCGGTATAGATGGAGGACTATATGAGCACAGAACTTTTATGTATCCGGTAGCTAAGATCCGCATTGCCAGGACCCTTAAAACCACTGTCACAGGGTTATCCGACTTAGCCTCCTCAATCCAGTCGGCCGAGAAGGCTTGCCAACCAGCTTCAACTGGCAGCTGACCAGGCCATGTCCTCCCCCTTCTCGTGGTTAACTTTAATCTCAGAAGGTACACAACTGCTCCAATCCACAGGGGTACAAAACCTCTCCCACTGCTTCCTCTGTGCGGCCCTTGGAAGACCTCCCTTAGTGGCAGTTCCTCTCCCTACCCCCTTTAATTATACAAGAAATTCATCCACCCCTATACCACCGGTCCCGAAAGGACAGGTCCCACTATTCTCAGACCCTACAAGACACAAGTTCCCGTTCTGTTACTCCATCCCAAATGCCTCTTGGTGTAACCAGACCAGGATGCTTACCAGTGCCCCGGCACCACCCGGAGGCTACTTCTGGTGTAACTCCATGCTAACTAAAGTTCTTAACTCAACTGGTAATCACACCTTGTGCTTACCCGTCTCTCTCATCCCTAGCCTGACCCTATATAGTCAGGACGAACTTAGCCATCTGCTAGCCTGGACCGAGCCAAGGCCGCGAAATAAAAGCAAACGGGCTATTTTCCTACCCTTAGTACTAGGCATCTCCTTAGCCTCCTCCTTAGTGGCATCAGGGCTAGGAACAGGAGCCCTCACCCACTTAATCCAAACATCTCAGGATCTGTCTACTCACCTGCAGTTGGCCATTGAGGCATCGGCTGAGTCCCTGGCCTCCCTACAGCAACAGATGACTTCGGTAGCACAGGTCACGGCACAGAACAGGCGGGCCTTAGACCTGCTTACGGCAGAAAAAGGAGGGACATGTTTATTCTTACAGGAAGAATGCTGCTATTAACGAGTCAGGGGTAGTTGAGACTAATTTACAAACTTTAAAAAAGATCCAAGAGGAGTTAAAACACTCCTACGACCCTCTCCGCCCTGGTCCTTCCTGGTGGTTTTCACCCGTGGTTCAACAGATGCTCCCTTTCCTTATCCCAATTATAATTCTCTGTATAATACTGTGTTTTGCCCCAATCCTAGTACAGTTTCTCCGCCAGCGGATACAAGAAATCACCAGGGTCACTTTCAACCAGATGCTACTTCACCCTTATGTCCAACTGCCAACCTCTGATTTAGGCCCCCTCCCCAACGACGCCCCTTAACAGCAGGAAGTAGCCAGACGAATTCGTCGCCCCTTTTCTATAACCAAAAAGAGCTTGGACTGATTGGATCCCGGTGAAGACCCCAAGATCGCAGCCATCTTGGCTGCCCTGACTCAGCATTCCCGGATTCGCCAGTTCCCGCCATCCCAGCAGCCATCTTGGCTACCCTGACTTGGCATTTTCGCCTGTTCCCACCATTTATTCCCGCCATCCGGACAGCCACCTCGGATACCCTGACTCAGCATTTCCGGGTTCACCTTTCTTGTTCCCGCTGCCTCAGTGAACACGCATGCCCACTAAAGCACGTCACTAAGGCACGTCACTCATCTATATAAATGCGCTACACGTTTGGCACAGCGTGACTTCCCTGGCCTTCCCCCTGCGGACCAGTGAACCTCGCCCGAGAGCTCAATAAAGAAGATTTTTGCCCTCTTTGTCTCGCCTCTGGGCCTTATTGATCCACGGTGCCCTTCCATTGCCTTTCACTTACCGGGGTGACCCTTCCGGGACTCCGCTGGGATGTGGCGTCTCATCTGGAGCTCACCTCCTGAAGAGAAGCGTCCACAGCTTCACCGCCATGAAGGGAAAAAGGAGAGAGAGGCGGGGAGGGCCACGGAGTCCTGGTGGCACTCCGTGTTCCTTCACAAGTCTTTGTCCAGCGGGACAAGGTTTACAAGAAGCGCCAAGCTCTTCGCCAACCAAGTTCCTCCAGAGAAACTGAGAAGCGCGTTTGTGTTCCAGCAGAACGGAGTAAATTGCTTTGGGCTGTGTGTATTTAAAGGGGCAAGGAACGCAGTCTTCTGATTGGTGTGCGTCCGCTCGCCGTGTCCATGGTAACCAGCTAGCGCCCTGACCCGGCCCGGACCTCAGCTGCGGGGAGACTACCGGAAGCTAAGGAGAACAGCCCGCAGCCTACGCCGCGGGGCCCTGGTGACCGGTTTGGTTAGTCTCGGGCTCTCGAGTCTGCCAGGAGTCTAACAACGCAGTTCTCCTCTTCGGCGGTCTTAGGTTTCCTCTTCAATGGCACAGATTTTTGCCCATCTGTCCTTCTTTTTCTCCCTACCTTTAGTTCCTGTGATTCAGGTGCCTACAGCAGGGAGACCTGCCACGGCGCGCAGGTGATGTCTTGAGACATGGGGCTGGGGTCCAACAGAGTAAAGGCCAGGAATTTCTTTCTCCTGGTGATGAATAATTACTGGCCGCATTGATTGATAGCATATTCCATTCTAGACGCAGGACACACCTATGAAGTATGGTCTCTCTGATTAAATTTTATCAACGCATTGTGGTTAAGGAATGTGTCCAAGGTATAGACTGAGCAAAACCAAACAGGGACGGGGTCAGACCATGTCTTAACCATGCAGGCAGGTTGTGGGAACGAGCTTGAGAAGTACATTTCTGAGTGCCTTAGACCAGATTGCCTGGGAGGGGAATGAAATGAGGATGATGAGGCTGGAAGGTCAGGCTGAGATCACCTGGGCTCCTGATCCCACCATTCTAGACCTGATTTCCACGTGGCCCCAGGTATCCCTGAGATAGCTCACATGACTAGAATGTAGGAACGTGGTCCTGCCTCTCTTGGGAGGCAGTCTTGGCCTAGTCCCAAGGGCTCATTTGGAGAACAAGACAGATTTATACTTCACTGAGCACCACTAAGTAGCATTAGGCCCTTTCAGCATCTAACTTGAAGTGGTCACAGTGAGAAGTCTATATCCTGTTCTTTTCTCTGCTCAGGTGTTCTTGGGATTCTCTGGGTCCTCTGGCTCACAGCCTTACGCACCTGCTCTTCCCTTCACAGCCTAGGAGACCTGGTCTTCTCTGGGTCAGATGCCCATATCATACAGTAGGAATAGGGGCTGTTCGATTTCAGAATGATTCCATCAAATCCAAGACAACAAGTTAGCTTAATTTAGGTATACTCCAACATTGTCAAAGCCTATTCAATAGAAAATATGTAACTTGTTTGTGCAAGTCTTTCATAATTATTTTCATGCCATGTTTCCGTTTCAATCTTAATAATTTCTTGCTTCTGTGATAAGCTAAATCCTTCAAATCTTGGACCCCATAAGGTGTCAGAGACCAGGGCCAGGGCCCTGCTTTCCAAGGCCTAACAGGATCTGACTGTTGATTTCTATTCTGGTTATCTATTGGTGTCATCTAAAAATAAGCATTTATTATACTAATGAATTTGTGCATTGTGAATTCAGAAAGGGAACAGTGGGGAAATCTTGTCTGCACAACAGTGACTGGGTCATGAGCTGGGATGGATTGAATTACTGGATGTGACCGTGACAGCTACGCTGTACCGTGTACCTGTCAGCTGAATTTCTTGGTTCTAACTCGTGTGACATGTACTGCAGCTGGGATGTCCAATATAACTTTTTTACTCACATGTCTGAGATGGTTCAAACATCAGAGCATGACTGAGCAGAGGCCTCTCTTTGTGAGTCTTTTCCATATAGCTAACTGGGGCTTCATCACAGCAAAACTGTCTCAGTGCAGTCAGATATCCCCCTAAACAACTTAACTAAGAGATGCTGGTAGAAGCTACAAGGCCTCTTAGGAGCTTGTCTCAGAATTCAATCAGTTTCACTTCCAACACATTCTTTTAACCAAAAGTGAATCCAAGACTCATCTCAGATTGAAAATAAGGGGATCATACAAAGTATTGATTCCTCACTAGCATGCTACATTGGGGGCGGGCATCTTTTGAGATCAGCTACAACAAATACTGATGAGGTGAATTAAATTACTCTAAAAATTCTCATATTATTCAGCTTCTAGCCAAGATATGATGAAAGGGACTGAATTTGCTTTCCTAACTGACCTAAAACAAAACAAACCAAAAGTGGAATAAAATATAGTAAACAATGAGTTTCAAGACAGTAGACATCAGGCAAGTAAGGACAGTTATCCCTGAAATATGTGAAACAAATGAGGCAGGCCCTACAACTACCCCAGTTTTCTGTCTTCAAAGAGTTTCCAGGCTGCAGTGCAGGGAAGCAAGACCAAATGGAACTCAGTGGAGTCCCTAAGTGGAGGAGATGTAATTGGAGTACAGAAAGACCAAACCCGCTAAAGCTCGCAAGAAAGAATACTGGAGAAAAGAAAGCTGCACACAGAGAGAAGCCTGAAAACCTACAGAGGATCTTCCTCAAGTAATGAATGAATGTGTGCAGATGAGGACACTAACCAAGGTGGAGGAAGGGAGGAGGGCACCTAAAAGAATTAGTGAGAACAGTATCCAATCAACACACAGGGCCTGAAATAGTATCTGTTTCCACCGTCGAGAAAGGAAAGCATTATAATTCATAAGGCATTGGGGAAAATTCTCAAATGGTCTTTCTTAGTAGTGAACAGCAGTAAAAAATAATAAAGTCAACTTACACATAGCAACATGTATAAATTTGAAGATATAGCATTGATAGAAAAAGAATAACAGATTTACAACCCAGTGACAGTTATATAAATTCAATTTTAAAAGAATTTTTTCATAAATTAAGTATATCCCTGTATAAGCATACTGAAAATTAATTAGAAAGATATATTTTAAATCCACTGGAGTTTTCACTTTCCTAAAGGGAAGGGAAATAGGAGGAATGTTGGAAAATACAGGAAAAGAAATAAAGCAAAAGTCTTGAAGAAACTTATGATGCTTGTTTCCATTAGTTGATAAGTGTGAATAATTCATATAAGGTTCAAAATGAAAATAAAACCTAAAGGAAAAACATAGTTGCTAACTAATATTGGGTTATTTATAAATTCCATTTTTAAACCTCTCACCACAAAAAAAATTATTATAGGTCTTTTTTCTCTGAATATCACATTGCATTTTCTCAGTAAGATTTTGTTCAGTTTTCTCTTGCATTTTTATCATAATACCTTCATAAAAGTCATGATAGATTAACACCAATCCATTCAATAGCATGGTTTGGGCAGTGCCTATCAAACAAAACAAGCAGGAAGCCCACAAAAATTTCCATTCACTTATTGGATCCACAGAAGCTGCTCAGTGTGCATAGGCAGATGAATATGAACACAGATGGATGTGAACATAAGATCCCTGTACCCAGGAGACGTACTTACTGCCTACAGGACAAGCAGTCAGTGTAGCACTGGATTACCGGGGGTTTTTTGTCACAGAAAGAAAGAGAATAATTTTCTTCTCCCATCTAACTGCCTGTTTTTCCCAGGAGGACCTTTTGGTCCTACGGGAAGAGGGATTAAGAAGTTCCCAGAGGTCAGAGTTTCTGAGGCACTACAATTATAACTGCCCCAGATACTTCTGAAACTAACAAGAGCTCCAATATTAATGGAGCCAAACCCCATGCTTCACATTTTCTGTGAGTCTGGCTAGAGGATGTTAATGGTGGCTATACAAAGATTAGCCAGAAGACTAGAGAGATCTCTGTCTTCAGTCCCTATCTGTGCTCTTTTCCATTCCTGCGTCAATACTGCTGAAGTAGTCTGAGAAGGAAATAAATAAAGACTGCACCCTGTCTCAGGTAAAGAGGCTTATGTGCTCTGGGACCTTCTCTCTTTTGCCATCCTCTGGGTGCTTGGTGGTAGCAGAAATGCAGGAAAGTTGCAATTTGTCTATAGAAGATTAACAGGCAGTATGAGAGCTAAAAAGTGCATAATTTGGAGCCAAGTAAAGAAAATTTGGAGTTTTCAACTCTGAATATGGAAATTTAGTGGCTTGAAAACAAAGAATATGCCTACCAGTGTCTGAATTATAAAGTTAGAATTACATTAGTTTCTATAACTTCAGAGGTTGAAGACAAAGACCACAGTTCAGGACCAGTGGAAGTCAGGAAGTAGTTCAAAATATTTCTGATCAAAATTGCTAAAATCTACTTCTGACAAGAACAGAAAACTACGCCCAGAAGAGCAGCTAGCTACCTGTCACTGGATGCACTGAATAATATCTGAAACTACACCTGAGAGAGGTATCTTACAGGCCTGCCTGAATTTTACCAAGATAGAACCCTAGCAACTCTTTTACTTTTTAAAACAGGGTTTCTTTGGCACTATTCTGTGGGCCTATCTTGCAACCTGGGAAAGCCTAGGCTGATGGTCTCTCCTTTAGTCTTTGAGCTTCAACTTCTTTGGCTTTCTCATCTTGTTCCTGGCTGGAACTGGAAACCATTAGCTCCAGTTCCTAAGCCCTAGTGTGCCATTGGCAAGTTTTGATTACAAACCAAGATTGAATAATGAAAGGAGAAAAGGAGCAAATGTGTTTCCAGATGCTTTACTTCTAGGGATGAGTACTTTATTGATGCTTGTTGAATGATTGAAAAACATGCAGAAACATTAGAGAAAATAGAAGGAAAAAGGAAAAGTCAGTGAGTTAGAAAAATAAAATAATCCTCCCATGTAATCCTCAGAAATTTCATCTTAGTGCTAAAAATAATTATCCCAAAGCTCTTCAAGAGACAGAAAATATACTTTTTCCTCTAGGCTTCTCTATGGATACTCATGCCTAAGTCACTAGATCTTCCATTTGGCTCTACCCTGCAAAGGTCATTTCAAGATTTTCTCTACTTCCAAGCACAAAACATTTAATTCCTTCTAGGAGTCCTTTGTGACCCCTGGAGAAGAAAAGCTACTTGGAAAGGTAAGATTTGGGGCTGTGATTTTCTTTAAAAAAAAAAAAAAAAAAACCACCTTATTTGCTTCAGGTTTTTTAAAATAAAATAAAACATTTCTGAAGTTTAAGTCCCCTTCATACACTGCAAAAGGCTCCTAGAACAGATAAAGGACTCCAGGATACAAAATCAATGTACAAAACTTAGTAGCATTTCTGTACGCCAATAAAGTTCAAGCTAAGAGCTGAATCAAGAATGCAATCCTAGTTACAAGTGCCACAAAAAGAATAAAATACCTGAGAATACAACTAACCAAGAGGCTGTGATTTTTAACTGTAAAAATTTTGCAGAAAGTAGGATCAGAGGATGCAATGAGCAAAGGAATAAATGACAAGAAAGTAATGCAGAAGATAGTGTTTAAAGGGAATATGTGGAATTTAACAGCCTATAGTTGTACTTGCTGTGGGTGCAAAGTTAATTGGGGTTGGGTCAATTATGCCAAGTTCTAGGCTTAGAAGGTCTTACTGGTTTTTGTTCCACACTTACAAGTTAATGTATTCAAAGACAGAGAAGGAAAAGAAGTGAATGAACATAGTGCCCAGGGCATGAAGAAGGGTCGTTAGTCACCAACTGGAGGCTGGAAGTTTTGTTCTAGGGGTTATTATCTTGAGGACCTCCTGTAACTCCAGTATGTCTTACTCTCAGTGAGCCACTCTATCAAGGAAAATGGCAAAAATATTAGAAAAGAGAAAGTAAGATTGGAGGGTGGCAGGTATGAAGTGCATAGAGAATGATTTTATAATCTTTATTTAACCTTGAAGGGGTTGTTCCTTAAGAGTCAAAACCAGGAATACAATAAAAGACACAATACAAAAGGGGAATAAGGAGGGAATTGGAGCCTATGAGCTGTGGGAAGCAGGAGTCGGAGTTGCAAGAGGAAGGAAGAGGGAGAATCTCCAGACTGCTGAAAAACAGCCCTTAGAATTGTATGTGTATGGAGAGTGTGGGTGGAAAAGAAAAACCTACAAAATATATAAAACAAAATCCCAAATAACATAAACATGTATGCATCACTATGGTGACACAGGGCACAGGCGTATTCCTATTTTCACTGGCTTGGACCTGAATGAATTATTTAGACCTTTATTTTCTCCACAGCTGAACCCTGAGAAACTGTAGGAAGACATGTAAAACCACTAAAATATGATTTGCCTATGTGAAAGATAACTGCTAAAATAATCAACTTACCCTACCTACTTCAAAGTATTATGAATCACAAATGAAACGGTATGTTTAAAATTCATTTTGAACTTATCAGGTCATTACTAATATACCCTATTATTTACAGGAGAAAAGAATTGGGAGAATATCTAAATCTCTTCTATATATGAGGTGAAGGGCCATGCCTGGCAGACTACATGGGGAATCAGAGGATCAAGAGGAGTGAAGAGAGGATCCCTGGAGGAATGCCCGTCCTCCCTCCACTGACAGCAGCCACAGTTACTAACAGGGTCTTTCTGATGAGGAGAATCTGACAGGACCCAGTTGAGCAAGGACTGGAACTGCTTTTGGGGAATAGGAAAGACAACTGAAAACAAAAAGCCTACCTGAACCTCTTCCAAAAAGTATGTTTCCATCAGTAGGAAAATATCATACAGTTTGGAGTTCACAGTTTAATTATAACTTCCTTCCTTGTCACCCTGTCCCTACCCCAAAACTTTTTTCCTCGACAGATTCAATTCTTAAAACTATCAATTGTGTTTTGGGTAAAGTTTGTTTTCTTTTTTATAGGATCAGTGGGGCAAATACGTATAATAGAGTTATTTATTGGGTTTGGCCGGGCACGGTGGCTCACACCTGTAATCCCAGCACTTTGGGAGGCTGAGGTGGGTGGATCTCGAGGTCAGGAGATCGAGACCATCCTGGCCAACATGGTGAAACCCCATCTCTACTACAACCACAAAAACAAACAAAATTAACTGGGTGTGGTGGCGTGTGCCTGTAATCCCAGCTACTCTGGAGGCTGAGGCGGGAGAATCGCTTGAACCTGGGAGGCGGAGGTTGCAGTGAGCAGAGATCACGCCATTGCACTCCAGTCTGGCAACAGAGCTAGACCCCATATAAAAAAAAAAAAAAAAAAAAAAAATTATTTCTTGGGTCTGAAGGAACCCTAGAAATTAATCCAACCCAACCTCTATATTAGGTAAGATTAGGATTAGAATAATAACATATGGGCAGTTAAGAACCTGGATTTTGAAATATCACTTCCCTTGTTTGTAAGTGGTGATAATGAAACATATTTCACAGAATGTTGAATAACTAAATGGGATGAAGTGCTAAAACAGAGCACAGTTCCCAGCAAGTAGAAAGAATTACAAAAATAACCATATAATTTTGTTATATTAGTGAGCCAAAGTGTGAGAAACAGGGCATTTCTTAAACATTTGATGAAAAGGAATTTCACACACTTGATCTTAGCCAAAAGGCTGAGAAGCGATAGAAAGGAATTTTTAAACCTACAAAATAACATCTGAACAGAAACCTCTGTCCCAGTAGACAGAAATATGCACAATAAAACTGCATGATTTGGAGGGCCCCCTGAAGACCTGACCTACACCCTTGCCAAGCTACAGTGTTCTTTCTATGGGCTGTCTTTCACAATGCAGGGGAGGGGAATCTTAGAATCCTTTACCTTTAATGTAAATGTGGGTACCACATCACCCTATTTATAATGATATTTTTCCAGCCTATCCCCTATGTCACACTCAACTCTCCTCTGCAGTCTCCTAATAATTTGTGCATATCTCTGACATTGCTCATATCATTCATTCTCGTTACACCCATCATCTCCCAGAGTAGTTATAGGTTTGTTTTAGTGAAAATAAGGACAGTTTCTTATTAAATTTTGTGATGCTGGTACCTAACAGAATGCCAGGGAAGAGGGTTAAATGATAAGGGAATAATGGCAACACTGAACTACTGTCAGGAGAGAGGGAAATGTGTGGCTATATCATTACAGTCAAGATGGAAAAGGAAACTGGAAGGAGACGGAAGGACTTTAAAGGTGAACTTCGTCACCCTCACACAATTACAATAAGAAGAACCAATTTTTCATCATGTCTAATGACAAGCATTTCTCCCTGTTAGCTATGTGGAAGTGCCCACTCTCCTTTTAAAGCTGTTTCTCCCAAAAGTTAGGAAGCCTAAAAATATGAACATCTAAAAAATAGAGAGATATTAAGGCAATTATTTGGTGGAACCTATGCCTACTAAATAAAAATGAACTTTTAGACAAAATACAAGTTAACTAAATTTATTTTAGATGTATGATTTAAAAAATCTCTAAGCAAAATAAGTGCAGCAGAAAGGTTAGAATAAGGATGTCATGGGGACATGGGGACTAGGGACATTTATCTGAGTCCCTTCCTTGTGCCAGGCTCTGCTATTTATTTGAGCTTATTGCAATAGTCAACTTGTAGATATGGTAGGCTATGTGTACATTAAAAAGAAAATTGTGAAGAAGAAACCTATGGGTAGAAATTTAGAGTCTCACCTGTCACACTAAAGTTGTTTCCTAAGTGTTTTCTCCTTTTTAGTTTCTCTAAAAAAAACAATTCTATTGAAAATGGACATTGAATAAAGTAAACATGTATAGAGGAATCATGTCACCTCAGACAGCTGTACTGTTTAAAGTGATAGGAATACCCCAGTGACATGACACTGAGGAAAAACAGATGAATTCGCTTGGCTCTACATAACCTGCTAGAAACCACAAGTTGTACCTATGACAAACAAATTGTGCTATCTTTGTGTATCAAGAATCCACAGCTAGTTTGTAATCATAATTTTCCAGATCACTGAAAGAAAGCAGTAAAATATATGGGAAAATATGACAACACACCGAAATGACACCCTCTCCACTGAAGCTTCAGACTTCCTCTTGAATTGTTTTGTCAGATCCCCCAGCTGGCAGCACTGGCTGTCCCTGCCCCTCAGCCTCCTTTTCCTCTTGGCCGTAGGGGCCAACACCACCCTCCTGATGACCATCTGGCTGGAGGCCTCTCTGCACCAGCCCCTGTACTACCTGCTCAGCCTCCTCTCCCTGCTGGACATCGTGCTCTGCCTCACTGTCATCCCCAAGGTCCTGACCATCTTCTGGTTTGACCTCAGGCCCATCAGCTTCCCTGCCTGCTTCCTCCAGATGTACATCATGAATTGTTTCCTAGCCATGGAGTCTTGCACATTCATGGTCATGGCCTATGATCGTTATGTAGCCATCTGCCACCCACTGAGATATCCATCAATCATCACTGATCACTTTGTAGTCAAGGCTGCCATGTTTATTTTGACCAGAAATGTGCTTATGACTCTGCCCATCCCCATCCTTTCAGCACAACTCCGTTATTGTGGAAGAAATGTCATTGAGAACTGCATCTGTGCCAATATGTCTGTTTCCAGACTCTCCTGCGATGATGTCACCATCAATCACCTTTACCAATTTGCTGGAGGCTGGACTCTGCTAGGATCTGACCTCATCCTTATCTTCCTCTCCTACACCTTCATTCTGCGAGCTGTGCTGAGACTCAAGGCAGAGGGTGCCGTGGCAAAGGCCCTAAGCACATGTGGCTCCCACTTCATGCTCATCCTCTTCTTCAGCACCATCCTTCTGGTTTTTGTCCTCACACATGTGGCTAAGAAGAAAGTCTCCCCTGATGTGCCAGTCTTGCTCAATGTTCTCCACCATGTCATTCCTGCAGCCCTTAACCCCATCATTTACGGGGTGAGAACCCAAGAAATTAAGCAGGGAATGCAGAGGTTGTTGAAGAAAGGGTGCTAACAAGGACCACTGGATCTCTGAATATCTAAAATAAGATAATTTATTAATCACTTAATGAGTGAGTGGGCTGAAATTCATATCTGTGACTTATAACCTCAAACTGGGTACACTAGATATTGTGTGTGCTTTTCAAAAACATCGGTTTTAATTTAAGTCTATCTTCCTTTTCACCCTTTTCTCAGAAATATTCTTGGCCCTCTCTCGTTTTATTCCATGCTTATAATCATATTTTGTCCAAAACACTGACATTCCTTAAAGCAGATTTTAAAGTGAAAAATGTATGTTTCTGAACACACAACTCAATATGTCATGAATTTTGTATCATTAAAAATACAACTGCGGTTATTTTGTTGTGTCTGTTATGTGTAATGTCCTTTTATTCTTATTTTCAGAAAAGGGAATACATTGGAGAAAAAAACACAGTAGTTGAAATTTCAGTCCTCAGTGGTGGAAAGTTGCTACTGGTCTGTAAGTAGGTCTTTTTCTCTCACCCTTCAACCACATCATTGCCTTTCTCTAGTTCTCTTTCTCCCCTCACCTCCTCTCTCTCCCTCTCCTTCTCTTTCTCTGGAAGACAAGTAAATTTTTGTAATGTGCATTGCAAGAGGGCAAGGGTTTTGCCTTGATTCCTCATGAGTAACAATTATCAATGAGTTTTACTGGATATATGAGATTCTTGAATCCTCTTCCCCAATGTGTCTGTGCTTAGAACATTTATCTTTCAGATCCAATATATCACAGGTTTTGATATGCAAACAAATCTTTATTAATGAGTCAAAAGATTGCTGGTATTAGAGCATACAATCTAGCAATAATATTGACACCTAAAATACTTTTCCTGAACATTATTTTCTCATTAATTGGACAGCTTCTAAGCACACATGGTGTCCTGTGAATTATGTTAGCTATTAAGAAACAAAAATAAAAAGAATATTGTTGTTGATTTGAGGACCTCAAAGTTTGGGTAGGAAAAATACAAATATGCACTCCAGAACACATTCTTCTAAACTGTAGAGCAGTGAGGAATGGGATAAAAGATATGTATGGGCAGTAAGATACTTGGTCCTGTAAGGAAACATTAGATAAAGAGAAGGTCTGGGCAGTAGGCCTTGCACAGCCACACACCCACATGCACACACATACATACCCACAGCATAAAAGTTGTGTCCCGCCTGGGAAGAAATCAAATAAGAGAATTCACTGTGTTTCCCATTATTCATCCAATACCTGATAATAGTGAGCGATTTGTTTTAGAATATTCTTCTAAATACAAGATTCTGTGCTTCAGTAACAACTTACAAGTATGTGTTACTTTGTTTTGACCATACAAGGAAAATTTCTCAAGTATCAAATACCAAGACTGTCCCAAATGTCCGAATGTTTTAAATTTAACTGAAAGCATCTGAGATTAAGCCCTGTCCTACTCAAGCAGAATTCCGCAGAGCTCTCTCCGTTCATTTCTCTTCTCCATCTTGCAAAAAAAATGATAAATTAGTATTTAATTCCTGGATATCCTGGAATTGAAACCTACTGATTGAAAAATAAGCATGTACCACATATAAGAAGCAATAGTTAAAAGCATATAATCAATAATTTAATTAGAAATTTCTCAAAAGTGAAAAGCCATCTGTTAAGATCCGAGTAGATACACCTTTTTCTTTATTACTCAAAGAAGAAGGACTCTCTAAAATCTCATTCTCTCATACATTTCAACATAAGAAAAATGGCTTGACTTGAAATGTGAATAACCGTATACCATGGAAGAATCTTACAATTATAAAGATATAACATGCTTGTAAGGTAAATTTAAGCCACCACCTCTTAGGAAATATTAAAAATCTGAAAGTTTTAACAATATGCTATATTAACATATACTTATCAAAACACCAAAACTTTGAGGACTAGTTATTTTCAAGATCACATCGTTTGTATGACAAATCCAGATGTCTACAGTAAGCTGTTAGAAGATAACCTTGGGTGCCAGGAAAAGGACATATTGAGGGATTTAGAGTACATACCTCCCTGAGATTAAGAAAATTTTCCATAAGTCTTGTCTTCCCAAAGAACATGGTAAAAAGTTCATATTTTAAAAGTATTTGCCTGAAAAATCTGTTTTGCTTCACTTATATGTAATTTTTAGACATTTATAAACAATGTCAAAACAATATCGGCATATATTTATTTGAAAAACAAGGTGAACAAGTTAACTATGGTTTTATCTCACCAAAATAGGTAATATTAGTGAGGATTTCCTCTAGAACTGTGCTGTGCAATATGAACCACATACTTAATTTTAAACTTTTTAGTACACATGTTGAAAAAGTAGAAACAGACAAAATTAGTTCTAATAAGATATTTTATTTAGTCCAACATATCCAAAATATTATCATTTCAACACATAACAAATACAAGATAATCATTAATGTGATATTGCACATTCCTTTTCTGTACTAAGTCTTTGAAACACCCTGAGTATTTTACACTTAACATACATTTTAATTCAGACTACCCAGATTCCAAGCATTCAATAGCCACGTGAGGCTAGTGACTATGGTATTAATCAGTACTACTCTAGAAATTTTGCTTTGAAAGTCAGATATGGATAGAAAATAAAGTTAATTAGAAAATATGTATTCTTCTTGAAATACATCTTATAATACAGTTATATTTATATTATTTTGTTTTGGCTATAATTTTTCTTTTTTATATGTTTTGCCAAGGAAGTCAGGGTTTTAGAGGAGAGTAAAGTTTTTTTTGTTAATGCTGCAATAACATGAGTGCTAAATCTTGGAAACCAAGGTGAGAAGATTTATTTTTAAAAGAAGTTTTAGTTACTGGGTTTTTAAGACATATGGTCCTGAAATCCCACAGTGACAGACTTGAAGAAGAGTTAAACTTAAGATCCTAAGGAAGAATGTAAATGGGTATTTACTCATAACAAGTAAGGAATATTAGCATTAGAGTAATCGACAGACATTAATACGTTAAAGGTTTATCAGAAGGTAAATGATAAACATTATTTGTAATTCATTAAATTTTTCTTTACATCATTTACACACACATAGATCTGAGTATTTGAAACTATTTAACTATTTTTTGCTGTGTTCTTTTAATAAAATGTATTTTATATGAAAAGTTTAATAGTGAGATTGTTATAGTATATTATAAATATATATAAATAAAACATGAGTGAGAAAGCTGTCTCTTCAAACCAAATAGGTGTTATTCATAAAATGTTGAAACTCAGATTGTGCTGGTGAGACCTTGCATTTTCCCACACATTACTCATAATTAAGTTTTTTCTCCTGTATCCAGAAAAAGCAAGCAGATATTTGAGAGGGCAGGCCCAGCTGATGCTAGTCACTGGGTCAAAAAGCAAAGCAAAACACAGACAGAGGATGGCAGTGGCCCTTCAGCTCAACATTTAACACCATATGTATTTATCAAAAATACGCATTCACACTTAATGTAGGAAACTCCTTATTATGGTGCTGGGGTTGTAGTAAATAGGTAAGATATGCAAGGTCTCTTTATATATTCTGGTGGGAAATAAATACATAATAAATAGGTAATCAAAAAGTAAGGTAATTTTAGAAAATGTTATGAAGAAAATAGTACAGGATTGTGCATTAAGGAATGATTTGAGATGAAGGACGGAAAGTAATTTAGATGATGTGATTAGCATAAATCTCTTGATTTGATTAATTTG
Source organism: Homo sapiens (assembly GCF_000001405.40). NCBI lineage: Eukaryota > Metazoa > Chordata > Mammalia > Primates > Hominidae > Homo > Homo sapiens. The sequence goes on from NC_000011.10 coordinate 5,952,004, forward strand.
AAATAAGATAATGAAAAAAGAAAATAAGCCACTATTTGAGAATATAGATATGTTCCAAGTGGAACTTATATAATACATCAACTGCAAACATAATGCATAAAATAACACATAATTACATTAAAACATATATAGTAACTGTGAAGCCTCTGAACCTAGAATAAACAGAAACAGTAAAAAATGTCAACAATTTGAAAGTACACAGCCATGGAGAATCTAAGGCAGAGGTGCAAGGCGGTTGCCACTTGGCAGAAAGGTAGACCCAAATCTAGAATAGTGGAAGGTGTAGGAAGAATATTATAACAGGAACTCACTTTTGAGCCAAAGCAGGAACAGAATCCTATAAGCTGAAAACATACAGAAGAGATTGAGGCTGAAAAACAGAAAGCCCTTCATCAGAAAGAAGGACAATCCAGAGAAAATATATCACAAATTATTCTAGTAGAAATTATGATTCAATACTAAGACATTCACTTTCCAAAATATCAATCAAATAATTACATTATTATTGTTTGTTGTGTTTTTCTCAACTTTTATTTTAGATTCAGGGGGTACATGTAGGAAACTCATTATTATGGTGGGGGGGTTGTAGTAAATAGGTAAGATATGCAAGGCCTATGTATATATTCTAGTGAGAAATAAATAATAAATAAGTAATAAAAATAGGTAATTTTAGAAAATGTTGTGCCAGGTTTGTCACCTGGGCATATTGAATGATGCTGGACTTTAGAGTGCCAATGATTCTGCCACCCAGATCCTGAGCACAGTGCCCAACAGTTTGTTTTCAACATATATCCCTTTCCCTCTCTTCCACCTCTAGTAGTCACCAGTGTCTATTGCTGCCATCTTTAGGTCCATGAGTATCCAATGTTTAGCCTCCATTTATAAGTGAAAGCATGCAGTATTAGGTTTTGTGTTCCTGTGTTAATTTACTTAGGATAATGGTCTCCAGTTGCATCCATCTTGCTGCAAAGGACAAGATTTCATTCTTTTCTATGGCTGCATAGTATTCTAAGGTGTATATGTACCACATTGTCTTTATCCAGTCCACCATTGATGGGCACCTAGGCTGATTCTATGTTTTTGCTATTGCGAATAGTGCTGCGATAAATGTGCAAGTGCATATCTTCATGGTAGAACAATTTGTTTTCTTTGGGATAAATACCCAGTAATGGGATTGCTGAGTTGGATGGTAATTCTGTTTTAAGCTCTTTAAGAAATCTCCAAACTGCTTTCTACAGTGGCTGAACTAATTTACATTCCCACCAACAGCTTATATGCATTTCCCTTTCACTGCAGCCTTGCCAATACCTGTTGTTTTTTTGACTTAACAACAGCCATTCTGACTGATGTGAGATGCTATCTCACTGTGGATTTGATTTTCATTTCTCTTGATGATTACTGATGTTGAGCATTTTTTCATACTTTGCTGGACATTTGTATGTCTTCTTTTGAAAAGTGTCTGCTCATGTCTTTTGCCCATCTTAATAGAGTTCCAAGTAATTAAATTATTACTCTAGCATTCCTAGGTTAAGTGCCATATGATTGAAAGCTGACACCATTGGTAGAAGATCAGTAGATCTGGCTGCATACTGTAGATCCTAGGTAAAGAGTACAGACCCAAATCCAGGACCAGGACACATTGTTCTTTCAGTGAGAGCTTTAAAACTTCCCTGTCATTGACATAGTACTTATTTATATTTTACTTTTTCCATAAATTTAAATCATTAATGTCATTAACTCTATTTTGTATTTATGAAGATAAGTTTACTTGTAGTGCTATATTATTTTAATAAATGTTTTTATTCTTATAAAAGCTATACTACCTTTATATCAAGATTTCATAATCCAGATGGTGTTTATTAGAAGCAAAAGTGCTTGTGAGAGATGGGGGGGACTCATTGATTAATTAATTAATTGACTGAAACTTTCTTCTGTAATAAGCACTATATCAAAGTTGCAGGGGAAAAAAGGTGAATTAAACACAGTCCTGGCCGCAAAGAGCTCAAAATATAGTGAGAAAAGGGGCATCAGGACAGACAAATGTGGATTTTGGAACCTGTGCTATTGAACCAAAGCTTACTCATTAAAGAGATGGTCAAGTTGATCATTGGTAAGCCCCAGAACTAACTCTTTAATTGCATTATTGCTTAGGGAAAACAATGATAAAGTGTGTGTGAGAACCAGCACAACTAAAAGACTTGTTTATGCCTTGCATTTTGGTCTTCAAGTCACCCTATTTAATTATCCCAAATCTTGTAAGACTGTGCCTTTTTATCTCTCTTGATCACTTTTATTTGAGGAAAAATCAAATGTACCTCTGACTAAGGCTCAGATCTTATCCCACAATCCAGGGCTAGGAACACAGATTTGCTGTTTTGTCATTGTTATTTATTGCTAGAGAGAAAGGTTAATGGAATGAAATAAGGTGGTTGAGTCCTGGGGAGTTAAAGTGTGAAAATAGAGCTGGAATTATACTTTCAAAGTCTGCAAGTTTGAATTGAATAATTTAGTAATATTTGTTCCCTTATAAGTTGATCATTTTTTTAAATAAAATTCATATTGTCTTTTTAAATAATGTTTTCATTGGAAAGTGGGATCATACTGGCAATATTAATATTTTTGCAAGAATATTAATTCTTAAAATTGCATTAAAATTAATTATTTCCAACCTTAACAAAGTAACTGGTACCAAATTTTCACTTCAACCAGAAAGAAATAGGAAATTAAACAGAAAGTATGAAACAATTGTTCCAAGAACTGGAACAACATACAGCCCTAGATTTCTCCTAAAGGAACTTTCCTGATCCTAATTGCAAGGAAAGCAGAAGGTAGAAGAGAGCATAAAAGTCTTCCCAAGTTTCAAGAAAGACAGCAGATCTTGGGGACATTGAAGAAGTTGGAATTTGTAAAGCAAAACAGCAAAGAAGAGGGAGCTACACAAAAAAGGACTCCAAAGATACAAAGGGGTACCATTTAGTCTTTGAATGAATGATAACATGCATCATAAGCTGCAAATATACAGGAATAAAGAACAATCACTGGGGAAAGAATGATTAATGGGGACCTTAAACAATTCTGAAAACATATGCAGGGCCAGAATGTGTTTAATCTTGGAACAGTCATAGTGGAGAGACCATACTGAATACCTGGGGCATTCAGTAGAATTGCTGAAGTGGCCATTAATCTGTAGTAGTATGTAACTAGCACTGGAATAAAAGCTAATCTACATAAAAAGTAAAAAGATTAAAATCAAGACTTGAAAGAAACAAGCTGATCAGCTTGTAACTTATGATTTTCCAAGACAAACTTCCAACACTCTAAAGGAAAACAACTAAATGTAGACACCCAACAATGTAAAATTTCTTATTATTAGCAGTGGAGAATCTGTATGGGTCTACAGCAACCTGAATTCTTTCCTCCTCAGAAGAAAGAATTCAGCTGAGGGGCATAAGGCAGAATGAGAGACTGAGGCAAGTTTTAGAGCAGGAGTGAATGTTTATTAAAAAGTTTAGAGCAGGAATGAAAGGAAGTAAAGTACACTTGGAAGAGGGTCAAGCGGGCACCTTGGGAGATTAAGTGCACAGTTTGGCCTTTGACTTGCAGTTGTATACATTGGCATGCTTCTGGGGGGTTACATTCCTTCTCCCCTGGTTCTTCCCTTGGGATGGGCTGTCTGCATGCACCAGTGGCCAGGCAGCTCTACTAACAGATGTACCGTAGTTCTTGAAACATAATTTTTCTCTTTTCACTCTTCATTTTTATTAAAAACAAATTATGATAAGATGATTTGATTGCAAAATAAGCTCTAGTCTTGTTATACTTGGTCTGATTATTTGGATAAAGCACAGCAAGAATAATTATTTGCCATATAGCCTCCTTTTTAACCCTTTTCCCATTTGCCCTACGAATACTTGCTGGCAGCACTTGCAGCTGCAGCGTTTACCCCAAAATAACTTTGCCATAAAATACCTCACTTTTATTATTATTTTCACATCACTCTAGTATATCAACTGTGGAAACAAAAGACATTATTCTATTTATAGCATTCTGTTTTAATAGAGGTATTTCCATTTACACAATGCAGTAATTCTCGATCATAGAAAATGTCAAATCCTAGAAAACATAGCATTCTTATGCATGATGTTATCATTCTCGAACAATTGTTGGCCAAAGATGTATTTGATGAATCCAATTTTTCTGAAATATAATGATTCTGATGATTCAGAAGATTATGATGTTAGTTCTATTTAGAAATAACTCTAAGAACAGATTTTATATTTTATTTTCACATTAAAAATCAATCAGATTTGCTTCAGCTTCAAAGAGTGTGTTTATGTAAAATTAAATGAGTACTGGCAGTCTCCTCTCTAGGTGTAGATCTGAGCTGCACTTTACATGTTTTGGGTTGACTCACAGACATCCTAACACAATTATGTCTTTCTCACGTCAGTGTCTTTGAGTCCTGAAAGACCAATATCTAGGGAGTGCATTCTGTTATACAAGCAATGAAACAACAACTATAAAACAAAGTATTATTTCTGCTAAGCCTTTAAATAGGTGTTTCACAGAGGTGCCTATACAATGTTTTCTCCAAGCTAATGTCTTATTAAGTTCATTGTTGAGAAGCCAATGTGACTCCTCAACTTCTCACTGCTTTATGCTCATGTTTGGAGTTCACAAAATTTCACAATCACAGTATTGCTTCTCCCATAGGTCAAAAGATACAAAGATGTTTTGGGTTTCCTGTCCTCGTGATCTCCACTTTCTGAAATATTGTACCTGCACAAACATACCTACCTGCCTAAGCCTACACATATTTCTACACACTTCCAAAAATGAAGGAGATGTGTGTATATTTAAATATAAAGAGAGGCCTGGCGCGGTGTCTCACGCCTGTAATCCCAGCACTTTGGGAGGCCGAGGCAGGCAATTCCCTGAGGTCAGGAGTTCGAGACCAGCCTGACCAACACGGTGAAACTCATCTCCACTAAAAATAAAAAATTAGCCAGACATGGTGGCTTATGCCTGTAATACCAGCTACTCAGGAGGTTGAGGCAGGAGAATCGCTTGAACCTGGGAGAGATTGCAGTGAGCTGAGATCGCACAATTCCATTCCAGCCTGGGTAACAAAAGTGAAACTGCATCTCAAAAATAAATAAATAAATAAATAGAGAAAGACAAATTAGTGGCTTATAGCACTTCTCACAGAGTATCTTAAAACTTTATGCACTGGAGTGTTTAACAGAAGAATATCAAATATTTAGGAGTCTATCCTACTATAACTTATACTGCTGCCACATTGTTATACTGTATACATCATTCCATGTGTCATTCTATTCTCCCATTCTACTGCATTTTATACTTTCTTAATCTATCTCATAAGCATTTACTAAAAATCTTTTATGTTTTGTTATTTTTCTTGACTCAGTATAAAATTAAACAGTGAGTGAAAACATATAGGGGAATAGCTTCCTATTCCCCGGTGATGTGGTTTCTCCACTATCTTGTAACTTAATAGAATTTACAAGATAACGGAGAAAGCACATCATTGGAGAATAGGAAACTATTTAGAAAAGGACATGAGCAATATACCTCTTGCAGAGCTCTGAAGCCCGCAAGATTCTAAATGAGACATTGCTAAAACTTACTCAGGCTACCACTGGAATTTTAATTCCAGAAAGTGTTTTCCATATGGGCCCAAATAAGAGTTGCAAATAAGTGAAAGAAACATTTTTTTAAAGATTTTTAAAACTTTTTTTTAAAGAGAAGCAGGTTTTCTCTTCCAAGTGCTAGAAGACAGTTTCTTGTCACTAGTGGGATTTAAGCAAATCTTGGATATCTATTTAGCAAAGAATCCTTAGAGAAAATTCCAAGAGAGTTCTAGATTTGATGAGTTTTAAAAGTCCTATAAATATGAAATTCTAGTTATCCAGAAATCAGAAAAGTGGTGGCCAATGTGGACAACCTTCTAAGTATTTTTGTGTGTTTCAAGAGAAATTGTAAATAATTTAAAACTGTCCAATTTCAAAAAAGAGAAGGAAATAGTGATAATGACATGACAAATTGTAGAGGTATATGTAGCAAATCTGTGAGCATCCATCCCTCAATGGTTGATTTGAGATCTCTTTTTTTTCTATTATCTCTTCATGGATAGCCTATAATCTTTTATTTTGAAGAACAGTACTTTTAGTCTGCATTGATTCCAACTAGACTATAAGCCAACTGTCAACATCTGATATGAGGCAGCAAAACTAAGATTTTAATAGATGACTGCAAACAAGGAACAACTGAGGGTGCCATAGCATAACACCATGAGACTCAAATAGGAAAGGATTTTATAAAAGAGGCTACACGAGAAATTCCACTGGAGACTAAGAATGACACATGGAGTAGGGCTGTTACCTCTCTGAAGTGAATGATGTATAAAATAATGAATATCCTCTACTTTTCTGTTTTTTATTGTTCACTTATTACAAGTAATAAGAATAAAAGCAGTCTTTCTAAAATGGACAGTGTATGTATTTTTCATGTACAACAGGATGTTTTGAAGTATATATGCATTATAAAATGCTTGAATCTAGCTAGTTAACAAATGCATTACTTCAAATAGTTATTTTTATGTTGACTATGGCATGACCTCCACTCTCTTTGGGCTTTTCAACAATACAATGTATTATATCATTATTAACTATAGTCAACATGCTGTACAATAGATCTCTTGGACTTATTTTTTCTATCTAATTGCAATTATGTATCCTTTGACCAATCACTCTTCTAATGCCCTCCTCCTCCCTGATCACCTCATTTGTGGTAATAGCCTTCTAGTCTCTACAAGATCAGCTTTTTTAGATTCCACATATAAATGAGAAAATGTAATGTTTGTCTTCCTGTGTCTGGCTTATTTCACTTAACATAATGCCTTCCAGGCTCATACATGTTGTCGCAAGTGAGAAGATTCCATTATTTTTGTGGCTGAATAGTATTTCATTAAATATACATACCACATTTTATTTTCATTAATCTATGGATGAACACATAGGTTAATTCCATAGGTTGGCTATTGTGAATAGTGATGCAAAAAACATGAGACAGCAGCTATCTCTTCAACATATGATTTTCTTTCCTTTGGATATATACCCAGTAGTGGGAATGCTAGATCATATGGCAGTTCTATTTAATGTTTCAAGGAACTTCTGTCCTGTTTTCCACAATGGCTTTACTAATTTACATTCCCACCAACAGTGTGTAAGCATTCCTTTTCTCCACATCTCCACCAATATTTGCTATTTTTTGTGGTTTTTTTGTTGTTGCTGTTTTGTTTTCCTTTTTGTTTTTATAATAGTCATTCTCAAAGGAGTAAGGTGACATCTCATCATGGTTTTGATTTGCATTTCCCTGATGATTACTGATATTAAGCATTTCTTTCTTATACCTGTTGGTCATTTTTCTGTCTTCTTTTGAGAATGTCTACTCAGATATTTTGCCTGTTTTTTATTATTTGTTTCCTTGCTATTGAATTGTCAGAGTTCCTTATATATTTTAAACATTAATCTTTATCAGATATATATTTCACAAATACTTTCTTCCATTTAGCTCTTCATTCTGTTAAGGGAAGATTGTTTCTTCACTCTATTGATTGCTTTCTTTGCTGTACAAAACTTTTTAGTTTAGTAATACCATTTGTCTATTTTTACTTTTGTTTTCTATGCTTTTGAGGTCACATCTAAATAATCATTGCCCAGATCAATGCTGTGGGATGTTTCTCTTATGTTTTCTCTAGTAGTTTCAGAGTTTGGGTTCTCATATTTAAGTCTTTAGTTTATTTTGAGCTGAATTTTGTAGATGGTGAGAGATAAGGGTCTAATTTGATTCTTCTGAATATGGATATTCAGTTTTTCCGATACTATTTATTGAAAAATCTCCTTTTCCTCATTGTGTGTTATTGGCATCTTTGTTGAAAATCATAGATTTTAAATGAATAGATTTATTTCTGAGCTCCCTATTCTGCTCCAGTGGTCTATATGCCTGTTTTTATGCCAGTACCGTACTGTTTTGATTATTATGGCTTTGTAGCATAGTTTAAAATAAGGAAGTGTGATGCCTTCATTTTTGTTTTCTTTCTCAAGATTGCTGTGGCTATTCAGTATCTTTTGGGGTTCCATATGAATTTTAGAATTTTCTATTTCTGTGAAGACTGTCGTTGGTACTTTGAAAGAGATTGCATCCCTCTCCCCCTCCCCCTCCCTCTCCCTCTCCCCTTTGCACGGTCCTCGTCTCCCCTTTGCATGGTCTCCCTCTGATGCCCAGCTGAGGCTGGACTGTACTGCCACCATCTCGGCTCACTGCAGCCTCCCTGCCTGATTCTCCTGCCTCAGCCTGCCGAGTGCCTGGGATTGCAGGCGCGCACCGCCACACCTGACTGGTTGTCGTATTTTTTGGTGGAGACCGGGTTTCGCCCTGTTGGCCGGGCTGGTCTCCAGCTCCTGACCGCGAGTGGTCTGCCAGCCTCGGCCTCCCGAGGTGCCGGGATTGCAGACGGAGTCTCGCTCACTCAGTGCTCAATGTTGCCCAGGCCGGAGTGCAGTGGCGTGATCTCGGCTCGCTACAACCTCCACCTCCCAGCCGCCTGCCTTGGCCTCCCAAAGTGCTGAGATTGCAGCCTCTGCCCGGCCGCCACCCCGTCTAGGAAGTGAGGAGCGTCTCTGCCTGGCTGCCCATCGTCTGGGATGTGAGGAGCCCCTCTGCCCGGCAGCCCAGTCTGGGAAGTGAGGAATGCGTCTTCCCGGCCGTCATCCCATCTAGGAAGTGAGGAGCGTCTCTGCCCGGCCGGCTGCCCATCATCTGGGATGTGGGGAGCGCCTCTGCCTCGCCGCCCCGTCTGAGATGTGAAGAGTGCCTCTGCCCGGCCGTGACCCTGTCTGGGAACTGAGGAGTGTCTCTGCCTCACCGCCACCCTGTCTGGGAGGTGAGGAGCGTCTCTGACCGGCCGCCCCATCTGAGAAGTGAGGAGCCCCTCCGCCCGGCAGCCGCCCCCCGTCTGGGAATTGGGGAGCCCCTCCACCCGGCAGCCGCCCCATCCGGGAGCTGGGGGGCAGCCCGCGCCCGGCCAGCCGCCCCGTCCGGGAGGTGGGGGGCAGCCCCCGCCCGGCCACCGCCCAGTCTGGGAGGTGGGGGGCCCCTCTGCCCGGCCACCCCGTCTGGAAAGTGAGGAGCCCCTCTTCCCCGGCCGCCACCCCATCTGGGAGGTGTACCCAACAGCTCATTGAGAACGGGCCATGATGACAATGGCGGTTTTGTCCAATAGAAAAGGGGGAAATGGGAAAGGAAGGAGAGATCAGATTGTTATTGTGTCTGTATAGAAAGAAGTAGACATAGGAGACTCCATTTTGTTCTGTACTAGGAAAAATTCTTCTGCCTTGGGATGCTGTTGATCTATGACCTTACCCCCAACCCTGTGCTCTCTGAAACAGGTGCTGTGTCCACTCAGGGTTAAATGGATTAAGGGCGGTGCAAGATGTGCTTTGTTAAACAGATGCTTGAAGGCAGCATACTCGTTAAGAGTCATCACCACTCCCTAATCTCAACTACCCAGGGACACAAACACTGAGGAAGGCGGCAGGGCCCTCTGCCTAGGAAAACCAGAGACCTTTGTTCACATGTTTATCTGCTGACCTTCCCTCCACTATTGTCCTATGACCCTGCCAAATCCCCCTCTCCGAGAAACACCCAAGAATGATCAATAAATACTTAAAAAAAAAAAAAAAAAAGAAAGCGATTGCATTGACTCTATATATAACTTTGGGTGGTATGGACATTTTAACACCATTATGTTGTTTCCATATAGGGACAATTTAACTTCTTTCTTTCCAATTTGCATGCCTTTTATTTTTCTCTTGCCTAATTGCTCATGCTAAGACTTCCAATATTAGTAAAGAGAAGGGGTGAAAGTGGGCATCCTTGTCTTGTTCCAGATCTCGGAGAAAAAGCTTCTAATTTTCCTTGTTGAATATGCTAGCTGTGAATTTGCCATATGTAACCTTTATTATGTTGAGGTAAACTTCTTCTATACCTAATTTATTAAGTTTTTATCATAAATGGAGTTTAAGTCTTGCCAAATGATTTTTCTACATAGTGAAATGATTCGATGATTTTTGTTTTTCATTTTGTTAATGTGATGTATTACATTTAATTGATTTGCATATGTTGGTTAGCATTTATTCTTGCATCTCTGGATTGGATCTCACTTGATTGTGGTAAATGGTCTTTTAATGTATTATTGAATTCAGTTTGCTAATGTTTTTAAAGATTTCTGCATCCATTTTCATCAGGGATGTTGGCCTGTAGTTTTCTTTGTGTGTGCGTGTTCTCATCTAGTTTTGGTATCCCGGTAATGCTGACCTCTTACAATGAATTTTGGAGAATTCTCTCCTCTTTAATTTTTTGGAATAGCTTGAGAAGAATTGATGTTAGTTCTTCTTTAAATGTTTGGTATAATTCATCAGTGAAGCCATCAGATTCTGGGCTTTTCTTTTTTTTTTTTTTTTTTGAGACGGAGTCTCTCTCTGTCGCCCAGGCCAGACTGCGGACTGCAGTGGCGCAATCTCGGCTCACTGCAAGCTCCGCTTCCCGGGTTCACACCATTCTCCTGCCTCAGCCTCCCGAGTAGCTGGGACTACAGGCGCCTGCCACCGCGCCCGGCTAATTTTTTGTATTTTTAGTAGAGATGGGGTTTCACCTTGTTAGCCAGGATGGTCTCGATCTCCTGACCTCATGATTCACCCGCCTCGGCCTCCCAAAGTGCTGGGATTACAGGCGTGAGCCACCGTCTGGGCTTTTCTTTAGTGAGATACTTCTACTACTATCTTTATTTCATTACTCATTATTGGTCTGTTAACATTTTCTATTTCTTCATAGGTTCCTGTAGGTTTTATGTGTCCAAAAATGCTTCAATTTCTTCGAGATTAACTAATTTGTTGGTGTGTAGTTGATCAGAATCATTTCTCATGATACTTTGTATTTCTGCGATATCAGTTGCAGTGTCCCCCTTTTCATCTCTGATCTTATTTAAGTCTTTTCTCTTTTTTCTTAGTTTAGCTAAAGGCTTGTTAATTTTATCATTTTAAAAAACCTCCATTTTGTTGATCTTTTATATATTTTTCTAGCCTACATTTTATTATTTCTGCTATTGTCTGTAATATTTTCTTCTTTGTGTTAATACTGGGTTTAGTTTGCTTTTATTTTTCTATTTCCTTGAGGTGCAACATTAGGTTGTTTATTTGAGATGCTTTTTCTTTATTCATGTATGTGTTTATTGCTATAGCCTTCCTCTTAGAACTGCTTTTTCTGTATCCCACAGGTCTGTAGTAATGAATTCCCTCAGCCCTTATTTGTCTGGGAGTCTTTATCTCTCCTTCATTTTTGAAGGAGAGCTTTGCTAGGTATAGTATTCCTGGTTGGCAGATTTTTTGGTGTTTTTTTTTAAATATATTTTTCACTCAGCACTTTGAATATATCATTCTACTTTCTCCTGGCCTGTAAGGTTTTTGCTGAGAAGACTTGCTAGACATATTGGAGCTTCTTTATATGTTATTTGCTTATTTTCTCTTGCTGCTTTCAAGATCCCCTTTTTGTCTGAGCTTTGACAGTTTTATTATAATATGTCTTGGAGTAGTCTTAGGTGTATTGAATCTCATTGGTGATCTTGATCTTCTTTTACCTAGATATTTATATCTTTCCCTGGGTTTGGAAAGTATTTTGCTATTGTTCCTTTAAATAATATTTCTACCCTTTTATCTTTCTCTACTCACTCTTGAATGCCAATAACTTGTACATTGTACATTTCATCTTTTGATGCTATCCCATAAACCCCATAAGCTTTCTTTATTCTTTTTAGTTCTTTTTTTCTCCTCTGTCTATATATTTTTCAATAACCTACTTTTCAATAACCTTTCTGTCTACAGATTCTTTCTTCTGCTTCAGCAATTCTGTTGTTGATGCTCTATTATATTTTTCATTTTATTCATTGTAATATTCAGCTCAGCATTTCTGATTGATTTTTATATTATTCTTTCAATTTCTTTGTAATATTTTTTATTTTGGTTACTTATTATTTTCCTTATTTTCTTGAATCGTTTCTGTGTATTTTATTAAAGTTTATTAAGCTTCCATAAAATAGCTGTTTTGTATTTGTTATCACTCAATTTATACATCTCCATGTCTTCAGGGGCAATTGCTGGCACCTTACTTTGTCCATTTGGTGATGTCATGCTTCCCAGATTGCTCTTGATCCTTATGGTTATAAGTTGATGTCTGCCCATTGAAAAGGTAGGTAGTTATATCAGTCATCACAGTATTGCTTTGTCTGGGAATATTTTTCAACAATAAGCCTGTCCAGAGATTTTGAACCAGTCATCTGGTGTGGTCCCTAAGCCTGTAATCCCTGCAGTCATTGAAGACCTGGGGGTACTCTAAGCCTATGATCTGCACTGGCCAGTGCAGCAGTGGGTTGGAATTCCATGGCTTCTGAGGCTGGTATAGTGCCAGGCTAGAATTCAGTGGTCCCTTCTGAGGCTGGCACAGCATTGGGGTGCACCCAAACTCATGGCCATTCAGATCTGCATGTAGTTATGGGTTATTTGGAGTCCAAGGCTACTATAGTCAGCCAGTGGTGATGCAGGCCAGAATTCAAGTCCATCTCACACATGGCTACGGGTTTCTATCTGGCACTGAGGCAGACCTAGAGGTTCAGTTTACAGATATTGGCATGTAGGTCTCTCTGGTGCTGGGTTTAACTGTGGCATGGCCCAGGATTGAGGTCCAAGCAAAGTCCAATGCTTACTTATGTGTCTTTCCCCTAAGATAGTATCTCTCTCTTTGCACTGTTCCCTGATGTTGGGGGAGGGGTAACGTGTAAGGTAAAATTGTCCTTCCTACCTTCTTCAATGTGTCTTTTCTTATCATTATCTTAAAACCAGGTACTGTGATCACTCACCTGGTTTTCTTAGCTCTTGTAAAGGTATTTAATGCATGGATAATTGTTCAAATTATCCATTTCCTATGGGAGGAAAAAATTATCCATTTCCCATGTTCTTATAGGAGAATGGTCACTAGAGAATCCTATTCCAATATTTTGCTCCACTTTCCTCCCAAATAAAAAGAAGACATTTGAGAAATCAACGTGCATTAGAAAATAATAAAATTAGTCTCCACATGTAAGTTAACAGCATGTTTTAGGCTCTGGTTAAAAAATGTTTTATAAATTAGGTCATCCAGTTTATCCAGCAAACAGAAATCAAATAGTAAGGGGATAATTAATTATTACTCTTCTTAAATGAGAAAATTAGAACTCATATTGAGATTGGTGAGTCAAAAGTAACACATCTTACCCGTGGCCAAATCAGTATGCCTGGAACATAAATAAAAATCAGTGTTATCCCAATAAGCAGGCTTAGGTTCTATGGTAGGTAAGATTGCATTGAACTGTGAGTTATATAAGGCTTTTTGTAAGTATCTTTGGAGAATACATTATATTAATAATTTGATTCTTTCCCTAAGAAGGGAAAATAAGAAAAAAATAAGAAGATGTGCACACATAATATTCACTTTTATTCATCAAAATAACTAAATATGTAAAGCATTATATTAAAGCTCTAGAATATACAAAGTTGAAGAGATGAATAAAACTCTTCACCAGACTCAGAGGAGTTTATAATCTACTACCAAAGGGAGATACACACATGACTCAAGAAGGTCAGATTAATTCCATTGGGGTAAATAAAGGATGGGTTTGTGGAGTAGGTGGAGTTTAAACTGAGACTCATAAGATGGGCATAATTTTCCAAATGAAAAGAGTGGTGTTGTTTTTTATGTGGAAGAGGATACTGGAACACAGACTTTAAGAAAAACATATAGGAGGGACATAATGTTAAAAAAAATGAGCTGGGAGCTGACCTGCATGATAGGTAAACAGAAGAGTGAAAAATTTTGTATTTTGATTAGGATCAGTCTTTGAAGTTGAGAAGGAGGGAAGATAGAAATCAAAACTATTGTTTTGGTGAAAGACAATACTATAGAAATAATAAATTGGGCCAGTCGTGGTGACTCACACCTGTAATCACAGCACTTTGGGAGGCTGAGGCAGGTGGATCGCTTGAGCCCAGGAGTTCAAGACCAACCTCAGCAACATGGTGAAACCCCGTCTCTACAAAAAAAAAAAAAAAAAAAAACCGGGCATGGTGGTGCACACCTGTAGTCCCAGCTACTTGGGAGGCTGAGGTGGGAGAATCACTTAAGCCTGGGAGACAGAGGTTGCAGTGAGCCAAGATCATGGCACTGAACTCCAGCCTGGGCGATAGAGTAAGACCCTGTCTCCCTATCTCAAAAAAAGAAACAAGAAAAGAAAAGATAAACTGACTTATAAGTCTTCCAAGAATAATTTGATTATCATAGATTAGGAGACATTCCGAAATGATTCAAAAATAATATCTATGAAGTGCTCTATTACTAACCAAAAAGGGGCCTAGCTACTAAATGTTACTTAATCCCAGGAAATATTGGTCAGTATATAGGTCCTACCTATATACTGATCAGAGCATGATCAGGATAAAAATTGCAAAGTGTAAAACATACTTATCCTTGTTCTAAAAACTCACTAATTCAGATGTCTGGATCCTATGGGAAGCTATGCTGGCCAGGGACAGGACATGAAGATTGAGACAAGAGGACTGAAAGTAGGATGAGAAAGACGGTTTAACTGTATATCTAAGACAAATAGGAAAGAGTAGGAATAAGATGGTGTCAGAAATCTGATGGAAAAGTCAGGTAGGATAGTATGAAGTCAGAAGTTGGTAAAATATATCTTAAAAAAGGACACACAGATTCACTTAAAGCAACACACACACACACACACACACACACACATAAATATGAGTCATTTTAAGATGTAAAAATCACTAGGAAAAAAAACTATAAGAAATTCACACTCCAAATAAGTAGCATTAGATAAAAATATTAACAAGATCTGTCAAGGACAGAGGAGGCAGTGAATGTCACATGTTATTCACTCTACATAAGAATCA
The DNA here is from genome assembly GCF_000001405.40 of Homo sapiens. Taxonomy (NCBI): domain Eukaryota; kingdom Metazoa; phylum Chordata; class Mammalia; order Primates; family Hominidae; genus Homo; species Homo sapiens. The sequence continues at coordinate 5,967,081 of NC_000011.10, forward strand.
AAGTTCTTGAGTCAACATCTATATGTCCACAAGAGATCCATTCATGGCAAAAAAAAAAAAAATTATTCACGTTGAGCTGAGTCAGGGAAAACCAAGACATCTAACACATATGTATGTATTAAACAATACAGGAATTGAGAAACATTTAAAATAATTGGAATTATATTTATCCTTTGTTTGAAAACCATACAATTCTAAGCTCCAGTGATTATGGCTTGTCAATTCGTACTCACATAGATGAAGTCAAGAAAAACTTCCAAACAATTCTAGAATGCCAAAACACTAAGATTCCAGTCAGTGAAACAGAAAGCAGGATCCAACGAGTAGATATCCCTATAATCAATTGAAACACTGAAGAAAGCCAAGTCTAAACTTATTCTCGCAGTAACAATTTAAATTTTCTATGCATCATAACAATTATTCTCCAATATCAATTTCTGTTTTCAAGGTCAGGTTGCATTCATTTTATTTTTTACAACCTCCTCAGCAGGTTCTGGATTCCCTGCTTGATCTCCTTGGTTCTCACACCATAAACAATGGGGTTCAGAGCTGGGGGAATAAGGTGGTGCAGGATGTTGAGCAGGATGGGGACATCCGGAGGAATTCTCTTCCTGGCCAGGTTAGTGATGACCAGAACCAGCAGGACTGTGGTGAAGAAGAGGATGAGGATGAAGTGGGAACCACAAGTACCTAGAGCTTTGGCCATATCTCCCTCACCCTTAATCCTTAGCACAGTTTTCAAGATAAAAAAGTAAGAGAGAACAATAAGGATGAGGTCAGAGCCCAGCAGGGTCCAACCTATAACAAACTGGTAGCTCTGATTCAAGGTGATGTCATCACAAGAGAGTTTAGACACAGACACGTTAGTACAGATGCAGTTCTTGATGATGTGTCCTGCACAGTATCTGAGTCGAGAAGAAAGTATGGGGATAGGCATAGTAAGAAGGCCATTCCTGGCCACAACAAAGATGGCAGCCCTAGCGACAAATTGATCAGTGATGATGGATGAGTACTGTAGGGGCTTGCAGATGGCCACATAGCGGTCATAGGCCATGATCATGAATGTGCAGGACTCCATAGTCAGAAAACTGTTCATGATGAACACCTGAAGGAAGCAGGCAGGGAAGCTGATTGATCTGAGGTCAAACCAGAAGATGGCCAGGACCTTGGGGATGACGGTGAGGCAGAGTACGATGTCCAGCAGGGAGAGGAGGCTGAGCAGGTAGTACAGGGGCTGGTGCAGAGAGGCTTCCAGATAGATGGTGATCAGAAGGGTGGCATTGGCCCCCATGGCCAGGAGGAAGAGGAGGCTGAGGGGCAGAGACAGCCAGTGCTGCCAGCTCTGGAAACTGGGGAAACAAATGAGGAAGAATTCAAAGACTGGGGAAGTGGAGTTGTTGCTGGGTAATGTCATGAAATAAATCCTCAGCTGAGAAAATTTCACCTGAAATTGTGTTTGATAAGACACAGGAATTAGAAATAGAAAACAAAGCTGTTAAAATATTTGCTAACATTTTCTAATTTATAAAATGTATGAGATACAGATGACCAATCCCAAATGAAGGCAAAGTTTAGTAAATATTAACATAAATAGTGAAAGGTTTAGTAAATTATTTCTGAAGTTAATTTAGAAAAGCAAATAGACTAGACAAAGGTTTAGAAGGAAAATGATTTAAAAAAACCTCATTAAAACATACTGTAAAATACAAAAAAAATTCCAAATTATACTGACAAAGCAAATTGAATAATTATAGATCCACAGGCTAGAAACACTCATAAGTTTACAGAGTAATCTAGAATTAATAAATATGTCATAAAATAATTTAATTGCAGGGTCCTTTCAGTAAGTAGTGCATAATTTGTTAGATGGGGGAAAATAATTATTCCTCTCTTTTTATTACACACCAAAGTACATTTGAGATGGAAAAAATATATAATATACTCCCAACCCTATTACAAACCTGAGGAAAATAAAAGCAAATATTGATTAAATATATAGAGGAACTCCCAAACTCCCTATCACTCTGACATATGGTACTGTGTCACAACCCATCCTAGACATATTTAATCCAAGCCTGCACAAGTGCAATTCAATGTTCCTATAGAAAGATAGGCTCAAAGGTTATGCTGTTTTCATTAACATTTATAACCACTAACCTAAAATGAGAACTTAACACACATATTCATGACAATAACCTTCTCTGGTTAATTCATTCCTCTATCTGCTTCAAGCAATTTTCCATATTTTCTATTATTTTCAAATACTAAATCTCCTCTTCTCTCAGATAACCTCTCTAACTGCTTCATAAAGACAGTAGAAACATCAGATGCAAGTCCTCTACTTCCCATGATAGACTCATAAACTCATCAGCATCTACATCCTTGCTCTCCTTATTGCACCAGCAGAATCGAGGCTCTATCCCTTCTCTGAATGGCAATCCTTGACCTCACAATTTGATTCCATTCACCTTGACCTTTTTAGGAACCCTGACTTATGGATTATCCAGCCCATTGCCTATGTATTCAACCCTTCCTAAATCCTTCCCATGGATATTCAAAATGTTCAAGTCTCTCATATCTTAATTATTTTCTTCATCTATCCCACATCCTCATTTGGATAAAGACCATGGTTTCATTTTTTGGAGAAAAATACTAATCTATTTATTCTTCCTATTTCACACCCAAACTTAAAGGACCAGAGGAGGCAAAGGACATCTAAAAGGGGACAAGTGACTGTTGGCTTCAGTAGTCCAATTGAGAAGTGATCACTGTGTGAATAAATAGCTCTGAGGATGAGAAAAATGGGCATATTTTAGAGGTATAAATATAATGATAGTGATATAAAGACAGTGAGACTAGTTGCGTAGAAGAAGAGAGGGTAGAATTCTAAGACTGCACTATCTGTTCTGACTCAAATGACTAAGAAAGTTTCACGAAACAAAAAATAGCCTTTGAAAAGATTTGATATATGTTGTGGAGGCAGAGATTATGGATCCAGTTTTGACGTGTTGAGTTTATTGGATCTGTAAACTATCAAAATACATGTGAAATAAAATGTTAGAGAAAGCAATTTAAATTCATTTGAAAGTTAAAGAATTGGAAATCATCAACACATAACATATAGTTCAAACCATAGGACTTTAAATAGATATACTTATGGAGAATATATAAATTAAAGACAAAAAGAGCAAAAGAGGTAAAGAGATTGCAAGGAGACCTAAAAGGAATGAACAGAGACATAATTGAAAATCAAATGGAGTGGACAGATATGCTCACATGAAGAGTTTCAGTAATGTGAGAAAGAGATTATCCATTGCATTTGGCAATTAGGTAATCATTGGTGGTCCTAGCAAACAGTTTCATGTGAAGAGAGAAATAGAATGCGGGAGGACAGGGAGCCAGCAGGACTGGAATGAATGGACACAGGGAGGACTGATCACCTCATTGGAAATCTTCACTTCAACAAACAGCTTCACATGGAGGGAAAACTGAATGCACAGGTAGAACAGTATGTATTAATGCATAGATTTTTTTTTACAAAAAGCAATGTGAATACATTTAAACTGAGGGGCAAAAGACTAGGAAGAAAAATATTGGTGATAAAAAGGAAAAAAAAAAAGATAAAGCAACAGCCCTGGGGAGACAACTACTATTTCCATTTAAATACTGCACAAATCACACCACTGCCTAACTTTCTCTCCTTTCTCTCCCGAATCCACTATAAAATCTCTGAAGTACATATAATGTATTTTCTCTTTTTATTTCATGTTGTTTTTACAGTATCCAGAGCTTAGTAATTCTTAATAAATGCTTGTGAGGTAAATGTCTTAATTTGGGGAAGGCTGTTGACTTTTAAAGACTGAAATAAGAAAAAATAAAAAAGGAAAATATTAACCAAAGAAACAAAGGGAACTGATGTGGAAATTGAGGCAAGCCACGAGGAGAAGCTCAAGATAATAGCTGAATGAGCTGTGGGCCAGAGGTAGAGACAGTGACAGCACAAAGCTCTTGGGGAAGCTTGGGGAATCTTAAACAAGTCATTCACTTTTAGTGCCCTCTGGCCCCAAAGCCTGACACTTGGTGGGAGGGATACTCCTGATTCACCCCACTGACCTACTAGGTCATTGCCTTCATACATACAGCACCACCAAACTACCTTGTATTTCCTCCAAATGAAGAGAATGTCTTAGAGATCTTGCAATCCACCAAGGCAGAAAATATCCCAACACCCTAAAATATTCTCATTTCTCACCCTCTGCTCATTTTCTTTTCCTTAGTCCACTGTCGCTGAAAGATTCTTTCCTTAACTTGTGCTTTTTCCTGCCTCTTATGTGTAGTCCCCATCTACGATTGTGCTTTACAATTCCCAGACTCTGATCCATCCTCTTCAAGTCCTCATTCCTCCCTCACATTGTGGAGAATTATCTGATTCAATTCCTCCTCTGCTACCTGGATTTTACTAAGAAGACTGTACTTAGTATAAAGGATAAGAGAGGAGGGTATGACGAGGAATGGGAGTAGAGAAAAAGCGGTTAGATACCTGAACATACTGTCAGATGGAGTTATAGACATAAATATGAATCAAACTTTTGATATATTGTTAACAACTATTATAAAGGAACACTGCACTAACAGAAGTAACAGTGATCAGAGAGAAATGGATAACTTTTACTCTGCTTTGCTTTTGTTCAACTATGCTTTGAATATTGTGTCCAATTCAATGCACCTTGATTTAGGGACCACTTCTGAAACTGTACTACACAGAAAAAAGTACCCAGGATAAAGAAGATACTAAAAGCTCATTACAAGAAGTAGATATTTTAACCAAGTGAAGCCTTCCAAAATATATGACTGACCTTCAAGGGGAAGAAGAAAAAACTAGGGCTATTAGGGAAAAAAAGTCACAAGGAAGTCTGTTTCTGCTGGCTATAAATCATGTCTAATAATGAGAGGAAGCTTTTTCTCTCATTAACACTGGAACTTGTTGGGAGAAGGCAATGAGCACATTTCCTCACCAGCTTTTGCCCTAAGCCTCTTGGACTTGTGTCATAATAAACTCAAAATGCTGTCCCAGAACCATTCTTTTCCTCTTTTAAATCCCTAGATTGCTATTTCTGGGCACACATGCATGAAGTTCTCAGCCACAGAACACATGGGTCCCTTGTATGCAATAATATGAGATTGCTGAGACTGCAGAAGAGGCTTCCAGCAGGAAACTAGGATTCCTAAATCTTCATGCATTCGGTATCAGAGCCCATTGACTTTTTCTTCTTTTTTCATGGGGATTAATATAAGCATGAGGAGAAAGTCTCCTGTTGAGTCCTCTGGTGACCCAGGGTCTCCTGGCCCAACACAGCATTGCTCCCCTCCCTTACCCCTGAAACTCACAGAGGATACAACAGATTAGGTCCTGCTTGAGGAATCTACTGCCTGCATCCAGTAACCAGAGCTGAGACTGCTTCCGAATCTAGAGGGTTTTATGATCTACGGTCAGTTCCTCACACTGTCCCATCCCCTTCTCCAAGCCAGCTGGGAGCAGTAGTTTGGGATACTGGGACCCAGCAGCTAAGTTAAAGGTTCCCATGAGAGCCAGGCTGGAGTGCGGTGGCGCGATTTCGGCTCACTGCAATCTCTGCCTCCCAGGTTCAAGCAATTCTTCTGCCTCAGCCTCCCGAGTAGGTGGGATTACAGGCGCCTGCCACCACGCCCAGCTAATTTTTGTATTTTTAGTAGAGACAGGGTTTCACGTCAAGAAATCCGCCTGCCTCGGCTTCTCAAAGTGCTGGGATTACAGGCATGAGCCACCGTGCCCGGCAGGGAACAGGATTTAAATATGAGAGAGAATTCAATTCTGCATCTGACTACTTGACTACACAGACCATCCTCCTAAACATTCTCTTATTCTACATTAACATCATAAGATGTTATATTGACAGATTTCCTTGTATTAAAACTTTTCAGAATTTCTTAAGAAACCTACAAGATTTCCTTCTTTTTATAGTAACTGAAATTCAACTCCACTATTTGATATCTGTATGAATTTTGACAGCTAATTTACTCTATGTAATCTCGGTCATTAATAAATATTTATTTAAAATTATCAACTATATGTCCAGAATGAGATTAGTCACAGGGATAAGAGATTATGGTCCCTGCTCTCATCAAAATTTTATTATGGCAATTGCATTACATTATAGTATCAATAGCTTCCCATTGTTCATAAAATAAAACCAACTTTCCTAATATGGACTACTGAGAAATATATATGAACTGGACTGTAAGCTTCATGAGGACTAAATTCCTGTTAATTTTGTTCCCTATTAATATGATGTCTAGTACAGTGTTTACAGTGTGGTAGAATCAACATATTTTTGTCGAATTAATTCAAGATCATACATACTCTATCTCCTCCTTACTTCTCCAGTGTATTTAGAACCACCTTTTTTCAGTGGATGATTATTCCTGCCATAGTCATTGTTGAATGTCTCTTGGGGGTTTGTGATTATGAAGTTAAAGTGAAATCAGTCAGTTGATTTTTTTTTCCTTCACCTCCTAGGTCCAACCACAGAGAAGACGAACAGTTGGGTTTAATCCAGCATGTTCTTAATTTTCTATCTGACCACAAATCTCTTGTATTCTTTGACCTATTTTGTGGTTGAGCAGGCTGATCTCTATGGCCTAGTTCAACTGAGCTTTCTGAAATGACTTCCTGGCTTCCAGTTCAGATAATAGTAGCCACCTGAAGGAGATGAAAATATGGAGGGACAAGATTGGGTATTTATTATTATTCCTATCCTTTGCTTTGATACAGTTCTGCTAGTGGCTGCTTCTTTGTAGCCAGAGGTCCTATTGGGAAGCATATCTTCCAAAGCTCCAGTGCTTACTAAGTTTGAGGAATGTTGCTGCCTCTCCATTGCCCTTCAGGGCTGGGGCTGGTAGTGAGTTCCTGCTGTTGCTATCTCCTACGTGCTTCTTATTGATTCCCTTGACCCTGCCAAGACCTGTATAAATAGTCTCTTTATTAAACTCTTTTTTTTTTTTTTCGAGATGGAGTCTTGCCGTGTCACCCAGGCTGGTGTGCAGTGGCACGATCTCGGCTTATTACAACTTCCACCTCCTGGTTTCAAGCAATTCTCCTGCCTCAGCCTCCCGAGTAGCTGGGATTACAGGCATCCACCACCACGCCTGGCTAATTTTTGTATTTTTAATAGAGACGGGGTTTCACCATGTTGGCCAAGCTGGTCTTGAACTCCTGACCTCGTGATCCGCCCGCCTCGGCCTCTCAAAGTGCTAGGATTACAGGCATGAGCCACCGCACCTGGCCTCTTTATTAAACTCTTGTCAGTGAAATCCTTTTCCTGTACTGTCTGTTTCCTGCTCATATTGTAAATGGTACAGTAGTTAGTACCAGAAGGGTACTCAAGAATGGACACTTAACATGAGATGCTAGGATTCGGTTATTCACATATTGATGAGAATGTGGATAACTAACTTTCCAAGGCAAAATGGAACATTAAATGTAGCATGGAATGGCATCCCAATAATGCAAATCACCAGCAGTGTGTGTAGAACGACAGGCAGGTGGAGGACAAGGACCTATGGTGAGAAGGACTGTAGGCTGTCTGGGTGAAAATCCTAGCACCATCACTTACTAGCCATGGTACTCTGGACAAATCACTTTACCTCTCTGGGTCTCAGTTTTCACATTTAATATGACGATAGTAATAGTGACCTATTTTGTAGAATGCTTGTGAAGATTAAAAGAGTCAATATATAAATAGCACTTAAAACAGTGCTGAGCTTATAGTAAGCACTATATGAGTTAGTTACTATCAATTGCACTATTTTATATGAAACTGATTGATTTCTTTGTGTCCTCCACTTTTCTTTTTGGTAATGACTCCTCATATACTCTTCAGACTTTTTTCCTACTGGGAACCAACTGTAAAATATAAAGTTCTACCTCTTATGCCTGTTTACTCCACTAATATGTATTTTTTTCTCAGTATACTGTCATCAGTATAAAGAGAGAGTCCAGATCATATATTGTGGAGATAAAATACAAAGTCTGGGGCCTGGGCCTGGACCTGCTAGGAGTTCCTATCAGACAGCCTCTTAAGGCCAGGGCTTGTGAAAGAAGACATTCTTTAAGTTCTAGGGAACATGTGCACAACGTGCAGGTTTGTCACATATGTATACATGTGCCATGTTGGTGCGCTGCACCCACTAACTCATCATCTAGCATTAGGTATATCTCCTAATGCTATCCCTCCCCCCTCCCCCCACCCCACAACAGTCCCCAGTGTGTGATGTTCCCCTTCCTGTGTCCATGTGTTCTCATTGTTCAATTCCCACCTATGAGTGAGAACATGCAGTGTTTGGTTTTTTGTCCTTGCGATAGTTTGCTGAGAATGATGGTTTCCAGCTTCATCCATGTCTCTACAAAGGACATGAACTCATCATTTTTTATGGCTGCATAGTATTCCATGGTGTATATGTGCCACATTTTCTTCATCCAGTCTATCATTGTTGGACATTTGGCTTGATTCCAAGTCTTTGTTATTGTGAGTAGTGCCGCAATAAACATACGTGTGCATGTGTCTTTATAGCAGCATGATTTATAGTCCTTTGGGCATATACCCAGTAATGGGATGGCTGGGTCAAATGGTATTTCTAGTTCTAGATCCCTGAGGAATCGCCACACTGACTTCCACAATGGTTGAACTAGTTTACAGTCTCACCAACAGTGTAAAAGTGTTCCTATTTCTCCACATCCTCTCCAGCACCTGTTGTTTCCTGACTTTTTAAAACTTAAAGTATAATAATAATATTAAATTTAAAAAAAGAAATATAGAAACATCCACATTCTGCAAACCAATTTCCTTTCTAAATACAAAGAGAAACTTTAAGTAAAATACTAGGAAACCAAATAAATATGTTTTTCAATTAAAAAAAAGAAGACACTCTTAGTGACTGTAAAGGGGGCAGTTCCAGAAAGGAAGATGGTAGAGATACCTGTTGTCTTGGGCTTGTCTCTAGGAGCAGGAGGAAAGGAACTGGGAGAGGGAGAGGAAAAGGGAGAGAAGGAAGGAGGATGGGAGACAGAAAACAGGGAAAGAATAAAAAGAGGGAAGGAGGAAGGAAAAAGGATTAGAAGAAAAAGGAAAAGAAAAGGAACTTTAAGGAAAGAGAAGGAATAGGAAGTGAAGGGAAGAGAACAGAAGGGAAATAGGAAGGGGTAAAAGAAAAGAAAGGGAAAATAAAAGATGAAGAGAAAGGGAAAATGAAAGGAAAAGCTATCTTTTGAGAATTTCCAGTCACAATTCTTTCCTTACGGTGTTTGGTGGCTGGAATTCACATACCTTTTGTGTCCTAAAATCTATAAATAAATTGGTGTTTTGTTGGCTTAAAGTTATTTGTAACACTTATTTTACTATCCTTCTAATATCTAGTATAATCTGTAGTAGTAACACTTGTTCAGTCATCATTTTGATTACTTGTGATTGTTTTTCCTTCATAGTTCTTACTCGGGCTTTATTAATTTTATCAATCTTTTCAAAAAATCCAGTGCCGAGATTGGTTAATTTTTCTCTATTGTTTCTGTTTTCTATTTTATTGACTCTTCGCTTGTCTTTTTTTTCACCTTATATTTTAGGCTCATGGAGTATACATATGCAGGTTTGTTACATGGATAAATTTCATGTCGTAGGGGTTTGGTGTACAGATTATTTAGTCATCCAGGTAATGAGCATAGGACCCCGTAGATGGTTTTTTGACCCTCACCCTTCTGCCACCCACCACCAAGTAGGCCCCAGCGTCTATTGTTCTCTTCTTTGTGTTCATCTGTATTCAATATTCATTCCTGCTTGTAAGACAGAATATGTGGTATTTGGTTTTCTGTTCCTGCATTCACTCACTAAGGACAATGGTTTCCTGCTGCATCCATGTTGCTGCAAAGGACATGATTTCACATTTATGGCAGTGTAGTATTCCATGGTGTATATGTAACACATTTTCTTTATCCAACCCACTGTTGATGGGCATCTGGGTTGATTCCATATCATTGCTATTGTGAATAGTGCTCCAATGAACATTCAAATGCATGTATCTTCATCGTAGAACTATATATATTCCTTTGGATATATATCCAATAATGGGATTTCTGAGTCAAATTGTAGTTCTGTACTATGTTCTTTGAGAAATCTCCAAACTGCTTTCCATAGTGGCTGAACTAATTTACATTCCCACCAGCAATGTATAAGTGTTCCTATTGCTCTGGTATCTTGCCACTATCTGTTACTTTTTGGCTTTTTATAATAGCCATTTGACTGCTATAAAATGGTATCTCATTGTGGTTTTGATTTTCACTTCTTTAATGGTTAGTGATGTTGAGTATTTTTTCATATGCTTGTTGACCACAGGCATGTCCTCTTTTGAGAAGTGTCTGTTCATGCCATTTGCTCATTTTTTAATAAGGTTGTTTGGGTTTGTCTTGTTGATTCATTTAAGTTTCTTATGGATTCTTGATATTAGACCTTAGTCAGATGCATAGTTTGCAAATATTTTCTCCTATTATGTAGGTTATCTGTTTACTGTATTGATAATTTATTTTGCTGTGCAAAGTTCTTTTGTTTAACAAAGTCCCACCTGTCTATTTTTGATTTGTTGCAATTACTTTTGGAGTCTTCATCATAAAATATTTGCCAGGGCCTATATCCAGAATGATATTTCCTAGATTTTCTTATAGGATTTTATAGCTTAAGTTTTATACTCAAGTCTTTAATTCATCTTGAGTTGATTTTTTGTGGTGATAGGAAGGTGTCCAGTTTCAATCTTCTGCATTTGGCAGCCAGATATCCCAGCACCATTTATCGAATAGGGAAACTTTCCCCCATTGCTTGTTATTGTTGACTTTGTTGAAGATAAACTGGTTGCAGGTATGCAGCATTATTTCTGGGTTTTGTAATCTTTTCCATTGGTCTGTGTGTCTATTTTTGTACCAGTACTATGTTTTTTGGTTACTGTAGCCCTGTAGTACAGTTTGAAGTTGGGTAATGTAATGTTTCCAGCTTTGTTCTTTGTGCTTAGGATCACTTTGGCTATTCAGGTTCTTTTTGGTTCTATATGAATTTTACAATAGTTTTTTTCTGATTCTGTGAAAAATGTCATTAGTAGCTTGATAAGAATAGTATTGAATCTCTAAATTGCTTTGGGCAGTATGGGGAATGTTTTAACAATATTGATTGTTTCTATCCATGAGCATGGAATGTTTTCCCATTTGTTTATGTTGTCTCTAATTTCTTTCAGCAGTGTTTTGTAATTCTGGTTGTAGAGATATTTTATCTCCTGGTTATCTGTATTTCTAGGTTTTTTATTTTTTTATTTTTTGTGGCTATTGTAATGGGATTGCATTCTTGACTTGGTTCTCAGCTTGGATAGTATTGGTGTGTATAGGAATAGTACTGATTTTTGTAATTGATTTTGTGTCCTGAAATTTGCTGAAGTTTTTTTTAATCAGATTTAGGGGCCTTTAGGCAGAGAGTATGGGGTTTTCTGGATATAGAATGGTATCTTCTGTGAAGAGAGATAGTTTGACTTCCTCTCTTCCTATTTAGATGCCTTTTCTTTCTTTTTCTTGCCTGATTGCTCTGTCCACGACTTCCAGTAGTATGCTGAATAGGAGTGGTAAGAATGGGCATTCTTTTCTTGTTCCATTTGTCAAGGGGAGTGCTTCCAGCTTTTGCTCATTCAGTATGATGTTGGCTGTGGGTTTGTCATAGATGGCTTTTATTATTGTGAAGGATGTTCCTTTGATGCCTAGTTTGTTGCAGGTTTTTAACACGAAGGGATGTTGAATGTTATCAAAAGACTTTTCTGTCTATTGAGATGATTACATGGTTTTGTTTTTAGTTCTGTTTGTGAGATGAACCCCATTTATTGATTTGCATATGTTGAACCAACTTTGCATCACAGAAATAAACCCTATCTGATCATGGTGGATTAGCTTTTTGATGTGCTGCTGGATTTAGTTAGCTAGTATTTTTTTTTTTTTTTTAGGATTTTTGCATCTATGTTCATTAGGGATATTGGCCTGAAATTTTCTTTTTTCATTGTGTCTCTGCCAGACTTTGGTATCAAAATGATGCTGGCCTCATAGAACAAGTTGGGAAGTCACTCCTTCTCAATTATTTGGAATAGTTTCACTGGGATTGGCACCAGCGCTTCTTTACACATCTTGAAGAATTCATCTGTGAGTCCATATGATCTAGGGCTTTTTCTGGTTGTTAGGTTTTTTTTATGACTGAGTCAAATTTGGAACTCAATACTGGTCTGTGCAGGGTTTCAATTTCTTCCTCATTTAATCTTGGAAGGTCGTATGTTCCAGGAATTTATCCATTTTTTCTAGGTTTTATCATTTGTGTCTGTAGAGATGTTCATAATAGTCTCTGAAAACTTTCCGTATTTTTGTGGAGTCAGTAGTAATGTCCTCTTTGTCATTTCTGATTGTGTTTATTTGGATATTCTCTTTTTTATTATTAGCCTAGCTGATAATTTTTCTTTCAAAGAAAAACGTTTTGGTTTCATTGATCTTTTGTATAGTTTTTTGCATCTCAAATTCATTCAGTTCACCTCTGGTTTTGGTTATTTGTTTTCTTCTGCTAGCTTTGGGGTTGTTTTCTTCTTGTTTTTCTAGTTCCTCTAGGTGGGAAGTTAGGTTGTTAAACTTTTGATGTGAGCATTTAGCACTATATGCCTTCCTCTTGACATTGCTTTAGCTGTGTCCCAGAGATTCTCATATGTTATATCTCTGTTCTCATTAGTTTCAAACAATGTATTGATTTCTGCCTTAATTGCATTATTTACCCCAAATCATTCAGGAACAGATTGTTTAATTTCCATGTAATTGTATGGTTTTGAGAGATCTTCTTGGTATTGATTTCTATTTTTGTTGTGCTGTTATCTGAGAATGTAGCTGGTATAATTTCAATTTTGTTTAATTTATTGAGAATTGGTTTATAGCTGAGCATGTTATTGATTTTAGATTATGTACCCTGTGCAGAGTAGCAGAATGTATACTCTGTGGTTGTTGGGTGGAGTGTTCTGTAGATGTCTCTTAGGTCCATTTATTCAAGTGTTGAGTTTAGATCCTGAAGATCTTTGCTAGTTTTCTGCCTCAGTCATCTGTATGATACTATCAATGGGGTATTGAAATCTCCCATTATTATTCTGTGGTTATCAAAGTCTCTTTGTAGGACTCTAAGAACTTCTTTTATGAATGCTCAGTGTTGGGTGCATATATATTTAGGATAGTTGAGTCTTCTCGATGAATTGAACTCTTTATCATTATGTAATGCCCATCTTTGTCCTCATTGATCACTGTTGGTTTAAAGTCAGTTCTGTGTGAAATAAAAATAGCAATGCTTGCTCTTTTTTGTTTTCCATTTGCTTGATAGATTTTTCTCCATTCCTTTGCTTTGAGCCTATGAATGTCATTGTATGTGAGACAAGGCTCTTGAAGACAGCATATAGTTGGGTCTTGCTTCTTTATCCAACTTACCAAATTGAACATTTTAAGTGGGGTTTTTACCCCATTTATTCTCAAGGTTAATATTAATATATGCAGATTTGATCCTATCGTGTTTTTAGTTGGCTGTTATGTAGACTTGATTGTGTACTTGCTTTGTAGTGTCAATAGTCTATGTACTTAAGTGTGTTTTAGTGGTGGTCAGCAACAGTCTTTCATTTCCATGCTTAGCACTTCTAAGGCAGGTCTACTGGTAACAAATTTCCTTATCATTTGCTTGTGTAAAAAGGATTTTATTTCTTCTTTGCTTATGAAGCTTAGTTTGGCTGGATATGAAGTTCTTGACTGGAATTTCTTTTCTTTAAGGAGAGTGATAATAGGTCCCTCATCTCTTTTAGTTTGTGAGGTTTTTTGCTGAAAGAACCACTGTTAATCTGATGGGCTTCCTTTTGTAGGTGGCCTGCCTCTTCTTTCTAGCTGTCTTTAATACATTTTATTTCATGACAACCTTGGAGAATCTGGTGAATATGTGTCTTGAGGATGGTCATCTTGTAGAGTATCTCACTGGGGTTCTCTGCATTTCCTGAATTTGAATGTCAAACTCTCTACTGAGGTTGGGAAAATTTCATGGAGAATATCTTCAAATGTGTTTTCCAAGTTGCTTGCTCCCTCTCCCTCTCTTCCAGGGATGTCAATCAGTCATAGGTTTGGTCTCTTAACATAATTGCATATTTAATAAAAGTTGCATTTATTCCTTTTTATTCTTTTTTCTTATTTTTGTTTGAATGAATTGATTCAAACAGTAATCTTCAAGCTCTGAGATTATTTCCTTAGTTTGTCTATTCTGCTGTTAGTATTTCTAATTGTACTACAAAATTCCTGTAGTGAATTTTTCAGCTCTATCAAATCAGTTTGGTTATTTCTTAAAATGGCTATTTGTCTTTCAGCTCTTCTATCATTTTACTGGATTCCTTAGATTCCTTGAATTAGATTTCAACTTCCTCCTGAATCTCTGTGATCTTTGTTGCCATCCAGATTCTAAATTCTATGTCTGAGATTTCAGCCATCTCAGCCTGGTTAAGAACCATTGCTGGGAACTAGGTGGTCTTTTGGAGGTAAGAAGATACCCTGTCTTTTTGAGTTGACAGAGTTCTTATGCTGGTTTTTCCTCATCTGTATTGGCTGGTGTTCCTCTAATGTTTGGATTTGTCCTTAGGATGAGGCTTTTTGCTTTTATATTCTTTGGCGCCCTTAAGGGTTTCACTGTGGTGTAAACTGGATTCAGTCAACTAGCTTCATTTATGGATATATTCAGGGGGCCATGGTTCAACTCAGCACTCCTGGGTTGTGTGCTCTAACCCTGAGGAGCTGGGACAAGGCCCATGGCTGTGTTCTCTGGCCCCTCTAAGCTAAGCACCTACTGCACTGGAGGAGCCAAGGTGTTCTCCGTCCCGTGGCAACAACAGTCCAGTGGAGGGTGCTGCCAAAAGTGCTTCATCAGGGAAGTGGCAGGAGAGTCCTCACTTACACGTGTGTTCAGGCAGTGTCAGGGCAGCACATGTGCTGGCAGTGGCAGAGTGATGGCATGGTGGCAGTGGCAGTGCAATGACAGTGGTAGTTTAATGGCATAGTGGGGTCCACGCATACGTGTGCATTGGCAGTGGAAGGGTGGTGACGTTGAGGTTTGTGTACGTGTATGTGCATTGGCGATGGCGGGGTGTCAATGTCTGCATGACTCTAGCAAAGCAGTGGGGGCAGGGTGCAGGTGAGTGCATGTCAGCAGGGGTCGGGGGGCTTCTGCCAAAGCTCTCTGACAATTAGGTGGAGTCTGCTAGTGAAGGAGCTATGGCAGTTGCCACTGGGAAGCTCCCTGGTTTGGCAACTGAGGCTGTGATGAAGCACATGGAGCCATGCTGGGACCCAGAAAGAGGCTGGCAGACAGGGCAGCACTCAGATCAGACTTGCCTGGTCGCACAGGCAAGATATCCCTGTTCTCTACAGGGCCAACAGTCAACAAGGTCAAAGCCACCTAGAGGAGCATGGCAAGCCTTGGGGGATGGGTGTCTCTGTGTTCCACTGCAGCCAGTCCCATGCCAAACCCTCTGGGCTCCACATAGACTGGAGTCCCGTTCCTTCCATGTCTCCAAACACTTCTCCCTGATAGCTCAAATGTTTATGGGGGTTGTGGGGTCCCCTGCAGCTAGGATTCCAGAGGTACATGGAGAGTGGGCCACACATTGCCTATTTAATTCACTCCTTCCCCAGGAGCCACTCAAGGCCAGAAATGAGACCTGGTGCTCAGCAACCCCATGCAGGATTTCCAGCTTCCTCCTCTTTCAGCCCAGCGTCTGTGTCCTCCCTCAGTCTGCTCTCAATTCCTCCCTTCCAAAGATCTGCCCAAAGTGTTGTCAGTATTCTTGATGGTTTTGTCTCTTGGTGGGAGAAGCTCTTCCTGGCTGTGTCTAGTCAGCCATATTGGCTCTTCTCTATTCTGCTCTCATCACTATGAATACCTTACTCTTGTTTACCTTGGACTTAATTTATTGTTCCTTTTCTAAATTCTTAAGTTGTTAACTTAGATAATTGATTTTACAACTTTACTCTTTTCTAATATAGGCATTTAAAGTATAAATTTTTCTCTGTTTTCTCTTTGGCTACATCTCACAACTTTTGCTATATGTACTTTTCAATCAGTTTGAAATATTTTCTGACTTCCTCTGTGATTTCTTAGTTGATCCATGGGTTATTGAGATGTATTTAGTTTAGTTTCCAATTATTTAACTCTTTTCATGCTACCTTATTGTTATTGTTTTCCAATTTAATTCTGTATTGGTAAGAGACTATGACCCTGCACACATACTAAAAAAAAAAAAAAATCTCCTGCCCCTGCTCCCCATGCCTTTCTAAACCCCCATGTGACATTAGCAATAAGCCCAAAGTTCCCTCACCCAAAGGATGAGAAGGCTCCCTCATACTGCCTATTAGAACAAAACTCATTCTCTACACTTTATACTTCCACAGAGGAAGGCTCTTCTTCCTCTCCCCACAAGGGGGACATATGGGAGTGAATACTTCTCTCTTCTCTCCGGTTTCTTCTCTCCTTTGCTTGCTTTTCCATATGGGAAGAAGGGTCACTAATACAATTGGGCAGAGATCATTGGGAGCAATGGATGCAATGGATGGGGTTATTGTGTTTCAAAAGTACAAAACATGTTCTGATCTGTTTCACTGCCTGCCTCATGGATATGTAAGGATGGTAGTAAACACTCTCTTTTTTTGTATTTAAATACCATAGCCTAACCTGCATAAGAGCCTGTGACCTGCTTTTTAGAGAGAAACCTGGAAAACAGCCACTCACTGTTTTGCATTTTATATTCCGCTAAGGTTCCATTTATGAGATTTTGCGATGTCTTTCAGATGGCTGGATAATTGTGCTTGGAGTCGAATTTTCAAATTAAATTGCCTCATGTCCAGGTGGAATAAGGTAGTAGGAAGAGGTGCAAAGATTTAGAATTAAGAGTCTCTCCTCTATCCTCTGGTTCCACTTGTATTTTCTAATTATGACTTACCAGAGAACCCTGCATTAAAGACATTTTTAAACAAACAAAAACTGCAAACCTTTACAAGAGGGAATTCTAAAAGATATACTTCAGGCAAAAGAATACATATCCCACTTGGAAGATCTGAGATGAAAAACGTATACTTTTTAGGCTGTAGGTTGGTCTGTTACAACAAAGATTACCAAAAAAATGGTGGTTTAACCCAGATACAGGTTTATTTCTGTTTCAGGTTCAAGTCATGGTTGGTGGCCCAGACAGTGTCAGGAACACAGCTCTTCTGTATTGTTACTCTTCCATCTTCAGTTCACATTTCTGTCTTGTGATCCAAGAAAGCTGCCTGAGATGAAGCTTAGACTCTCTAGGGTTAAGAGAGTTTGTTACAATAGATGTAATACATCATACCCTGATTTTCTCTAGGACAATTTACCAGAGTTTAAGCCCTAGACTGGGAATGAAGCTGATTAGAATGTGCAATTCCTCCTGCAATAAAAACAGCTCATACCAGTCCTCCCTAATTCATCTACTTGCAACGGCCAAGTTAAAGGCCTGATACTAAGCCTCTCAGACAGAGTACTAGTTATTATGAGTAAAATTTACTAAGAAAAGAAAAACTAGAAAAAACAACTATTAACTCTACCCCTCCTACCAATATGAAATCCCAAAATAAATCTTATCTCCCGAGCATCTTACATCAAAGTAGCAATGACTTGACTTCTTCCATGACTAAACAAAATGTGTTACCTTCTAGGAACAAAAATAATTAGGCCAGATCTCAGGGCAACATCAACAAACAGGTTGCAATATATCAATTGTAGCAGTCATCTTTTAAGTTTTCACCCAGTTCCTATTAACAGAAATAGAAGATCTAATTGACACCACTCCACATGCCCTATTTCCAAAAGAGAAACCCATTTTTAAGTGTCCATAACTGCTACTATACTTATTGCTTTATTTATTATAGCTATGTTTACCAACACCGGGATCTAGCACATTTTGTAGTTATTAGATGCTAATAATTATATGGTTACTTTTGGGTTTTTTAATGAATATTTATAAAACAAACATATACGCAGTACTTGGTCTTATTCCTTCTTTATCCAAAGCATGAATATAAATAAGTTGAAAATACAAAGAGATATCTTTTAAAATAAATTTCCTAGACACATATAGATTTCTTCCTTGAAAATAGAAATTATATTTTATTATTCCTAGAGCCTATTACCATAACTTCTCCACTTATGTTTGTTTTAAATAAATAAGTAATACCCATATTGCAATAAATGCTGTTTTCTTACACTGCGACCTTCTCAGCTGCTTTGAAGAGACCCTATTGGTAAACAGGAGCCAATGATCTGGGGATCCCAGCACTAACTTAGAGGTTTTGAAGAAACTCTAAACCTAAAACCAACCAAAGGGTGGGACTTTACAATTCCAGACAGTGTTGCATGGCCTACCATTGGGCAAAGGCGAGAAAGATGACACATTCAGAGCTATCATCTATTTCTCCTATCCCCAAGTCCTACTGACACAAGGAGTAGAGAAATGTTGAAATCAAGAGCAAAAGAAAAAATGGCAAAAATATTCACAAATCCAGATATCCAGGTACATCCCAATAAGCCAAGTATCTGTGGGTGTTCTTTAGCATGGCACTAGTAAGACTAGAAGGAATACTCACTGCAAAATGGTCTGTATTCATGTAATCTACACCAGTCACAGGCTCCTGGCTGTGGTCCGCAGAAGAAGCCTCCGAAGGAAACAATGAGAATATGTTCAGATCAATCCTTTTGTGTAAACACTCTGAGCACTCGCTGGCGGATCTGCTGAGTCTTCACTCCATAGACAAGAGGATTGAGCGCAGGTGGCATGAGGAGATACCGTGTGGCCAGAAGAACATGGACATGATGGGGTACATGATGACCAAAGCGGTGAGTGAGGAAGGAGAAAATTCCAGGGACATAGAAGACCAGGATGACACAAATATGAGAGCCACATGTGCTAAACGCCTTAAGTCGGGCCTCACTCCCTGGTACCTTCAGCACTGCCTGGAGGATGTGGGCATAGGAAACACCAATGGCCAGAACATCCAGCCCAATCACAAGCAAGGCCATAGTCAGCCCATAAGCTCGATTGACTGTGGTTTCTGAGCAGGCAAGTTTCACAACAGCCATATGTTCACAATAGGCATGGCCTATGATGGTGGCTTGGCAGAAGATAAGTGTTCCCAACAAAATGGGGAAGGGGATAAGGAGTAGTAATCCCCTCACCAGCACCACCATTCCGATGCGCCCTATGACCCCTGGATGCAGGATTGTGGAATGGTGCAAGGGGTGACAAATGGCTACATAGCGATCCAGAGCCATGGCCACAAGTACCCCTGACTCCATGGAGGAGAATGCATGGATGAAGAACATCTGGATCAGGCAGACGATGTACCCAATCTCGTGGGCATGAACCAGGAGCACTGCAAGGGCTTTGGGTGCAGTGGAGGAGGCCAGAACCAGGTCGATGGCAGCTAGCATGGACAGGAAGAGGTACATAGATTGGTGCAAGGATGGGTCCATCCAGATGATGAAGAGAATGGTAACATTGCCCACTAAAGCAAGGAGGTAAAGGATGCCCAGGGGCAGTGCAATCCAGTGCTGGCTTTCCTCTAAACCTGGAATCCCTACCAGGAGAAAAGAAGGCTGGGATAGCCTCCAGCTTGAATTGCTAAGGAGCATTATCAATGGCTTGGAGAGGAAAGAGAAAAAAGAAACCAAAGTCATGATTTCTGCATTCCTGCTACATTATCACATTGTCCAAATGGGGCAACCATCATCCTGAGAAGAATAAAGTGACTTCAACTGCAAACGAAGGGAATAAAGTTAGCTACAGGGAAGAAAATCTCCTTTGGTGGAGATAATTCTTTTACAAGTGAGACATCCACATGTCTGAATTAATACAAGCTTAGTTTTGTTTAGAGATAAGAGTAAACATAAGCTGCTTTTGGAGAGATGCTTAAACTCTACTATTCAGTTGCTTATATTTTGGAACTGTCAACTTCAAAGAGTTATTTTTATTAGCCTCTTGGTATTACTGACCACTGTGAATCAATCTGTTGTTTTTGAAATTAGTCTTCCTCAGTTTCCATGACATGGCACTCCAGAGTTGTTCCCCCTGTAGCCTTGGTCCCACCATTTTCTCTATCTCATTATGTCATTGATTCCAGGGATCCATCCTCTCCTGTATTCCCTATTCTGTGCATTATCTCTTAATTGACTTCATTTATTCCCATGGTTTTAACTGTTTATATACTTTTATTTCTTCCAAATTTATGTCTGTTTACCCAAATATCCTTCTGAAATATAAATCCATTTTTCCATTTGCTTTATGAATATCTATACACCACATCCTCAACATATTCAACATTGGATTAATTCACCTATTTTTCCCAAATTTGTTCTACTTATGTTTTGGCAATAATTTTTAATTACATCCCTAGCTACCTACACAACCCAATCTAAAAACTTGGAACCTGTCTTTACTCATAATCCTCATCCCCTTTTATTCATTCACCAATTCATGTTGACTTTATGTTAACCCCTCTTATATCCACTCCTTCTTCTCAACCCCCAATATCACTACCTTAGTTTACACCCAACTTCTCTCACCTGGACTATTTCATAACATCTTTCTGCCTTTGCCATAAACACCTTCCCAATTCACTCTCAACCCTGAAGTCATGGGTTTTTTTTCTAAAATGCAGATCTCATCATATCACTCCTAAGATTAAAATCCTTTGGTGAATTTATTGCATGGAATAAAATCATACTTTGAGACTGGCATAAAAGATTATCAAAAGTTATCTTTTTTGCATTACTTTTGTCTTACAGTTGATATATTTCTACATATGTTTTACTAACCATCCCTGCATTCTTGGAGTTACATGTACACACCAAGCTTACCTATGCCTTTTGTGTAGTCTGTCTCCAAATTCCTTTATCTGAATTGGTCCTTCAAAATTCAAAGTCCACTGTCACCCCTCAAAAGGACTCATTGCCTATGTCAGATGAATATTGATTATGTTCAGAGCACTTTATAATCTTCCTTTATTCATCCATAACTTTCTGACTTATCTCTAGAAATTCTATCAGTGTCTTAATGGTTTGTTTTTTTAAAGAAACATATCTTATTATACTTTATAATTATAACATAGCATGGTGAACATTTCACAATGTAGTGAGATAAATAAAAGCAATGGAGGAAGACAGACTTAGTTTAAATTTTGTCCATTTCATATTCTAGGAATAAAACCTTGGCAGGATACTAAAACTCTCTCAGTCTTGATTTCCTTATTTTATAACTAACATCAATCTTACAGGTTTATTGTAAACATTAATTAAGTAATATATGTAAAGTCTTGATATCTAGATTAGTCTACAAATTATAGTTATAATTATTTTAATATTAGCAATAGAAGATGACTGAGAATTAGACCACAGGCTTCTTTCTTTTCTTCTTTGTCTCCATGACTCTGCTTCTCTTTTTCAAACTTTTGATATGTTTACCTCTCATCATGATATTATAACAAACAATTCAGTGTCTTTGACAACCGCATGTTAACATGAAGTATCAACTTTGTCCATGGGATTCACCCTTGAAATTTACTAAAAGAAAAAACTTGAAACTGGATATGTGTATGTAGGTATGTTTGTCTTAAAGGACAGGCGTAGTCTGAAATAACTGTATTTTTCTCTGTTGGAGTGGTGGTGCACATGTGCGTGTAAAGATTAAAAAGTCAAGAATGACTTAGTTCTTGTGGATAATGCATCCATAGATTACTCAGAGCTCTTTTTGTACAAATTAATGATGACAATCATATTGCCCTAAAACTCTGAATATGATAGCTATAAAGTCTGAAATGCCACGTGGGCATATATCTCCCAAGTTTCTCTGTTTTTCTTCTAGAATCAACTTGAAATAACAATGACATTTTTATTGAGACATCCAGGGGAATCTCATAATCTTACAAAAATTCACCTCTCAGTGCTTAACATTCCACATAGAGAGAAAGTCCATTGTCTTTTTTGCCTACCTCCTTCTGTTGCACGCTTCAGCCCATTTCTCATTTTTTAGCTAAGGAGTCAGAGAACAGCTGTGCATTTGTGGAAGGCACTCAAGACTTGAATAGTAGCAGTGTGAGCAGAGCAGTGAGGCTAAAACCAAACTAGCCCTGGGGCTGCTGAAATAAGTAAATAAATAAGTAGAGAAGTAAATAAAGTAAATAAAGTAAGAAGTAAGTAAATAAAGCAGAGAAGTAAATTAAGTAAACAAATAAGCGGAAAAGCAGAGACACATGTAACTGAGTATAACCGGCTTCTACTTTGTGTTGCTTGGCTCGTAAGCCTAGGGTAAAAGTCTGCAAGTGCTTAGTAAATGTTAATTTTTTAACTTATTTTAATTTAATTTCTGACTCAGAGTAGGGGAGGGTGGGAGGTGGATAAGGCATAAAAAAATCCCATATTGGGCACAATGTACACTATTCAGATAATAGGTACACTAAAAAGCCCAGACTTCATCACTATACAATTCATCCATGTAACCAAAACCACTTATACTCTTAAAGCTCTTGAATTTTTTAAATAAATTGCAATTAATTGTTATTAAAGTAAACAGGAGGTCCCGCTATGATTCTTAGAGGAAAAGCAGAAAGGACTTTATTCCCAGGAACCTAAAGGCAAAGCTGTATTTAGTTATTCAACTACAAAGCAGAGGACAATTACCAAAGAGTAGATGTTGTTCAATTGGTACTTATTCATCTAATTCAACCCAAGCAACCTTTCTTTTGTGAAGTTGTGCTCAAATTCTGTAAGGTAGTATGACATGTCTCCTTTTCTTTCCTATTGTAATGCCTTTACCACTTTGTCCCTGCATTAAGACCTCACACTCTAAGCCAGGCATCATGTCAGTCTTTAAAGAGCAGGGACTCTGCATTACTTATTTCAGCAGCCCCAGAGCAAGCTCCAGGAGCATCCGGAATCTAGTGAGTAATCAGTAATGTTGGCTGAATAAGTAAACACTCATATTATTAGATTAAAAAATAAATAAGTGCACTAGTGTCTTAAAAGACTGAGAATCACAGGAAGGTGATAAGGCAGAGGCTAAATTTAAGCATAGGAATCATGTAGCAAACAGTGGCGTGTCTTTTGAGGGTGTCACTGATTGAGCCTCGATATTCCTCACCTTAAGTGATGCTCTGGGTGCTTCATGGCAGAAAGAGATCTGCTGAATCTCTGCCATAAGAGAAGATGGTGAAATCCTGGATGTGTTCAGAAATAAGAGGGTTTCTTTGGTCCCTAGTAATCACTCTGCACTGCTTCTAGCAGGAAGAGAGGCTCCATCTATGGGATATAATCTATCCCTCTCTCCTCAATCTCCTTCTTAACAGTGGCCTGATCTCTATGATAATAGGGTAAAAAAGAAGAGGCAAGAACTTACAGAAACAGTAGGGGAGGGAGGGCACAGAAAGAGTGGGTCCATGACAATGACCTAATAAAAGACGAAGATACAAAAATCAAACATTAAGAGGCAGAGCTCCACTCACAACATGGATAATAAAGTAAGCCTGGCACAGGGCACTGTCCTTCTGGTCTCTGGGCTGTCTTTGATGATGTGCCCTTTAAAGACTCAGGTCAGCCTGGAGGGAGACTGCAACACAGAGAGAACTAGGAAAGGGAGAAAATTCTCAGACTCTGGAAGGTCTGGGAATTTTCATGAAGAGTTTTCTGGAAAATTCAAGAAGGTTCCACTACAGCCCTCCCTGCTTAGCCCCAGGAACTCCCTAAGTCTCCAGTTCAATCTCCATGATGAAATTCTGCCCTAGCTTGTGGGGAACAATGATGAAGAGGATTTTCTATTCAGAATGGCTGCACAGCAGTCTCTGAATATCAAAGAGGACATCAAATGCATCCCTCAAGGTCTATGCAGCTAAAATTTTCCAAAGATATGAAACATGAGTACTAGCTCTGGCAAGACTTGAGTAAAGGTAGCAAATCAGCTGTATCTACATACGCAATACATATGGTGAGGATGCCACCTAGGACCATGCCAAATGGCCCTGTGAATGCCTCAGGCTGACCATGAAGGGTTAAAGACATTGGTAGGTGTCCACAGGCTCACAGGTTAGCTCTCAGCCCTCCCCTAATCATTTTCCATCTATATTCTTTTCTCTCCCTTTCCCCCACTGTCATAGAGTCCAGGCCACTGTTAACAAGGAGATTAAAGAGAGAGGGACAGGTCACATTTCATAGAAGAGCCTCCATGTCCACTAGCATCTAAATGGTAGAAGCCAGGAGGAGAAAGTTTGTTTGAGGAGTCAGGCCAGGAGAGAACAACTATTCTAACTCAGAGAAATAAGCTTAAGACTACTAAGAAGTGTCAGACCAGAGGTATTGGGAGAGCCACACTACACAAGCTGAGAAATAACCCCTGTCACAAGGGCTCTGAGAAGGGCAGAATTCAGCTGGCCATAGTCTTCCCCCAACTGTAAACCCAGAAACTGACCTCATTTTCCACTGCTGAATTCCTGTGCACCAACTTGTCACTGTTTCTGTCATCTTCATCTGAAAGGAAAGTTTATCCTTGATACTTTCCCAGGGCAGTGGTGGTGACTGTGAGCACCACTGGGCAAGCAGGATATTATTACCAATTGGCAGGTCCCAGAGGACTCATAGACAACCTGCACAAAGCCTAAGTTAGCCCCCAGATTGGCTGGAAAGGCACAGAGCTAAGGATACAGCCCACAGGGGTAGGTGATTGGACAGAGAGGCCAAGCAGGGAGTGGCTCCTGCACCTAACCACGTGGACCGTGTCTGTCCAATGTTGGTCATTACCTGTAAGCCTGTATGTCCTGACAGTGTGCTAGGAAACCTCATGCAGTGAGCTGGGAAATTTCACATTGCTCTGTGAGCTCAGACTTCTCATTCTCACGGAACAATCTTGGACCCCAGTAAATTATTTAGTGGATGCTGTTGTTCAATGTGCTCATTCTTTCAGATGCTAGGAGTGTCGCCTGCTGGAAGTTCATAACTAAGTCACTCCCCTTTGGCCAAAGAGAGAGCCCTCACCATAGTTTACTTTTCCTTCTCCAACGCAGTTCACACCCAATGACTGCTGATATAAGAATACAAAATCTTGGCTCCCTTTCTTCAATCTTAAACAACACTGAAGAGTCATCCTAGCTTGAGAGGTCCCACTGGGTTAGCTGAGTCATCTGAGAAAACTAGATCATAGTTTAATTTCTTCTTCTGCTTCATTTTGCTCCTCTCACTCCCTGACAATCATTGTTCTCCTGTATGTTTCTCAATAAACTTCCGGCATGCAAATCTCTGCTTCAGAGTGTGTTTCTGAAAAAAGACAAATGCTGCCTGCCTCAGGTGAGTTGAGCATTTTGCCTCTCCTCTGTAGGATTGTGACAAACCCAAGGGCCTCAACCCCCTTGCCATGGTGCATGTAGGACAAATAGGGCTTCTCCAACAGTCCATCCCAGCAAGTTCCCAATGAGATGGGCTGAGGCCTTCTCTATCTTATTTTTCCATCACCAAGCAGATCTTTTCCTTGGTCCCATCTGTTACCCAGTAACAAGCTTCCCACTGAAATAACAGAGCTTCTCCACTAGGTGGAGCGAAGCTTCCCACTCCACCTAGTAGCCACAATCTCCTTGGGAATAAATAAGCAGATGGTAGATTGGTAGATTAGGTATCTACCAATTCCAGGTAGTCTATTAGATGTTCATAAATATCTATATGATAAAAAGGTTTTCACTAGTCATGGGATGACATATATTAAGTACATAGGACCTTCCCAGTCTGGGAAGTTCGGGAAAGCCCTCCCTATTCAAGTTAGTGCCCATAAGAATTGGTTAAAAGTGAAGGGAGGTGTGGGGATAGGATGAGGATACAAACCTGTGAAGCAGGAGGAAAGGGACCTTGGTATTTTCAAAGACCTAAAAGGATTGTTAAAATTTGCGATTTTAGTACTCAGGAACTGAGCCTAGAGTTTAAGCAGGAACTGGAGCATGCTGGGTCTTTTAGGCCATGTCAAAAGGCCGTGGAGCACCATGAAGAATTTTAAGCAGAGGATTGAGACATGATCAAAATCTCATTAGCAAAATATCCTATGAGAATGGATGAGAAGAAGTCAAGCATAGATGGTGGGAGGCCTGTTAAAAAGCAAATACAGCCATCTCTAGAAAGATGATACTCTTTCTTTAACACTCTGAGGAAGTCCACCCTCACCCATTTTTTTCATCAACAATGGCAGTTTTCCTAATGAGTGTTGGACCCTCCTAGACTCAGTTTTCCTCTCTTTTCTGAGAATGTAAAAACCTGTTTCTCAAAGGTGAGAATTAAATGTAAATATAAGAATGTATATAGGTTGGAAGATACAAATTGGCCCTTCCATTTTGCCTAATATAACTTTCCCTATACTCTATAGCAGCCCTATAATGACTATAAGAGAAATATTAATATAATGCAAACCACATGTCATTTTAAATTTTTAGTAGCCATCTTTAAAAAGTAAAAGAAAACATGTAAAAATGAATTTAATATGTTATTTTACTCAGCATATCTAAAGTATTATCACTTTAACATGTAACCAACATTTTTTTTAACTTCTGAACTTTTTATTGGCCTCCTGCTCCCTAAAGGGTACTCTGCCTCTGCTGGCTTAATGTCTCAGAACTTTGGTGTCATTGGTCTCAGACACCACTTTGCTGTCCACTCTGTGGCGGGTGGTAGTCTTTTGAATGGTTCGCATGGAGTTGGGGGCTGTCCAAGGCAACAACCAAGATTGAAATCTTTGCTGTCTTCCAGCAGGCTGCAGTAGGTGGTGATCTCAGCCTCCAGCTTGACCTTGATGTTCAGCAGGGCTTCCTACTCGTGGGCCTGGTGCTGCCTGTCTGCTTAGGTCTCTGCCAGCTCCGACTCCAGGTGCAGCAGGATCCCATTGAGCTGCTCCATCTGCAGGGCATAGCAGGCCTCCACCTCCCTCAGGCTGTTCTCTAAGCTGGCCTTCAGATTTCTCATCCAGTCCAGGTCTATCTCCAAAGACTGGACTGTACATCTCAGCTCCATGAGTGTCATCTCAGCAGCTCCGACCTTGGCGGACTGCATGTGACCACTGTGGTGCTCTCCTCAATCTGCTGAGACCAGTACTTGTCCAGCTTCTCTCTGTTCTTCCCAGCCAGCTCGTCGTATTGTTCCTGATGTCTGCCATGATCTTGGCATGGTCCTGAGATTTGGGGGCATCTGTCTCCATGGTCAACCCAGAGCTGGCAATCTGAGCTTGTAGGCCTTTTACTTCCTTTTCATGGTTCTTCATGAAGAGCAGCTCCTCCTTGAGAGCCTCGATCTCTGTCTCCAGCTGCAGCCGAGTGACATTGGTGTCATCAATGACCTTGTGGAGCCCATGGATTTCGCTCTTCACAGACTGGCACATGGCCAGTTCTGTCTCATACTTGATTCTAAAGTCATCAGCAGCAAGACGGGCATTGTCGATTTGCAGAATGATGCGGGCATTGTCCACAGTATTTGCGAAGATCTGAGCCCTCTGGTCCTCAAAGGTCTTGAAGTAATGTCCCCAGTCTACCTGGGGTCCCTTCCTCTCCAGGTGCTCCCGGATTTTGCTCTCCAGCTTCTAGTTCTCAGTCTCCAGGCTCCTCACTCTGTCCGGGTAGGAGGCCAGGCAGTCATTCAGGCTTTGCATGGTCTCCTTCTCATTCTGGATGCCTCCCATTCCTGCCAGACCCCCGGCCATCCCTGCAGCCAGGCGCCCGGACCCCAAGCCACCTGGAAGCTGGTGGACCAGAACATGGAGATCCGGGAACCTGAGGCCCCGGCGCCTGCATAGACGCTGGCCGCACTGCTGACTGGCCGGGTGCCATAGCTGGGCGGCTGGACGCAGCCCAGGGACCGGTAGTTGGTGGAGAAGGTGGAGTGAGTGGTGAAACTCCTGCTGTGCAGGTAGGAGAGTGAGAGAACAGGACTCAGACTTAGCTGACGACCACTTTAACATGTAACCAATATTTTAAAGTGTGGAAGAGCTATTTTGTATTATTCATTCTTTTTGCACTAAATCTTCAAAATCAGATGTGCACTTTACACTTATAGCGTGTTGCAATTTGGACTGGCCACATCTCAAGGGTTCATATGGCTCTTAACTACTGTGTTGAACAGCAGAGGTCTAGAGTTATGGGAAACTAAACACACCTCCTTTTATTTTCCTTAGGATATAAATTTAATCTTGGTGATGGTCACATGGCACCATGACTCTTGAGTTGGACAGGATACAGGAACTTGTTTAGTTTGGTTCGATTTCTGGGTCAGCTCAAAATTACAGTTTTCATTGTCTTTTTCAATACTACCCATCAAGGTTCCTTTAAAGATTTCTTTTAGTATGTTTTTAATTGACAGATTAAATTTCATGTGTTTATTGTGTACAACATGTTTTAAAGTATATATACAATGTGGAATAGTTAAATCTAGCTAATTAGCATATACACTACCTCACATAACTATCATTTTTGTGGTGAGAACACCACCAAACGTTCACTATCTTTTCATTTTTCAAGAATACAATATGTCATCATTAACTATAGTCACCACGCTGTGCAATAGATCTCTTGAACAGCCTCCTCTAATCTAACTGTAATTATTTATCTTTTGACCAACATCTCTCAATCCCTCCCTCCCACCTACCAGACTCTGGTAACCACCATTCTACTCTCAAAGACTTTATAGAAAACTTTTTCATATTCTTCATTTGAGTGAGATCATGTGGTATTTGTCTTTTTGTCTTAATATTTCACTTAATATAGTGTCCTCCAGGCTCATCCATACTATAGCACATGACAGGATTTTGTTTCCCTATTAAATCAGTATGTCAAAGGGATGTCTATACTCCCATGTTTATTGCGGCACTATTTGCAATAGCAACATATGGAGTCAACCTAATGTTATCAACAGATGAATGGGGAAAGAAAATTTGGTACATGTAATATATACACATATATGTATGTGTGTATATATATGTGTGTGTATATATTACATGTACCAAATATTTTGTGGCTGAATAGTATAGCAACAAAAATCCTTCAGAGATTTCTTAGTAGACTGGTCTTTCAGATTTCATAATGGGAAGACCTCATTAAGAACAGAGATAATCAACACATCCAAAGTTCCCAGCTTAGCTCCTCACAGAATCTCTACCAGGCATTAGGACTTTCCAGTAACCTGTAGCCCAGCCTCTTTGTCTTAGGGTAGATATTACTCTTCCTCTACTCCTACCTTAAACCAGTGAAGTTTTTTTTTTTTTTTAGAACCAATGTGGCTATTCAGTAAAGAACTCCAAAATTTCTAGATTCCTCCAAATGTGGTAATAAGAGCACCGTTCTTTCACATAAGATGTATTTGGAAACTACAACTAGATGTTGTTAACAAAGGATGACGAAAGGTAGAATTGGAATTAGAAACAACTACAGCTTCAGATATACATCCAAATAGTCAGACTATACAAACTTATTTGTGGCCAGATTCCAAAGAAATAAGTCTATTTCTCTAGAGACATTGGCTTTGTTTCCAGTTGGTTATTATATTCTTTTTGCTGGGGCAATGAACAAAAGATAAAAATTAACCCCATGCCCAGTCTGAAATTTTCTGAGGAGTATAGTCGCTTGAGCAATGGAAAAGGTTTTCTGTCCCAGACAGAGAAGCAGGAAAGAGCACTGAGAGCAAGGCAGGATGAGATGGGAAGCCCAGGAGGGAGAAATCAAGGTAGCTGAGATTAATGGCCCTATCTTTTCTGATGCTTCCATGGCAATCTTCTCTAGGAGGGGTGAATTATAGTTGATAACATAAACTCACTGAGTCTCCTGGTCTACAGCTGTCATAGACAAGAATGAACGAATTCAAGAACCTTCACTCTGGAAATCTCAGTTCTGTTTAAATGGGTAGTGTACAGCTCACATTAAAAAACTTTGCCCCCATGGGAAAGCAGGGCTACAGCAGATTTTGGGATATTGGCAATATTGGCAGAATCTGAATCTTCAACCCCAGACTTGCTGCATTTCTACCAGAAGAATGAATGCTTCCTGCTTATATGGAACACCTGGGTCCCTACATGACTCTCATGCTCATTATTTTCCTAGTTCCAAAGCAGACCTAGCAGCTCAAGGATGCTGTACTGTAATTGCTATTTGTGACTGTTTAATGCACCATCAGACCTACCCCCTCTGAGGTTCCAGAAGCTATTTTCCTGTCCTAAGCTCCACTCTGCCACTTCCCTCCCCACAGCCCACCAGGGCTAAGGCTATTTTAGGCATCTGAACCTAGAGCATAGGCCTATTCTTCAGGGAGGCATGGGTAGAAAACACAGAAGATAAAATCCAATATTGGGATAGTGATTAACAGGAAGAAAATTGAGGAAACATCACGGAGACTTGAGGCATTACAAATAAAAATTAAAATCTTATATACTTGAAAAACAAATATTTCTAGACTTAGGAGAGAGAGAGCTTCATTTCAGACTTTAGGTATACTCTTAGGAAAATTATGTTTAAATGAGAATTACACAGTATCCATAAACCGGGGTCATTTTATTATAGCCAGTATACAAAAATGGGCTATAAAGCCTAACATATTACAGACATATCATTTCCCTATTACCTACATCACAATGGCTTCAAAATTGGAATGGGCAAGTGGAATATTTGTTATTAATGATAAGAGCATGAAAATCCAACTCACTCACTGGACAGGTATAAGATTTGTCCAAATGTGTGTGACAGTGAAGGAAAAATGCCTTGGAAAGCCTCTCGGTACCAGCAATAGGAGTGAGGAAACTGGAGAGGATGCTGAGACACAATCCTCTGTCTCACCTCACAAGTCTGGGCTCCAAGAATGAGATGGTGGGATGACAATTGTGTTGCAGACAATGGTGCATAACTGGGTGAGATTTTACCTATGTCACTTTGAACTTCTCTCTCTGTCTTCCAAAGGAAACCTTGGGTTGGGTATCAGCTCACCTCCTCTGGCCAAGCTATGACTGACCATAAATAATGCCTGAGGATAGAGATGGTTTCATTACACACTACCTGTTACCCTTCCAACCCTACCACCTCTTCCTAGAGAAAAGAAAAGATCCCAGGGAGACTCCTGCTAGAGTCTGATTTATGTATTGTCTGTGTGCCTGAATCAGAGGCCCTCACTTAGAAAGAGTCTAAATTAGGAAGGATAATAAAGCAAAAAAAGGGGAAATTATGATAGAAGGGAGAGCGGCAGACAAAAGTGATAACACCAAGGGAAGGGACTATCACTCTTTTCTATTGAAAATATTTCAGAAGCAGCGAGTAATAACCGACCAGTTTTTCTCAGGTGAAGTGCCAAGTGACACCTGATTTTGAGAGAAGTTGCAGAAGTTATTCTACCCCAAGAAGAAAAGTTGGACTAAAATAAGAACCCAATAGGACACTCTGGAGAAAATATGTAAGACAGCATTTATGGACTCTGTTTCATTTGCTATTTTATAGGTAAACTGAGAGTGAGGATTCTTAACACTGCTTTGAGCAGGGATTGCAAAGCAGTCAAGCCTCTGCACACTGTGTGGTCATGAATTACGAAGATAATTTACCAAGACAGCTGCTTGGACATGGTGAAAACAGTTTCCTATTTTATGATTATTGTGTCATGCTCTCTCAAACATACAAGATGGGATTGTTGGTACAATTTGGAGGGGCAAGTGGCATTGGAAGCCTGGTAGCCTTAAAGAATGTGAGCACTGGAGTGGTATTATAGCCACATATCTTCAATGGCTGTCCCTACGTGTTTCCGAAGGGATGCTTGTGGAGAGCCTCGTGGTGCACCCAGACTGAAATGGATATAAATAGGCTATGTTCAACTAAAGGTCTTATGGGGCACCCAATAGTTTGGAGTTCCTACATGATAACCCTCACATAAGCAAGAGAACTTCTCAAGAAAATAAACTAGTGACAAAAATAACTAGAGGGAAAGAGGAGGACTCAAATTCCATGGATACCTTAATGCCCCAAGGTAAATAAGGTGTGCAATAACGGTCAGCCTATTATTCAGAGGGCAGCAGGGGAAGCAGCAAGCTTGGGGAAATAATAATAATGATAAATCATTCAATGTGTATATAATTTAATGTGTATATACTTACTGTACAAAAACTTTTATTAATTCACTCTTTGAAAAAACAATAAAAAATAAATTAACACCATTTTCAAGGTAATTAAGCCAGAATTTATGAGTTTAACCAAAGTTCACAAAAGCGGAGTACACAAATTTAGCCAAATTATTTTATCTGAGAATAAAATTCCAGTTCTCCAGACTGTCTCAATCCTAATGGTCTTCACTATATAAAGGTTCATTTTGTGCTGGCTAAAAATATGGCTCTCTGTTAGGTACTATAAGGACATATAATAGTATAAGATTTTATTGTTGTTTCCAAGTAGTTATTAAAGAAAATGAGAGATGAGAGATCACTTATAAAATGTTCTACAGATTTTGTTCAACACATTTTTATTTTAAATTTATCTGTATGTATAAGAGACAGTAAAAGTAGCCATGCAGAATTTTAAAGATGAATAAAATACTCTCAACCTAAAAGAAGCTTATGACAGTGTCAGAGAAAGAAATACAGCCACACAAGATGCAAGAATAATGATTCCAGTCGGGAGGATCAGGGAAGGAAGACCTACTGTGGGAGATGGCATTTGAATTCAACCTGGTAGGAAGGAAACAACAGGTGCTGGAGAGGATGTGGAGAAATAGGAACACTTTTACACTGTTGGTGGCACTGTAAACTAGTTCAACCATTGTGGAAGTCAGTGTGGAGATTCCTCAGGGATCTAGAACTAGAAATACCATTTGACCCAGCCATCCCATTACTGGGTACATACCCAAAGGATTATAAATCATGCTGCTATAAAGACACATGCACATGTATGTTTATTGCGGCACCATTCACAATAGCAAAGACTTGGAACCAAGCCAAATGTCCAACAATGGTAGACTGGATTAAGAAAATGTGGCACATCTACACCATGGAATACTATGCAGCCATAAAAAATGATGAGTTCATGTCCTTGGTAGGGACATGGATGAAGCTGGAAACCATCATTCTCAGCAAACTATCGCAAGGACAAAAAACCAAACACCGCATTTTCTCACTCATAGGTGGGAGTTGAACAATGAGAACACATGGACACAGGAAGGGGAACATCACACACCGGGGACTGTTGTGGGTTAGGGGGAGTGGGGAGGGATAGCATTAGGAGATATACCTAATGTTAAATGACGAGTTAATGGGTGCAGCACGCCAACATGGCACATGTATACATATGTAACAAACCTGCACATTGTGCACATGTACTCTAAAACTTAAAACATAATAAAAAAATAAAAAATAAAAAAACCTGGTAGGAAAGATGGGGTTTGGCAAATGGTGATAATGGTAAAAGAAGGCTGATGTGAGAAGCATCAAATGATTGAAGAGAGAGAGCAAAATGGGAATAAGTAATTTTCAAGAAATAATGAGCAGCTCATTTTGGCTACAGTGGCAGAGAAAACAAAGTTTAAGATAAGTCGAAAGTATGTTAGGGCTAGAATATAGCAGGTCTGTAATAAAAAATGCTGTAACATATTAAACATTTTAAACACTGTAGAGATATTTATTTTAATGCAAGTCATTCAGCAAAGATAAGCTTCAGTACAAATGGAAGTAGGATAGTCCAGTTGGGACAGTTGTCAAACAATGCCTGGACAAATGATGGACTTGAAATCTGAATTTGCATCCCCAAAAGAGACAGATTAAGACTGTTTATATTCCTTGGAGATACTGAACTGTGTGGCATCATTAAGAAGGAAATGCCAAAATAGTAGAATACACTATTCTGTGAAAAACAAACCTAGAACTTTCATGTCTGGGAAACTGTTGGCAGCTTTGCCAGCCACAGCTCAGGAGGGAGGATGCAGCAAACAGCATCAGAGGGAATGAACAGGATGGCTCATTTGTGCCTAGGATGGGGACTTCAAGGTGAGATAGGAACTAGGATTATAACGACATGAAGATGAAGATGATGAAGAAAAGAACATACAGCACTTCAAACAGTACAACTCCTCCCCAACCTAAAAATCCTAAAACTTTATCAACCTCATTTACAAACCAAAAACTGAAGAAAGAAAATCTAAGTAGAGAGAAAGAATAGAAAACGCTGCCCTCAGAGAGGTGGTACAGACTGAATATCTTAATTGGGTCTAGGAGAATTTTAGGAGCCAGTGAATAGCACATCTGCCTCAGGTGCCATGGAAGAGAGTCGGGGTATTCAGGGCAAGGCACTCAACCCCAAGTTGTTCCAGGGTGGACATCTGGACTTAACCCAAGCCATGCCTTCATCGCACACAAGCCAGGTAGCCGTCTACCAGGCTGAATCAGAGACAGGGAAGGAATCAGTGTCATTTGCAAATCAAAAAACAGGCTGATCTTTTTAAGGGCATTATATAAAGTTTGTTTCTTTAGTGGTCAAACACTTCCATTCTAATACAGCTCCATTTGTCAAAGTCTTGGCAAGATTCTTTGTTGCAGATTAGATCAGGAAAAATTCCAAAGTAACCATAGAATCCAGAAAAGGGAGGTTTCCTTTCAAGCAACAGAAAACAAAGATTCACAAATAAATGTGTTCATTGTTGCCTGAGATATTGAGAACAGAAGAATCCGAACTCAGGCAGGATTTAAAGTGAAATTTCCTTTCCAACATAAAATTAATTCCCTATTTCCCAATTTTCACTAACAATTAACAACTCTAAAGGTGGATCTAATCCTTTTTATTCTTACAACCTCTTCAGCAGGTTTTGGATTCCCTGCTTGATCTCCTTGGTTCTCACACCATAAACAATGGGGTTCAGAGCTGGGGGAATGAGGTGGTGCAGGATGTTGAGCAGGATGGGGACATCTGGAGGAATTCTCTTCCTGGCCAGGTTAGTGATGACCAGAACCAGCAGGACTGTGCTGAAGAAGAGGATGAGGATGAAGTGGGAACCACACGTGCTCAAGGCCTTGGCCACAGCACCCTCGGCCTTGATCCTAAGCACAACTTTCAATATAAAAGAATAGGAGATAACAATAAGGATAAGATCAGAGCCCAACAGAGTCCAGCCTGCCACAAACTGGTAGAGCTGATTGAAAGTGATGTCATCACAAGAGAGTTTGGACACAGACAGGTTACTGCAGATGCAGTTCTTGATTATGTTTCCTGCACAGTATCTGAGCCTGGCAGAAAGCATGGGAACAGGAAGAGAAACAAAGGCATTCCGGGCTATAACAAAGACCACGGCCCTAGCCACAAACTGGTCAGTGATGATAGACGGGTATCTCAATGGATGGCAGATGGCCACATAACGGTCATAGGCCATGACCATGAACGTGCAGGACTCCATGGTCAAAAAACTGTTCATGATGAACATCTGGAGGAAGCAGGCTGGGAAGCTGATCGACCTGAGGTCAAACCAGAAGATGGCCAGGACCTTGGGGATGACGGTGAGGCAGAGCACGATGTCCAGCAGGGAGAGGAGGCTGAGCAGGTAGTACAGGGGCTGGTGCAGAGAGGCCTCCAGCTGGATGGTGATCAGGAGGGTGGTGTTAGCTCCCATGGCCAGGAGGAAGAGAAGGCTGAGGGGCAGAGACAACCAGTGCTGCCAGCTCTGGAAGTTGGGGAAGCAGATGAGGAGGAATTCAGAGACTGGGGCAGTGGAGTCATTGCTGGGAGATGCCATGTAAAGTTTCCTGATCAATCTGGAGACCCAGTGTACCTTAAAACGTAGTAGAGAAGTACAGAAACATAAAAAGTACATTCTAGACGTAGTAGAGTGTGGGTTTCCACTGAGGCCCTGTATCTGTCCCAATAAAGTTTTTAAAATCACTGTCATCATCCTCCCTTATATTTAACCAAGTATGTATCATATGCCAGCCACAATGTTTTATATTCATTATCTCATTTCATCCTTTTAAAAAATACTAAGGAGTAATTAATATTGTTATCCTAATGTTACAGGTAATAAAATAGAGATAAGGGAAAATTGTAAGAAGAATCTTCTACCACCACGCAGTTTAAAAACCAGCAATCACAAGTATCATTTATTGTTGTGCGTTTATATGATTTCAGTACACTTTACTAATATTTACTTTACAATGATTTTCATTCATTCATTCATTTCTCAACCCACTTATTCCAGTTCAAGTTTACAGGTGGGCCAAGCTTATCCCAGCAGCTTTGGGTTGGTTCCCAGAAGCTCAGGGAACCAGGACGCCATTGCATTACAGGGAGCACTCACACACACAACCACTCAGTCACACTGGGACAATTTAGACTTAAACAGTACATCGTTGGGATGTAGAAGGAAACTAGAGTACCTAGAAAAAACTCAGGGAGACATGGAGAGAACATGCAAACACCACACAGACAGTGGCCCCCACCTGAAATCCATTTTTTTTCCTTGTCAGTGTTATAATGACACAACGTTGTGTGAAATGATGTTACATGAGGACCTGCTGTAATCAAATGAGCTGAAGTTCACCAAAGATGGAATAGAAGTCAGAGAGTGAGTTTTAGGCAAGTAAATATATGCAAGAACCCACTTACCTGGTAAGTAAAATTACCTATTCTTCCTTGTGACCAGGATCCAATTATCCTTAGCATATGTAATCTACATTCTGTAAACTCATCTGCTTTGATTACAGCTGTTTCTTTTGTGGGGTATCATTTGTTTTCCCTGACTACTAAACAAAGAGAAAGAGGCCAAATACTAAGAAGGGTAACAGCAATGACTGTCACAGTCAAAGAGGCAGAATGTAGCCAGGGAGTCATTGCAGGATAAGAGAGGGAGACTAGCTTTGGGAGGCCAAGGGAGGCAGATCATGAGGTCAGGAGTTCAAGACCAGCCTGGCCAACATAATGAAACCTCGTCTCTATTAAAAATACAAAAATTAGCTGGGTGTGGTGGTGCATGCCTGTAATCCCAGCTACTTGGGAGGCTGAGACAGAATTGCTTGAACCAGACCTGGGGGGCGGAGGTTGCAGTGAGCCGAGATCACGCCACTGCACTCCGGCCTGGCAACAAAATGAGACTCCATCTCAGAAAAAAAAGAAAAAAGAGAGGGAGATTAGGAAGTGTGTAATCAGCATAGCTACAATGACTGATCTTTCACCCCTGTCCCATCTGACAGGTCTTCTGTAAGAGGATTGAGGTGTGCATGAGAAGATATTAGAAGACTTTAGCTGCCAGAGAAGATAATGTAAGTATTTATTTAATCCAAGAATTTTCACCTTGAATATTCCAGACTTTCTAAACATAAATTATACAATATACATTATTTAAAAAAATTTACCCATTGTAGGGCCTTAAAACAAACCAAGAATTCAGGAGTTAAAACTGGAATAGGCACAATTATGCATCAGTTCTGCCCTGCATTTCAATATCTGATTAGGAAAATGACCCTCAGTGTGAATTTGAGAAATCAGATTGAACTAATTCACCTTATCTGTAAAGCCTTCTCCTTTCCAATAATCTCAAGTATAGCTACTCTGAATGGCTTAATCTATTTGAACAAGTGAGAAAATAGTGTTTTCTTAGTTCCTCGTCAGAATGCTAAAGACAGCAGTACGTTGCATAATTAAGCAAAAACCATTATCTTTTGAGAGCTTACCTAATTAGTAGAGAAAATTGACTTGCAAACATTTATAGTGCAATACAGTTGTGGCTCTAATAATGACAATCATAAAATAAGGAGACAATATTTCACATAATGAAGCAGTGTAATGTGGTTTAAAAGTTAGCCTCAAGCAGAAACAAATGACAATTCTGGCTCTTATACTGATCATGTAAACCTAAAAGCTATTTCAATTCCATATTGCCCAGTTTTCTCACAAATGAAATAGAATAAATGATACGTAACTTTAGGTGTTATTGTGGGAGGGGAAAGGGGCTGTCATATTCTGAAGTTCTGTTAGGTCAAAAGATGCAACAAGCTAAGAGCATCAAAGGACAAAAAAAATGAGGTAACATTTCGTGGGGGAGAATAAAGACTGTCCTTTTAGGCAAAGGTAAGAACAAAAAAACCTGCCTTCATGGATGTTAAGTAATGACTAGTAATTAGGCATTAGGGGCTACTGCATCCCAAGTTCTTTGGGGAAAAGGAGGCGGGAGAGTAGAGTGTCAAAAGATGTTCAAAGGGAAGCAGTGGCAGCCTTGAGAGGATCCTTAGAAGTCTGTCTGATGGTAGGCATTGTCACGTACATTGTAGGAAATCACAGAATATTTGAAAAGGAACGTGATATGCAATAGATGGTGTCTTAGACCACTTTAACCGCTAAAACAAAATGCCATAAACTGGGTGGCTTATAAACAACAAACATTCAAATCTTGTAGTTCTGGAAGCTAAGAAGTATAAGATCCAAGTGCCAGCAGATTCCTTGTCTGGCTAGAGCTCATTTCTTAGTTCAGAGGTGGCACCTTCTCATTGTGTCCTGACATGGTGAAAGGGGCTAGCTAGCTCTCTACCATCTCTTTTATACAGGTATCAGTCTCAACCATAAGCCCTCATAATTTAATTATCTCACAAAGTTTCCACTTTCTAATACCATCATCTTGGAGGTGGGAGGGAGGTTAGGATTTCAACATATGAATTTTCCGAGGACACAAACACTGAGACCATAGCAGATAGGTCAAAGGCGAATCGTGGAAGGTAGGGAGGCTTTTTGGAGAGTCCCAAATAGTTCAAAGGAAAAGTGATTAAGATCTGAACAAAAGTAATAACCATGTAAATGGAGAAGAAAGAGTAATTTTGAGGGGTGAGGAGGGCTACAAGAAAATTCAGTGTAAGAAAGATTAAGGAGACAGAGAAAGGCTGCAGTCAGGAATGCCTCCCAGATTTTTTAACGAATACAGGAAGACATATGTTCTTTTGGACTTCCAGTAGCACTGATAGATTCTTCCAGGTAATAATATATTTTCAGCCTTGTTTCATAGTTACCTTGTAATTCCTTAATAGCTGGAATGATTTTTCCTCCCTCTGAATTTTCCTTAGTGAAATTGAGGCCTCCTAATCTGAGAAATGAAGAATTGTTGACCATCTGGGGCATTGTTTTCGATCTTCAGTATGCCAACTCCATCAGTTCATACCCTAGACTGATATTCACAAAGGAGTGGTCATTGTGGTTATTCATTCTAGGTGTCAATGAGCAAAACATGGTATCTGACCATGAGTCATTAACAGTCTGGAAAAGTCAGACAGATTCTGAACTAACCAAAATGGCAATGGAAGATTTGAGCCCAGCTATGATTGCCTAGAAGAAGCAGTCACCTAGGTTCATAGATGAATGTAGGGAAGAAAGGAAGATTATGACCTAGCTAGGCACAGAGCCTTGACCTCATAGCTATGATATAGTTAGGAGTCTTTGAGCCTACAGAAGTTTTCAGTCTACAAGCCATGAAATGACTTAGCCTCAGCTCTGAAGGAAATCACAGCCATAGGTCAGTAATGCTTGTACCAGAACCTAAGTACTGTGGCAAGGTTGTCATCTACTACACTAGGCCTTATTGAAAGAGTTCTATATCCTTTTCACACCAGGCTCCTGGATTCCCCCTCCACTCATCAGCATCCTCTTCCTCATAATTTCCTTGGCCCCACCTTGAGACTCACCAAATTCAGAAGGCTGTACTGCTGCTATTTCTTGCTGTTTTCTACAGGAGCTGCAGAGGCTGATTTTATGGACCCTGACTCCACTAGTCCCTTCCCTCCACACTACTCACAAGAGTTAGTGCCATTATTAGGCACCTGGATCCTGGGGCCCTATGGTCCATGTCCCAGGAGAGTATGTTGTGAAAGGTGTTCAGCATTGGGAGTAGAGTGAGGGTGAAAGAGTTCAAAGGCACTTGGGAAGTCTAATTAACAAAAATGGCATTCATCTAGGTAAAATAAGCCAGACACAGAAAGAAAAATATTGCATAATTTCACATCATGTGTGAAACCTTAAAAAGTCAAATTCACAGAAGCAAAGAGTAGATTGGTGGTTACCAAGGGGCAGGGAGAGAAGGAAATGGAGAGATGTTTGTCAAAGGATATAAAATTTCTGTTACAAGTATGAATAAGTTCTAGAGATCTAATGTGAAGTGTGGGGATGGGAATAATATTTTATCATATGGTTAAAATTTGCTAAGACAATAGATCTTAAGACTTGCCACCACAAGAAAAGGTAACGATGTAAAGCAATGGATGTGCTAATTAGTGTGACTGTAGTATTCAGTGTGATGCACTCTATGTGTATCAAAACATCACTTTTTACACTTTATATATAATTTTATTTTAAAAATAAGAAAGGAAAGATAGGAAGAAAGGAGGGAAGAGAAAGAAAAAGAAAAAGAAATCCTAGAAAAAAAAAGTGTAAGGAAACTGAGTGATGGGAATTCTTTCAGGATAATTTCTCTGAATACACCAGTAAGGAAGAAACTGAATCAGGCTATCCTCAGCACTGTAACTCTAGAGGGAAGTACTAGAGGAACATTCCCACCAATGAAAGGAGCATGGACCGTGGCCAGTTGAGGGGAGCAGAGAGTGCTTTTCCTGTGAACCTTTCTCATGCAGTGGGAGTATCAGTGGTCTGGACCCCAGAGATCCCTGGGAGTGGCCCTCTTCATGCTCATGGTGTCATGTCCAAGATTTTATCTTCATGGCTTTTCTTTGTCTAAACTTTTTGTTTCGTAAGTGTGGTTTCGGACAATGCAATTGTTAACAATACTCACTTTCCATAGAGCAATGCCTGGCATTGCTTCCTTGAAAAAACAAATGGAATGGTCACCAGAACAGTCACCACTCATGCACAATAGGACCTAGAATATAGGCTCTCCTGAAGAATATTCAGGATCATGTGGGCTTTGGGCATAAGAATCTTAGAGAGAGAAGAACAAGTCTTTTTCTAGGACTCATGGTTTCCTCCCCACAACTTCTGAGAAGGAGACATTAGGGCAAAAATGTAGATGGAATATAATCCCACTCCTTACATACAGTAACTCTGGCCGCATCTCTATCTTGCTATGTAGGTGTCTGAGGTAAAGCTCCAAGGACAATGGAAGCATCAAATAAAGTTAGTAGACATGCTAAATGAAGAAAACTATTTCATGAGTGAATAATTGCTCAAGGAAATGTATATTGCTAAGAGCATGCAGTTTAAACTGTGCAAAATATTCTTATCCTCAGAATTTCTTATAAATAAATAATTCCTCTCCACTCTCAGATCATGGGAAGGTTGGGAAGAGAAAATGTGATGCTTTTGTTCGAATGCTTGTTTTACCACTTTCTGGCCGCTTCTACTTGGGCAATGTTAGAGACTCTCAGAACCACAATTTCCTCATCTGAAATATGAGGATAATGAACCTTTCAATACATGGTAGTTGCGAGGATAAAATTCAATTTATTTTTTCATTTAACAAACATTAATCTTGACTCTATAATTTACTAAGCCCTATACTACATGTTATAAATGCAGTACAACAAAGAATCATTCCTGCCATCTTAGAGGGAGACCAAAATGTAACATATAATTACACCAAGGATTGTATTATCCTGTATTTATATCCTGTATATATCCTGTATGTATTTATCATAATAAATCTTCATTGAGATATTAATGGGTCATGTTATTCTGATTATTACCTGTTATTTCATCTAATCCGAATATTAACCAAATGAGAGATATATTATTATAATCCACAATTTACTGATGTAGAATCTAAGTAATGCATGTTGTGAGTTGAATTGTACCCCTAATGAAGATATGTTGAAGTCCTAACCCCTAGCATCTGTTAATGTAATCTTATTTGGAAACAGGGTCTTTGCAGATGTAATAAACTTAAAAGTCACCAGTTAACACAAAGACTGATACATTTCCAGTTCAACCACATCCTGAGAGTATTTACCAAGATCCCATCAGACTCTGCCGTTGATTTTTCTTTCCTCATGCCAGGAAATTGCCAAATTTTTGCTCCATTTCATACTGGTTTCTTCTAGATTGGCAAAAGTCTTCAGAACAAATGAAGCTGTAAATCCAGGGTTTCTCTCTCTCAGTTTTTAACTGCTCCAAAATTTTGATTTTTCCTTCTTAACTCTTCAGTGCTTTTACAAATATGTTTATGTT
Source organism: Homo sapiens (assembly GCF_000001405.40). NCBI lineage: Eukaryota > Metazoa > Chordata > Mammalia > Primates > Hominidae > Homo > Homo sapiens. Next base: position 6,009,409 of record NC_000011.10, read on the forward strand.
TGATTAATTCAAGCAGCTTTTATAGTGATGATTTAGCTGGATAAAAATCTGATTATTGACAAGTATTTTACATGTGTATTCAAATTTAATATATTCAATTCAATATATTTCAATTTATTTGAGTTACACACACATACGTGTGAGCACATGCACACACACACACATAATACATTATATATTTCCACAGACTTCTGATGTCTATTGCTGTTAAGAATTGCATTGTCTGTCAAATTGCCGCTCCTCTATAGGTAATGTACTATTTATCCGGCTCTATTCAGAACTTTTTGTCTTTGGGGTTTTGGATGTTAGTAAATGAGTCTAGATTTATTTTAAAAGTTATTCTCTTTATGATTAATTAAGCTCCTGAATCTGAAGATAATTCAGCCATTATCCCTTTGAATGTTTCTCCTCCTCCCTATTTTCTACATTCTTCTGTGCAAATCCAGTTCCATCTATATTGAACCTTCTTTTTAAATTCTCTTTATCTTTTAACCTCTATTTCCCATTCCATTCTGTTTCAAATTGTATTGGTTTCAGATTAAGCTCTTCAACTTTAGCTCCATTTTATCAGTTCTCAACTAAGCTATATCCATCTTTTGTAATTTGTCTTAATGTCAGTGATTACATTTTTTAGATATTCTAGAAGTCATAGGTGTTTTTTTAAAAAAAATACCTGGTTTTCCAATAAATTAGGACTTCTTTCTCATGCTTTTTTACTCCATCTTTAATTTATTTAACCATTTTAAACATAGCTATGTTATATATAACTTGTGACTGATAATCCTGTTTTCCAAAATTCTGATATCTAATTCTACTGACTCTTGCTCATGCCGACTTTGTAATTTTGAAATGCTACCTTATGATCAACAAAGCTATTTCTGTTAGATCTCTTAGGATCACCCTAAATACACTGCTATGGTTTGAATGTTTGGGTCCTCTTCAAAAGGTACATTGAAACTCAATCCCTACCTAATACAAAAGTATTAAGAGGTGTAGCCTTTGGGAGGTGATTAGGGCATGAGAGATATTCCCTCATTAGGATTAGTGCTTTTATAAAAGAGCTAGAGGAAACTAGCTAGGTCGTTTTTGCCTCCTTTTGCAGTTTCACCATGTTAGAACAGTGTTAAAAGTGTCATCTTAAAAGCAGAGACCAGGCTCCCATCAGACATTGAAATTGCCAGTATCTTGATCTTGGATTTCCTACCCATCAGAAGTGTGAGAAAGAAATTGTTATTCTTTGCAGATTACCCAGCCTCAGGTAGTTTGTCATAGCAGCATGAACAATCTAAGACAGACATTTCATACTAATTTCTCCCCTTGGGATTCCCCAGACCATATATTATAAATATCAAATCATACCTATCTGAGGGATTTTTTTATTCTTTCTAATGCCTAGTTCAAGACAGAAATGTGTGTGTGTGTGTGTGTGTGTGTGTGTGTGTGCACGTGAATGTGTGAGTGGTTTCTTTTGTCTGCCCCTTCATTAAAAGTACTGATCCCTGGTACTGTGAGTATCTGGGTGCCTTAATTTTATCTCCTCCCCTTGTGAGTATTCAAATTCTTATTTTCTGTATGTGTATAACCACTAAAATGTGTTTGTGTTTTAAGCTGTGTTATTATAAAAGAGTCAAAAAGTTAAAATGCAAACCCCTTTGTGTAAAAACTAATAAATGCTCCTATCACAGCCATAAATACAATGTCTATCAGTCTTATTACATCTCTCATCACTTTTTGATCACTAACTAGCAAATTACTTTCTTGCAAACATAACTGTGCTTTTGAGAGGAGATTTATTTTATATATATATATATATACACACATATATTTTATTTAACAGCTGGGGAATTTTTTATGCTGCATAGTCTGCCATGAAAAGGAAGTCAGGAATGCTCTTTATATGGAGGGCAGCACTCATATACTAATGTAATGGACGGAATAAACCTTCAGTGTGAGACATTGGAAAATGTTCTTAAACAATAAATTTTTGCATTTTAAACCCTTGTTAGCTCTGTTCATGCAATTTTTCTCTCTTTCTCTGGATCAAGCTGGACAGGTAATGAATCTAGATACCTGTATTTTATCTGCCTCAGTTCAAAACATGTCCTGACATTATCCAGAGCATTCAATTCATCCTGAAAGTACAATCATGTGGCAAATGACAGATGATGGCATTTTAATCAATGACAATGTTATGGGATCTTTGGGGTGTCGCTTTTATGGCTAGAAACTTCTGGCCAGTGGTGCCTTTGCCTGAGTTTTGCCTGGGCCCACTCGGCTCGTTCTGTCCATTTGGCCTGGCAGGTTACACTCAACTCATGCTACCAGCCTGGATCCCACACCTCCAAGGGAGACTGGAGTCAGGCACAGAGCAGTGAGGGGTGGGTGTGAGCGAGCATGGGGTCTGGCCACTCTGCAGTCAGACATGCCAGCTGCTGCCACGGGCAGACAGATTCAGGTGCCAGGATGGGCACCAGCTCTCTATGTGGCTGCAGCTGGACTAGGCACACTGCAAGCAGCTTCCCCGGCTGGCACCAGGGAATGTGGTGGTGCCCAGAAGCTTGGAGACACCAGGAACCATAGGGCCCCAAAGAGGGAGTCACAGCCCCGGCTCAGGGAGCTCCCAGATCTGGGCTCCCGAAAGGGCTGTAGCTCCTCTTTTCACCTGCAATGTGGTGAGCAAGGAGCATGTTTCAGCCCTATTTCTGTTACAGCAACTCTTTTAGCCTTGCCATTCAGCAGGTCCCGAGATTTTGTCCTGTGACCAGGAAGAATGAAGTATACAGACAAGCGGAGGTTGAGCAAGATGAAGAGGAGCTTTATTGAGCAATAGAACAGCTCAGAGAAGACCTGAAGTGGGCAGTTCCTTTCTGTAGCCAGGGTGTCCTCACAAGTGTTTAGCTTCTAGCAGACAGGGTAGCTCCTTTCTGCAGATAGGTCATGCCAACAAATTGTCAGTTGTCAGCAGAGAAAGTAGTTCCTCTCTGCACCTGGTCATCCCAGCAAGTGTTCAGTTATCAGCAGAGGGGGTAGCTCCTCAGCTGGTCATCCTGTTGTCTGCAGCTCTCAGCAGAGAGGAGGCATAGAGTGTGTGGCTCCTCTCTGCAGGCAGGTCATCCCATTGTCTGCAGTTCTTAGGGGAGAGGGTAGCTCCTCCCTGCAGCTGGTCATCTCATTATCTCTCGATCCTCTTCTCTGCTCTGGCTGATCCAGGGGCTTTTATGGGCCTTATAGGAGAGGAAGTGTGCATGACTGGTCCATGGGCAGCCGGGGGCAAGCCCAGAAAAGGCACCACAAGTCCTCACTCCAGTCCATCTGCCTCCTGCCGCCATCCATGGTGCTCAGGCTAATTGCACCAAGGGGCACCTTTAGGCCACTGCCAAGCCACCCTCAGCACCTCCCTCAGCTTTCCTCCAACACTTGTCAGTGTCCAAAGTCCAGGGCAGCCAAGGTGGCAGGGCCTGAGCATGTGCACACCAGCTGGGCTGTGATAGCACCCAAGCTCAGCCCCAACTCTGCTCTGAGATCTGTGTAGGTTCTGGGAGTGTGGAGAGGCCATGCAGCAGGAGCAGGCACCTCTGAGCCTGCAAGGGCAGAGGGTGGCCTTCCTGAGCCCCCAAGAGCGCAGAAAGGCCCGGGTCTACAGCCCCAACTTGGGTGGCTGCATCTGTGCCCAGGGGTGTGGGACTCCTGCCCAAGAGCACAGGGAGGTCCAGGTCCACAGCTCTGATTTGGGCAGCTGCAGCCATGCCTGGGAGGGTGGGGCTGCTGCCTGCTCCTGGCTCCTATCAGCTCCATGGAGCATGCAGCCTCAGCCACATCCCCTCACAGCCTGTGGCAGGGGCTCCAGGCCCTTGCTGGGCACAGGCTGGCATTGGAGGCAGGGGTGACATCTCCACAAGCTCCCGCTGTGATCCTGATGGTCAAGGGCAGCCCAGAACTCCCCCTTGCCCAGCTCGCGGCCCTGCAGGGGGAGGCAATTGTTGGGGGGATCCTCCAGGAGCAGATCATGGGCCCCAGGCCCAGCTGTTGGGAGTGTCAGGCCTGGCAGTCACCCTGATGTGGGGTGGAATCTGGGGACACTGCCCCAGGTAGCCCTGCACAGAGCATCTTCCTGAGGTGCAGGAACCCAGTGCCCTCAGCAGGGTGGGCATGGCACCCTGAGTTTTGCTTGGGCCCACTCAGCTGTGCAGTCCAGGAACCTAGGGATCAACCCACTCTGTCTTCTGCTTCTGGCACATGTGTGCACCATCAGAGAGCCTAATAATGAAACAAAAACCTGAGGCTGATGCCCAAGCACACATCTGGGGGTTTGGAAATCATTCTACCCCACTCATCATAGCTTGTGCCCATGTGCACCATCAGAGAGCCTAAAGTCAGGCCAGCATTGTCTGCCACCACCGGCACCCACCTATATGTGCTACCTGGGGGCCTGAGGACTTGCCTTCCCAGCCTGTCACCAACACTCCCAGCAACCTGTGCATGCCACCTGGAAGCAGACGGATGCCCTGCAATCACTGCTACCACTGCCAACACAATGCATGCTACCCAGAGGCCCAAGGATCAGCACAAACACCTGGCCCACCACTGCCACTACCAGTACCCAAACAAGCTGCCTGAAGGTTTAAGAATCAGCCCATCTCAACTTGCTAACACCAGAGTCCACGTATGCTGCCTACTGGCCCAAAGACAGGAAAACACAGCCCACTACTGCCACCACTGATGCTCAAAGCCCAGCACATCTGACATCATTGTCCCCAGCAAAGCCTGAAGTCTTCAATAACAACCACAGCCTAAGCCACTGAGAAAAAAACACAAAAACTAATGACACTATGATATAGTTTGGATCTGTGTCCCCACCCAAATCTCATGTTAAATTGTAATCCTTAATGTTGAAGGTAGGGCCTGGTGGGAGACGATTGACTCACGGGGGTGCTTTCCAAGAATGGTTTAACACCATCCTCCGGGTGCTGCTCTCATAATAGTCAATAGTTATCATAAGATCTGTTTGTTTAAAAGTATGTAGCACCTTCTCCCTCTTTCTTGGTCATGCTCCTTCCATGTAAGATACCTACTCCTTCTTTGCCTTCCTCCATAAGTAAAAGCTCCCTGAGTCCTCACCAGAAGCAGATGCTGTTATGCTTCCTGTACAGCCTGTGTAACTATGAGCTAATTGGTACCAAAGAGTGAGGCATTTTGATAAAGATACCTGAAAATGTGGAAGCAACTTTGGAACCGGGTAATGGACAGATGTTGGAAGAATGTGGAGGGCTCAGAAGACAAGAAGATGAGGTAAAGTTTGGACCTTCCTAGAGATTTGTTAAATTTTTGTGAGCAAAATGCTGAAAGTACTATGGATAATGAAGTCCAGGCTGAGGAGGTCTCAGATGGAAAAGAGGAATTTATTGGGAACTGGCGTAAAGGTCACCTTTGTTACACCTTGGCAAAGAGCTTTGTTGGATTGTGCCCCTGTCCAGGAATCTGTGGAACTTTGATCTTGAGAGAGATGACTTAGGGTATGTGGCAGAAAAAATTTCTAAGCAACAAAGCATTCAAGATGCAGCCTATGCTCATATTCATGGGCAAAAAAAAAAAAAAAAAAAAAAAAAATGACCTGAAACTGGAACTTATATCTAAAAGGGAAGCAGAGCATAAAAGTTTGAAAAATTTGCAGCCTGGCCATGTGGTAGAAAAGGAAAGCCCATTTTCAGGGAGGCATTCAAGCAGGCTGCAGAAATATGCATAAGTAAAAAGAAACCAAGTGCTAATACCCAAGACAATGGGGAAAAAAAATCTCAAAGGCATTTCAGAGACCTTCACAGTAGCCCCTTCCATCACAAGTCCAGAAGCCTAGGAGGGAAGAACGGTTTTGTGAGCCAGGCTCAGGGCTCTGCTGCCCTGCACAGCCTGGGGACACTGCTGTCTGCATCCCAGCTGCTCTAGCTCCATCCCTGGTTCAAAGTGGCTCAGGTATACCTCAGGCCACTGCTTCAGAGAGTGCAATATGGGGTTGGAGCCTCGCACAGTTCCCACTGGGACACTGCCTAGTGGAGCTGTAAGAACAGGGCCACCATCCTCCAGATTCTGGTATTCTAGGGCTGCCAGCAGCTTGCATCCTGTGCCTGGAAAAGCCATAGGAACTCAATGCCAGCCTGTGAGAACAGTGGGGGCTGAGCCCTCCAAAGCCACAGGGGCAGAGCTGTCCAAGGCCTTGGGAGCCCACCTCTTGCATCAGTGTGCCCTGGATGTGGAACATGGAGTCAAAGGAGATTATTCTGGAGCTTTAAGGCTTAATGACTTCCTTGCTGGGTTTCAGACTTCCATGGGGCCTGTAGCACTTTTCCTTTGGCCAATTTCCTACTGCCTGTACCCCCGTTGTATGATGGAAGTAACTTGTTTTTGATTTTACAGGTTCATAGGTGGAAGGGACTAGGCTCGTCTTAAATGTGACTTTGGACTTTGGACTTTCAAGCTAATGTTGGAATGAGTAAAGACTTTGGGGGACTGTTGGGAAGGCATAATTGTATTTTGCCATGTGAGAAGGACATGAGATTTGCAAGGGGCCAGGGATGGAATGCTATGGTGTGGATTTGTGTCCCCGCCCAAATCTCATGTCGAATTGTAATCTCCAATGTTGGAGGTGGGACCTAGTGAGAGGTGATTGAATTATGAGGGTGGTTTCTCATGAATGGTTTAACACCATCCCCCTGGGTGCTGTTCTCATGATAGTAAATATTATCATGAGATATGGTTGTTTAAAAGTGTGTAGCAACTCCCCACTCTCTCTCGGTCCTGCTCTTGCTATGTAAGATGGCTGCTTCTGTTTTGCCTTCCTCCATGAGTAAAATCTCCCTGAAGCCTCACCAGAAGCAGAGGTTGCCATGCTTCTTGTACAGCCTGAGGAACCATGAGCCAATTAAATGTCTTTTTTAAATAAATTACGCAGTCTTAGGTATTTCTTTCTAGCAGTGTAAGAATGGACTAATACTCACTGATTACAACTGAAGAACTCCTAGGGAGACTACACTACTGCAAGCACCCAAAATCAAAGCTAAAGTGCCCTACCCAACTAACACTATAGTTACATGCACACACACAAAAATTCTTTCCTTACAAAAGTGAATCTTAAAAAAAATGAAAAAAAGAGACTGTTACACCAAATGTGCAGATACCAATGTAAGGAAGCAAGAAGTGTGAAAAAGCAAGAAAACATGACATCTCCAAAGTAACACAGTGATTCTACAGCAACAGATTCCAATGAAAAAGAAATTTATTAAATGCCTGAAAAAGAATTTCAAATAATATTATTAAAGAAGTTCAGTGAGATACAAGAGAACACAGATAAATAATACAAAAAAAAACCCCAGAAAATCAATTCAGAATCTAAATGAGAAATTCAACAAAGAGATATCATTAAAAAAAAAAGAAAAGAAACAGAAAACTTGGAACTGAATAATTCAGTGAAAGAAATAAAAAACACAATAGAGTTTCAACAATAGACTAGGTTAAGCAGAAGAAATAACTTCAGAACTTGAAGACAGGCTTTTGAAAATAATTCAGTCAGACCAAAAAAAATAATAATATTTTTTAGTCTATGGCCATACCACCCTGAATGCATCCAATTTCATTGGATCTTGGAAGCTAAGCAGGGTCAGGCCTGGTTAGTACTTGGATGAGAGACCTCCTGGGAATATTGGGTGCTGTAGGAAAAAAAAAAATTCTGAAAGATGAAGAAACCCTTTGTGATAAATGTGACACCATTAAATGGTCAAATATTCAAATTTTAGGTGTTCTAGAAAGAGAAGAGAGAAGAGATAAGCAAATGCAAATAAAACCTATTTAACAAAGTAATTGCCGAAAACTCTCCAAGTTTCACAAAAGATTTAGATATCTAGATATAGGAAGCTCAAATATTCTCAAATAAATAAAAGCCAAAAAGGTATTCTCCAAGATATATTATAGTTAAACTACTAAAAGTTTAAAACGAAGAAAGAATTCTAAAAATAGCAAGAGAAAAGCATCAAGTCACATCTAAGGGAGCATCTGTCAGATTAAGGGTAGATTTCTCAGCAGAAACCTTACAGGTCAGGAGAGAATAGAATGCTATGTTCAAAATGCTGAAAGAAAAATACTGCTAACCAAGAAACCACCCTCATAATTCAATCGCCTCTCACTAGGTCCCACCTCCAACACTGGAGATTACAATTCGACATGAGATTTGGGTGGGGACACAAATCCAAAAAAGGAGGAAAGGATATACAAAACAACTAGGAAACAGTTAACAAAATGGCAGGAATAAGTTCTCATCTGTCAGTAATAACTTTTAATGTAAACAAATTAAATTTCCACTTAAAAGATGTAGACTGGCTGATAAGATTTTTTAATCACCCAACTATGGGCTTCCTACAAGAAACTCACTTCACCTATACAATAAATATAGACTGAAAGTGGAGAGATAGAAAAAGATATTTCATGCAAATTGAAACCAAAGGTGGACGGGAGTAACTATACTTATGTCAGATTAAACAGATTTTAAGTCATAAATATTATAGTAAAAAGAGACAGAGAAGGTCATTATATGATGACAAAGGGATCAATTCAGCAAGCAAATATAACAATTATGTGTGTGTGTGTGTATATATATATATATATATATGCACTCAACACTGTAGCACCCAGATATATAAAGTAATTATTATTAGGTTGAAAGGGAGGGATACACACCAATACAATAATAGGCAGAGACGCCAACGCCCAACTCTCAGCATTAGGCAGATTATCTAGACAGAAAGTCAACAAAGAAAAATTGAGTTCAAATGCACTTTAGACTAAATTGAAATAACACAAAACATTTTATCCGACAGCTGTAGAATATACATTCATCTCATCAGCACAAAGAACATTGTCCAAAATAGAATATGTATTGGGCCACAAAACAAATCTCAACAAATTTTTTAAATCTTCTCAGATCACAGTAGAATAAAACTAAAACTTTGGAAACTGTACAAATAAATGGAAATTAAACAAGCTCCTAAATGATCATTGAGTTAATGAAGAAATTGAGAATAAAATTTTTAAAATTATTGAAACAAATAAAAATGAAAACACAATATACCAAAAACTATGGAATACAGCAAAAGCAGTGCTAGGAGAAAAGTTTATAGCAGTAAATGCCTATATCAAAAAAGTAGAAAGATTTCATGTAAACAACCTAATAATGCACCTCAAGAAATTAGAGTAGCAAAAACATGCAAAATCCAAAATTTGTAAAAGAAAACAATAAAAATCAGAATAGAACTTTAAAAAGCCTCAAAAAGACAAAAAATAAAGTGAAAATTTGATTTTTGGAAAAGATAAACAAAATTGATAAACCTCTAGCTAGACTAATCAAAAGAAAAAGAGAGAAGATGCAAATAAAATCAGAAACAAAAAAGAAGATATTACAACTGATACCATAGAAATACAAAATATTATCAGTGACTATTGGGAACTATATACTAACAAACTAGAAAACCTAGAGGAAATGGACAAATTCCTGGACATATACAACCTAATGAGATTGAACAAGGAAGAAATAGAAAACCTGAAAATACCACTAGTGAGTAATGAGATTGAATCAGTAATAAAAAGCCTGCCAACAAAAAAAAGCACAGGGACACAAAGTTTTACTGCCTTATACTACCAAATTTGTAAAGAAGAAATAACACCAATTCTTCTAAAACTACTCCAAAAAATTAAAGAGGAGGGAATTATTCCTAACTCATTCCTCAAGGCTACTACTACCTTGACACCAAAAACAACAACACGACAGAAAAAAAAAACTACAAGCCAATATTCTTGATGAACATAGATATAAAAATCCTCTGCAAAATACTAGCAAATCAAATCCACCAACCCATCAAAAAGATAATACATCATAACCAAGTGGGATTTATCCCAGGAATGCAAAAATGGTTCAACGCATGCAAATCAATAAATGTGATACATCATGTATTAGTCCGTTTTCTCATGCTGCTGATAAAGACTTATCTGAAACTGGGCAATTTACAAAAGAAATAGGTTTAATTGGACTTACAGTTCCACATGGCTGGGGAAGCCTCACAATCATGGCAGAAGACAAGAAGGAGCAACTTACATCTTGCATGGGTGGTGGGAGGAAAAGAGAGGAGCTTGTGCAGGGAAACTCTAGTTTTTTTAAACCATCAGATCTTATGAGATTCATTCACTATCATGAGAATTATGGGTGCAGGAAAGACCCACCCCCATAATTAAATTGCCTCCCAATTGTCTTTCCAATTTAAAAAGACAATATGTCAGGCAACAGCATAACTAAGATACTAAACCTGACTTCTAAACTTAAAATTCAAGTTCTCATTAAGCCAAAAGTGAATGTCAGAAGGCTTTTTCTCAAAAGCATTTAGGCACAGTATTCAATTCGTCAGTCACTCTGTGAATTCAAGTAAAAATGAGACCTTGATCCCTCTCTTGGCTCTATCCACAGGCAAACCAGCATTTACTTTTCCAGGGATAAGCATAGGTTTAAGGAAAGTCTCTCAACCTCTTTCTTAAATAGGACACAGTCTTAATTCTATTATAAGCATCCTGGTAAATGTAAGAGCTCTAGTGACTTTTTCAGAAAATGTATCAAGGTTTATTTTTTCCAAGAGTATTGACTCAGGTATCTCTCCTCCCCCACCACATACTAACAACGGCATCTCTTGACAGACCACAAGAATTCTGCATAAACTCAAAAGCTAAGCAGAAAATACATTGTTTCCAATCAAATACCAGGATCTTAACATAATCATAGCAGAATGTCAAGGCAGATTTCAAGTATATGTTTGAACAGTCCTAAACTAGGAACTGAATTTCTTTGGCTATTCAGGCTCTTTTTTGGTTTCATATGAATTTTAAAATAGTTTTTTCTAGTTCTGTAAAGAATGTCATTGGTAGTTTGACTGGAATAGCATTGAATCTGTAAATTGCTTTTGGGCAGTGTAGTGATTTTAATGGTACTGATTCTTCCTATCCATGAGCACGGGATGTCTGTCCATTAGTTTGTATCTCCTCTGATTTCTTTGAGCAGTGTTTGGTAATTCTCACTGTAGAGATCTTTCACCTCCCTGAGTAGCTGTATTCCTTGGTATTTTATTTTTTGTGTGGCAGCTGTGAATGGGATTGCCTTTCTAATTTGAATCTCAGTTTGGCTGTTGTTGTTATGTAGGAATGCTAGTGATTTTTGTACATTAATTTTGTATCCTGCAACTTTACTAACGTTTATCAGCTGGAGGAGGTTTTGGGCCTAGACTGTGGGGTTTTCTATATATAGAATCATGTCATCTGCAAACAGAGACAGTTTGACTTCATGTCTTCTTATTTGGATGGCCTTTATTTCTTTCTCTTGCCTGATTGCTCTGGCTAGGACTTCTAATACTATGTTGAACAGAAGTGGTGAGAGAAGGCATCTTTGCCTTGTGCCAGTTTTATAGGGGAATGCTTCCATCTTTTGCCCATTTTGGAGGTCAAAAGTTAAGAGAAAATTTTAGAATTTCTTTGAGTAAAGAAGACTCACAGAAATCCAGCCTGAGAAAAAGTTAGATGATGTGTATAGCAGTCCTTCTCAAGTCTGACAGCCTTAAAATAAACATCATTAAGTAGAAAAAGAGTGGCATGGAGAAAGGGAGAAGACAATATAGAAAAGAAAAGTAATGGAAATTATGCCTAAGAAAATCCTTTGAGTGTGATCACTAGCACATTGAACTGACCTGATACAGATAGATCAAAAACCTATTAGGCCTTCGAGGGGGTTTATTGCCAAAGAAACATGAACTTGACTTTTGAAGAAAGTTTTTGCTTTAGAATTTAAAAAATGTATTGATCCTACACAAATTACAATTAGAAAGGAGAAACAAGTACTAGTGTTTTACAGAACTAAAGGATGATAATAGTCAACAATATATTGTATATTTTCAAATAGCTAGAAGAAAGAATATTGAATATACCCAACACAAAGTAATGATAAATGTTTGAGATGATGGATATGCTAATTACCCTGATCTGCTCACTACACGTTGTATGTAACTTCATAAATATGTATAATTATTATGTATCAATTTTAAAATGAATAATTAAATAAAAAATTATTTAAAGTACTGATACTAATATTTTATAAGTAGAAAGTAGGTTCAAATGCAGTGTCACTCCAAAAGAAGTCACATTGTTCGATGCCTGCTTCATTTAGGATAATGGGAACATTAATAAAGGCACATTTAGGATAATGGGAACATTAATAAAGGCACAAACCCCCAAAGGCAGATGGCATTAAAAAAACAATAAAAAGCAATGATCAGGACATTGAAAACAATGATCAGGAGAGTTCCTCCTAGAGAACGCAAACAATGTCTAGTCAAGAAACTTGTCCCCCTCTCAGTAAGTAAAAATATTGCAATATCTGCTCCTAAAGCATTCTCGCATTACTATTAAGTTACTGCTAACTGAATTCTACACTTCATTTCCAGTTGGAAATCATCTGCTCCGCCATTAATAGAGAGACAGAATATCACTGGTGAAAGAGAAATCACAATGGGATCTGATGGAGAAGGCCACACACATCTGTAGGTCTTGGATTTTTTGCTGCATAGAGTAATCAGATGAGAGCTTGGGTGGTCTCCCTTGATAAGGAGGTAAGCCTATTGTCTATGTAGGAAAAAGAGAAATGAAAATTTATGATCAAGGCTCTTTTGCAAGCAGCTGGATCTATGTGAGGAGTCTGGCCGATGAAATGATAGAGAAAGTGATGTGTCTCCTAGTTTGGGGCCCTAAAGCTTACAAAATCCTGCATATTCTTTCTCTTTCTGGCTTGCCACCCAGATTCAGAAGCACCAGTGAAGGTCTCTAAGAGCCCAGAACATGGAGGATCCACATAATAAAAAAAGCATGGGTCCCTAAATGTTGATGTGGAGCAAAGCCCTCATGCATTGGAATGAGGTGTGGGTGAGAAGTAAATTTTATTGTGTTAGGCCACTGTGCTATCATTGTTACAGTAGCTAACTTTAATTGCATTGACTAATTCAATGCGTGTGGGTTTTTAGTGTACTCTGCCTTTGATATCTATAATCTGGAGTATGAAAAACTTAGGAAACTACAAAGCTATCCAGTGAAAGATTAAAAATATACCTCAATCCCTAGACTCTGAAGAAGCAAAAATGGGTTTATGTAGCAAAATGCCTTACTTCTCAATTTTAACTCTGGTCCCTATTGATTAAATGACTATGTATAATTTATCATTTTGCTCAGTTGCCTCATCTGCAAAAATGGGAATTATAATTCATGGGCTATTTTGACCATAATCTCTCTAAAACTTAGTTTTCCTGTATGTTCAGAGTGCTAATCACACGTAAAGAACTCAATAACTAATTTTTGGTTGAATAGGTGCAGAAATGTTGTTATTATATACAGTACTCAGCCAAATGCTGATAGTGTAATATGTTATGAAACACTAAGGATATTCACTATTCTTATGAATACCTGACTCATGTCAGTGATTTGGTATTGACTTTTAAATGTTGCTGAAGAAAAGAAAATCATGGTATAAATTGGTATGTCTCTTTTATTTGTTAAATTAATCACTCAAGTCCCTATGTGCCCTATGAGCAGGAAGTACAGGAGTTTTCTAAACGGACTTGTCACGTTCTCTTTCAAACACCTGAGACTGAGAACTGGCATTCAATACAGTACCGTTATTCCCACAAATAGCCACAAAGGGGCAATGTTGACTTGCCAACTATGAAGAGTTTGCTTAACTTCAGACGTTGCTGTTTAAGTTCTACAGTTGCAGTCTTGATGCTATAAACTTTCTCTGATGTCTCAGAACTCTCACTGCCTAGAATATACACCAAAGCATAATAAAGTATCAGGATGGCTAGGCACTAAAAAGCTTTCTGTGATAAATGGAAAGTGTAGTATTGTTCCCTCAACAATACTTAGGTGTTTGTTTTGAGCTTTGGCTACCAACATAGGGTCCCTTCTTTTTCCACCTTAATTCCAGAGGACTTGCTATTCTTTCTTTCCACTGGCCTTGATTTAAGTCAGCTATGGTATTGAATAGCAATGTGCAATGATATCAGATCTTCCTGCTCAAGAGGCTGTGTTCCTCACACAAATATGACTAACCTGCAAACCAGGGAGTGAGGGGAGTGACCTTTGGAAAGCTACTCCTGTCTCTCTTCTCATGTTCTGAATGCACCCTCTTCCAATGCAGTTGGAACATATTCAGGTTGTATCAGCAAAGCAAATCTTCATAGACTTCCTCAGTTTTGAAAAACTGACAAAACATTGGTACCCCATCCATTTAAAATGCCTTTAATTTATACTACTTCATTATATCCACTCAAGACAGTGCTTGAAAACCTTTACAGAGAGGACATGTTTTAACATTTTGCTATGGGAACTTCACAGCAGAGTTGGGTCTGCCCTTCATGGTCTGATTCTTTGGTTATCTTGCTCCTTTATCATCTGTATGAGGATTTACTTCAAAGCCTATCTAGGACCCTTGAGACCAGTTATTTTACCACTTGCAGTGAGCTTGACAATTTTGTGAGAAATCTGTGGTCCTCTAAACCTCTATACTTAGAACCAGAGCAGAGAGCCAACTTTTCAAGTATGTGGTTTATCCATTTGTTACGTTTAGGACTCTACTACTGGGGAACTAGAGATTAAAGATAGACATGATTTTTCAACTCTTCTTTTAGCCAATTCAATATCATAAGTAAGGAAATGTTTACTGAGCCCCTCAATATGTGAGAGCTGTGCTAGTTACTGTGAGGGGTGATCACTGTTGTCCCACTGCTGTCTTGGTCCCTCCATCCTTTACAAATCCCTACAACAAAGTTGGTAGTTTCTATCCCTATGTACACCCAGTTTGAGTCAAGCATCTCATAATTGTGTTGGCCATTTGCATTGATCTACAGAAGTCTGGTTCGGGAATTAAGATCTGAGTTTTGGCCAAATAACATAGACTCCTCTTTGAGTTCATTCTGGGCTTGCTTCCGGGTGAAATCATGGCAGATGCAGGGAAAGCACTCCTGGAAAGACGAATGGAGTTGACCAAATGCTTGAAAATATCACCTGATTACAGATGTATTATATTCCTATGAATTATATCCTATTAGATTCCTTTTTAAAAACTCACTTTTATGATCACGTATAGAAGGCTCTTATGAAAATTAAATATTATTATTCATAGACATTGGTATATTGCAAGTGCTCAAAACACATGAACTTGGATTTTCATTATAAGTATTATTTTAGAAAATCAGTGGTGAAGTTGGCCTTTATATCATCTAAGGGACAATAGGAAAACAGTGAGAGATAAAACTCTCTTAGCAACTGTGAAATGGAGAGAAGTTCTATTAGAGAATTCTGTGCTTAAAATATGACAAATACTGAGTTGAACCTGTGGCTCTGGCTTGAGACAATGAGAGCCAAGCCTGAAGGTACTAAGAGCCCCTTCCTGTAAGCCAATGGGTATAATTTTTCTTTCCTACTGTTGTTGAGTGACTGGAAGAAACTCTCCTCCTAGAGCCCACACCAGCATTGGGTTACAGTTACTTTATCTAATCCCCACAATGTGGGGCAGTTGATCTTACTCCTCTTACCAGCTTCATGTCAATTCCTTCATAGCTATGAATGCTGCCTCTAAACATGATGTCATGTTTCTCCACCCACCTGCACTAGGGGACTTGATTCTGACTCTAATTCCCTGGTAGGAACAGTGCACTGCAGGGTGATGTTATAGGTGCTCCTCAGTAGTCACAAGCTTTCAGACCCACATAAGATTGGAGCTGCGCCAGTTACTAACACTTATCTCTCAGTCCCAAGCCTGCCGTCCATACTGTACTCTGTCATGCTGGCACTGGGAGTCAAACCCTTCTTTGCCAGCTGTCTCTCTCTGAGTTTCTACCTACAGAGAGCAACAGAAACATTAGAAGGTTGAAACATGGAGAGGGACACTTGCTCTTTCTGTCTGTTCCTGTCTTGTCAGTATTCCTTAGCAGCAACTCTTTATCTTGGAAGTGGAATTGATTCTAGTCTCCAGATTGGTTGGTTGGTTGATTGGTTTTGGTTTTTGTTTAACTCCCAGCCTTATTGAACTCTCTCAAAAATACCAGCACCATCAAGGTAGTGTCCCATCCTCAAAGGTTTTAGTCCCAGCTCTGAGGGCCACATCCTCTGAGGTCCTATGGCATAAGTACCAATTAGGGACAGCATCCTTCCTCAGATATCTGAGATCCAGTTCTATGGGCCACTTCCTAGCCTTTTAGGTTCTAATGACCCAACCTCTTTCCAAGTGGAGGTTTCTTCCCATAGATACTGTTTATCTGTTACTTGAACCTCCTTTTTTTCATCATTGTCTCCAATACCCACTTAAACAATTGTTTACATTAAATTATCTGTAAATAACCAGTGTAAGGTTTTTTTTCACCTAACTGGAACCATTATTATCCAGAAACCTGACACTATGACATATCTTTCCACATTCAACTACAGCACTTGGGCAGTCAACAGATCAAGTAAGACTTGATATTCAGTTCACTGAATGTGTAGCTTAAACATATAGGGAAAGTGGCCAACACAATGTCCTAGTCAGCTTTCCTGTTTCCTACTCTCTTAGGGTCCCCTCTACCTGTCTGCATCCATCCTCACTTTCAAGACTCTCTCTAAGGTGATGAGGCTGTATAGGATAGAATAGAAAGCTGACATTGCTTTATATTGTTATAAAGTTCTTTTCTTCTTGCCCAGCAGAAGTTTTGTCAAGCAAGACTCTGCCTTCTCTGAGAAGTCCCTTTGGTCTCAAAGAAGTAAGAATAGGCAGAAAATACCTGTCGACATCCAGAAAGACAAAATACAGGTCAAAGGAAAGCAAAGGCTGGTCTTGAGCTTCAATTGCAATTGATGAGGCATTTCAACTATGTAGAAAGAGCCTAGGTTTTATTGTTTTTGCTTCCCACATATGTGATCTTTGGTCATTTCCCTTCCTAAAAGCATCTCTTTTTCTACTATGTGAAATGAAAGTAACAATGCCTGCAGAGATGTGTTGAAGATTAAATTACTTAAATGTAACTGCCAAGGTTCAAAGCAGCCACTCAATAAATACGAGTTTCTTCCCCTTGCCTACCTCCACCTGAACTAGGCAAGGAAAGTAAAGGAAGGAATCTGGTTCAGTAATGAAGGGAGCCTCAGTGCATGCAATAAACACTCACTAACTGACATTTCTCTACTTCGCTGCCTAGGTAAAATCACTGAAGAGGAAGAACAGGAGGTATTAGAAATGCTTTACATATTCACCTCCCTCTCTGCAGTAACTTCTGAATTCCCTGTTTTATCTCTTTGGTCCGAACCCCATACACAATAGGGTTCAATGCAGGAGGAATAAGGTGATGAAGGACGTTCAGCAGGATCAGGATGTCCATGGGGACCTTCTTTCTGGCCACGTTTGTCAACACCACAACCAGCAGTATGGTGCTGAAGAAAAGAATGAGGATGAAGTGGGAGCCACATGTGCTCAGGGCCTTCACTGCCGCCCCCTCTGCTTTGAATCTAAGCACAGCTCTTAGAATGAAGGTGTAAGAGAGGAAGATGAGGAATAAATCTGAGCCCAGCAAGGTCCAACCAGCCACAAATTGGTAGATTCTGTTAAGGGTGAAATTATCACAGGAGAGCCTGGACACAGACAAGTTGGCACAGATGCAGTTCTCAATGACATTTTCCCCACAGTAATGGAGCAGGGAAGTGAGGATAGGAATGGGTGCAGTAAGAAGCGCATTCCGCACCACAATGAAGACACTAGCTTTGGCCACAAATTGATTAGTGATGATGGATGGGTACCGCAGTGGGTGGCAGATGGCCACATAACGGTCATAGGCCATGACCATAAACGTGCAGGACTCCATGGGGAGGAAACTGTTCATGATGAACATCTGGAGGAAGCAGGCAGGGAAGCTGATCGACCTAAGATCATACCAGAAGATGGCCAGGACCTTGGGGATGACGGTGAGGCAGAGCACGATGTCCAGCAGGGAGAGGAGGCTGAGCAGGTAGTACAGGGGCTGGTGCAGAGAGGCCTCCAGCTGGATGGTGATCAGGAGGGTGGTGTTAGCTCCCATGGCCAGGAGGAAGAGAAGGCTGAGGGGCAGGGAGAGCCAGTGCTGCCAACTCTGGAAGTTGGGGAAGCAGATGAGGAGGAATTCAGAGACTGGGACAGTGGAGCTGTTGCTGGGTGACGCCATAGGCTGAATCATGAGCTGAGTAGGCTTCTGATGACTATGTTTATGGGCAGATACAAGAGGTTATTTTTACAAATTGCTTTGAAAAGTATCCCTTTCACTTACTCTTTAGGAAGCCAATGATAGGTAGTTCACTTTTGCCAAGTAAGGCAAATTTCAGCCAATATTCTAAAGGTAGAATTGTGAGACTTGATAAATAATGGTGTGGTCTATGAAGAAAAATGAATGAATGAAAAACCTATGAAGTTTAAAAAAAAAAAGGGTAGTGACAGGCAGTAACCTCACTATATGTTAAAACATATTACAAACACGCAACAAATTAGGCCAGTATGTTACCAGTGTAAGAAAAGCAATGGTAGATGATAAGTTTTTTAATAAATCATTTTGGAGAAAAATAGCTTTAATTAGGTCTTTGCTTTCTACTATACACCAATATAATTTGAGATGGATATTTTTGTTACATCTCTTACCCAAACTCATGGTATACTAGAAGAAAATAGAATATAAATTTGATTAAGTCATCCCTTTGCTAAAACTTCAATCTATATGAATATAACTATTCATTTCCCACAACCTGAGCCTGAACATCCTAGTGCTCCTGGAATAAAACTGAAAAAAAAAAAAGGAAAGAAGAGGCTAGTTTTACTATAAATTTGTGATCATTAACCTTAAATGTGCCTTCAATAAATATTGCACCCTACAAATCTTCCCTAATCAACTTTCTCCTCTAGAAAAAATTATTTCCCAAATGTCTTCATTTTTTTCAAACCTGAAACTCTACTTCTTTCAGAAGGTGACATCAAATACCACGTCATGGAGAAAGTAGAAAGTAATCAGTAAAATTTTCCTCAACTTTTCAAAATAAAATCTACAAATCTAAAATCATAGTGAGATACATATTACCCTAGTCAGAATGGCTATTATCAAAAATACAAAAAATAACAGATATTTGCAAGGATGCCAACATGTATAAGGGAACTTTTATATGCAATTGGTGGGAATGTAAATTAGTACAGCCTCAAAGGAAAACAGTATGGAAATTCCTGAAAGAGATAAAAATAGAACTACCCTTACATCCAAAAGTCCTACTACTAGGTATCTACCTAAAAGAAAAGAAAACGATATATCAAAAAGATAATTGTACTGGTATGTTTATCACAGCAC
The DNA here is from genome assembly GCF_000001405.40 of Homo sapiens. NCBI lineage: Eukaryota > Metazoa > Chordata > Mammalia > Primates > Hominidae > Homo > Homo sapiens. Next base: position 6,028,854 of record NC_000011.10, read on the forward strand.
TATACACAATAGCAAAGATATGGAATCAACCCAAGAGTTCAACAACAGATGATAGGATAAAGAAAATATGGCATACACACAATGGAATACTACTCAGCTATTAAGAAGAATGAAATCATGTCTTTTGCAGCAACGTAGATAGAACTGGAGGCCATTATCTTAAATGAAACAAGCCAGACACAAAAAGACAAATATTGCATGTTCTCACTCATAAGTATGTGTTCAAAATGTGTACATATAGATGTAGAGAGTGAAATGATTGACAATGGAGACTCAGAAGGGTGAGGCGGGTGAGAGGGGGTGGATAATGAGAAATTACTTAATGAGAATAATGTACATCATTCAGGTGATGGATACCCTAAAAGCCCTGACTTAACTACTATACAATCTATGCATGGAACAAAATTGCACTTTGATCCTATAAATTTATATAAAATTTTGTAAGACTTATAAATAATGTGTATATACTCTCATCCTTTTCTTGTTTCCTTTCATTAAAATAAATAATCTGTCCATCTTCAAGAATTGATCCCATCTCTCCCAGCTTTGAATTCTGGCTCTTTCTCTAACTCTCCCCTTCCCTTCATGCACAAACCTCTCACAAGCATTTACACTCACTGTCTCCATTCCCTCACCTTACATCCATTCCACAACTCACTTCAATTTGGCTTCCATCTCCATTAGTTCCACAAAATAGCTCTCAGAAATCACCTACAGCTTCCCTATTGTTAAATCTTGTTGAAACAGTTGATCAAATCCTCTTCCTTGAAACACTCTCTTTGGCCTAATTCATATATCACAGACTTCTAGTTTACCTTGTACCTCCTGGTCACTCCCTCTCATTTTCTCGAACACATCCATCATCCACTACCTTGACGTCAGTTTAAAGCTTCAGTCCTACATTTTCTTCGCTTTTCTTCTTTCCTCTCTGATATTCTGTTTTCCCTTCTTCCACTTCTTTTATCTTGTCTATGTCATTAGACAATTACCATCTCTATTACTAAATTACTGAATTATGTTTCTTACTTAGACCTCTCCAGAAGCCTACTTTATGTATCAACCTGGGTTTCCCAAAGATATTCAAAGCTCACCAAGTCCAAAATTTAAAAACCTGGTCTTTTGCCAGCATCTCAGTGACTGGTGTAAATATTTGTCAGTTTTAGAAGCCAGCGCCCAGAAAATGTCTTGAACATTTATTCTACCCATTGAAAATGATACGAAGTACATGATGAAACCACTAAGACATGTCATTTTCCCTTTTAATTAGCCCTGGAATCCATCCACTTCTCCATATCCACTCTCACCATCCAAGTACTATTACCTCGAGTAAAAAGTAAATATTGCCTCCTAATGCAGTCTAGGTTTCTTTATAAACCATTCTCTACATTGAAATCAAGGAAATGTTTTTAAATATAAATATTACCAGTCATCTGATTAAAATATTTCAGTGGCTTCTCATTGCTAATATTATAAAAAGGAAATTTTTTACTTGAACTTCATGAGACCATAAGTTCATGAGGGAAGAAACCATGTGTGGTTTTTCTTTTATCATCACTATATAAACAGGGTATAGATAGATTGCTAGGTACACATAGTTAACTGACTACATTATGAAAGGAAGGAAGGAAGGAAAAGGAAGGAGGAAGGGAGGGAGGGGAGGAAGGAAAGCAGGCAATGCCATATATTATCTACCTCCTTCCTCATTTTCCAGTTCCATCTAACACCCCATCTCCCTTGCTCCCTGAGCTTCAGCCACACCGTCCTTTCAGATCTTCGAACGTTACATGAGCTTTCTGATCCCACTTCTCTTGGAAGGCTGTGCATCTTATGCTTCTACACAACACTTACTTTCTCCTCATCCTTTACATCTCAATTCAAATACTCTCTTCTCTGAGAGGTTTGTTCTAACCCCCTTTACACAAGATCAAGTCCTCCTATTTTATGTTTCTGTAGTACTTTGAACCATCCTCATCATCTGTAGTTATACATTTATATGATAAGTTGCTTACATACTCCTTCTTCCAATGCCCAATTAGACATTTCATGCCATGAAAATAACATCAATTAGCCCAGTGCTTGACATGAAATGGCTAAAAATATTTGTAGAGTGAGTTAATTAGACATATGAGCAGAATAATAGGAAGGCACAAAGGAAAATTTCTGAACTCAACCCTAGAGGAAAAGAGAAGCTTTCCTAAAGCTGCTAACAACTTAGCTGAGTTTTATTTCAATAGATGTGGAGGATTTACATGCATTAAATCTGTGTAGTGTATTGAAGATATAAAAAATGGATTATGTGAAAGCATGGAGATGAGTCTGAGAATAACTTTGGAAGGAAATTCTATGCAATATTTAATCTGACTGGAGCCAAAAGGATGAGGAGTTGAAAGAAAGAGCCAAAAATGGAGTTGATAAAAGAAAAAGCCAGATCTTAAGTACATTTTCTATGCTGAAGATTTTAGAACTAGTCATATGGATGAAAAGAAATGGAAAAAAATATTTCCATTAGAAGAGAGACATGACCAGATTTAGGGTACGTACAGAAAGATCACTCTGGACACATTATTATGCATGAACTTGGGTAAGGCAAGAGAGCAGAAATAGAAAGAATGGCGGCCGCAATAGCCAAGGTGAGAAGTGACGTGCAACTGAACAAAGGCTGAGGCACTGAGGATGGGAAGAAGGTGAATCTTCCAGAAGTCATATAGACAGAACTTATTGACAGATTTGTTTTAAAGGAGAAAATAGGTGAGAAGCCCAGAGTGACCCCCGGTTTACTAGCTTGAGTAAATAAGTTGCATCACCAAGATGTAAAATACAGCTAAATGAGTAAGATTAGTGTGTACTGGGATATGTCAAGAACGAGGTGTTTATAATCGCCACACATAGATTTGTTTTCGGCTGTTTCAAACTGAAGAGTTTGAGAAAATTAGAAGGATCGTAGTTTAGGACATAAATTCAGAAAGCATTAGAACATAGCCTGTAGAGTTGGAATAGCACAAGGCTAAGATTGGAACCCTAGAAAATAGTAACATTGAAGGGGTGGAAAAAGAAAAGGGAGACATAAATGGAAGGGCTAGAAAGGTATAAAGAAAATCTTAAGAATAAGATGCCCCAGAAAAAACCAAGGGGAAAATTTCAAGAAGGGTTTTACTAACTTGTTAGTCAAGTAGAAGTTCAATAACATAAGGACAGTGAATATTCATTAAATATTATAATAAGGGTGTGTCATTGGTAACCTGGCCAAGAGAGATTCATTTGACTGGTAGCAACAGAAACCAGAATGAAGGGAGCTGGAGAACTAGTAAGTGAGGAAGTGTAGATGGGGAAAGTTGACTGTGTAGCTAAAGTCCATTTCAAACTTATAATAGAAGAAAAAGCAAGGCGGAAATGAAAGATACTGTGGTATGTTTATATGTTCAGGGAAAGAGTAAATATTCAGAAGGAAAGTAAGATAATTGAGGTAGCTACTTCACTGAGGAAGCCACTTCTACTATTAATAAATTTTATCTGTAAACCTTAGCATGTTGTTTTTGTACCTCTCTATCTCCCTCCACTCTGCTGTGAAATAGAGGGCAGATAAAGGGTACTTTTCCATTTGTACATACTACATTCTCTAACACCCCATAGATTCTTAATAAAAGCCCACTGAAAAATATTTTGGCATTACTGGCCCTGGTGTTTAACATAGATAGAAAATTTTAAGGAGGAAGAATGAGAAAGGAGAATTAACCACAGTTTCAGTGGGCTGAGGGGCAGTTCTGATCAGTGTTGTAAAGGGTAGCCACAGGGGGGTTGTCTGGTGGACTAGAGGGAAGCGGGGCATGGCACAGAATACATGATGGAACTCAGGGATCTATTTATGCCACTGCTCACAGGTGCCCCCCAAGATTCACCCACTTACTTGATGAAAAAGCCCTGTGCTAGGTTTCTGACTTAATGGGTCTTCTCCTTTTCCTAATATAAACATAAAATGATCCACTTGCTCCTAATGTTGGTAAGAATTGTTTTGAATTTCATCCTGTCAAAATCATTACCAATTTATCCAAACAGAAATCTCATCTTCCTATGTGAGTCTTCCCTCTGTTTGAACCTCATCCCCCAACATTCTATTTTACCATCCCTGAGGTACATCCCCCTTAATGCTCTGTCCTTTTCTAGCATTGTTTGACATAATCTTCATATCTCTTCATGCTCCTCAGATGACATTTGTGGATCAATCCTCCTATCTGCTTCCAGTCATCACACATTAGCCTTTTACTCATGAAGAGTCAAAGCTCTACTGCCTGAATGAGCCCAGGACACTTGCCTCCACCCATCCAGTGTTATCACCTAGGCTCTAACTCTGTTAAAGTCCATTTCTTCACTACTGAACATTGGAAAATGGGTGTGGACGAGTGAGAAAGTCTGGAACAGGAGGAAAAGAAAAGGGAACAGATTCCTAGATGTTCCAGCAAGTGGAAGTACGTATATAAACATAAGTCAATAATGTGGTCCATAGAGTAAAAACTAATTTATTGTTTCTAAAACTGGATTGGCAATATTAACCAACATGAACCAAGTATCTAGTATGTACCAGACATTCTTCTGAGTATTTGATGTGTATTAATTTAATGTCAGAAGTACAATGCCAAGAGCAAAGTAGTTGAGAATCTTTCTCAATCCGGTTCCAATTAGTACATCTGGAGTGGACTATCCAATACAGGGCACTATGCATTAAAAAGTTTTTTGGCAAACTGAGACACAGTCATATAGTCACAGGATGATAAGAGGCATTGCTCTCTACTGAAGGAGGAGGGTCATTTTTACATTGTATGTGTGTGGCCTCCAGAAAACAAGAATATCAATGATAACATTAACATTTATGAATGGCTATTAGGGGAAAAGGGCAAAATAAGGACCACTAGAGAGAAATCACAGAAAAAATGATCTTGATTAAATATGAAGAATGTTCTAACAGTCTAAAGAAAGTTATATTTTTCTATTTTAAACTGCTCTTCTGAGACAGAATTCAGGGAAATATTGACCAGCTTCTTCATCAATACTTTCTTTGAACCCATGATCCAGGTGACCAGTGACATAATTGACCCAGCATGCCTGGCTCTGCTCTATCTCTATACCCTTTATCCCATTGTGGGATCTATAGACCTTCTGTTCCTGGTCAGGCAAGATGAAGCCCAATCTTTCACTTGCACTACATACCCTACCCAAGTAAGAAAATCAAACCCTCTTATCTGAAGGCAGAAGGAAGAAATACAATCTACGAGGCTGTTTACTGAAGTGTTCAGGATCAAAATGCATCGAGTTGCCACACTTCCCACCTCTCTGCCTATAAGGAAAGGATCCCTGCCTGCCTCGTATCCTCCTGGTCACTCTTCCTATCTAGGTCCAATATAGCCTAGGCTCCCCTCCCTTGGCCCTGGGACTTACAGAGGATGCAAAAGAACGAGCTCTTAGTGTTGTAACTGCTGCAGGGGTGGCCATGCTAGGATTTTGGTGAATAAATCATGAGGGTTTTATGAACTCTTTACCCTCTCTTACCCGTCTTCTTAGACACAGTTGGGAAAACATGGCTTGGGAAGCAGAGACTTGGAGGAGGAGGAACTGTGTCCCTGGGGAAACCCGTCTTATTGTGCTCCAACAGGTAGGAAGTGGGGGTGTGAGGGATGAAGTGGTTTGAAACTAAGATAATAAATTCTCTAGAACCCAGAATCCAGGAATCTGGTATGTAAGTCTGACACACAGACATGGATGAAAATACAGAAAAAGAGATTATAGAGCAACTCCTTTATAATAACTCCAATGTTTTGAGTGCTTTCTGAGTGACCTAAATTACTGAAGTTTTATGTACTTTTTTCTCATTCAATCATCTCCCTTAGATATGAAAAAGCAACTCTTCAGGTTAGAAACTATTATCCCCACTGTGTAGGGGAGAGACAGAGAAAGCCTTGCCCCAAATCACATAGCCAGCCACATTTAAACCTCCTCTACCTGATCTAATGTCTGTTTTCTAAATGACTCCTCTCTAGTCTCCACTTACACTGATGAATATGACTATACGTATTGCAATTCTAAACAAGATTTTAGAAAATCAAGTTCAGTAAACTATTAACTTTTCTAAACTAACAAATATATTTATCTCCTAAGGAATGTGAAAAGAGTTGAATACAGACAAATCTACCAACCTTGTTTATTATATTGAGGTTGTGGATAAGCATAGGAATAAAGTCATTCAATTTGAATGCAAATTTGAATCCCAGCTCTGAAATTATGTACTAAGCTCTTCAAACTTTGACATTATATACAATGGTGATAAGACAAGCATGGCTCCTGCCTTCAACAAGATTTTATTCTAATTATGTGATTTTTAAAAGAAAATAGGTATCTCTAAATGTATTTGCATAATTCCTAAGATATATTGTTCAGCAGAGATGCGAGAAGAACAAACAGAGCATAGAAAGCCACACAAAATTATGTTGTAATGCTGCACAAATGAACTCATAAGTGTATGTATCCATAGATACAAATACATCCAATACATGTAAATATTTTTATACTCTATATATAAAAATACATAAGTATGTGTGTATATAGTCTCATATTCTTATGTATAATCAAGTTGCTTCTGGAAGGAGACACAAGTAATTTGTAATAATTGGCCCTGGGAAGGACAAATGTGTGCTTGAAAGACAGAAATAGAATAGTATATTAGAGATTGCTAACTGCTTACTCAATATTCCCTATTATTCCTTAGTAACAAACATCATGATTTTATTGGGGTACCCACATATACTGCAAAAATATGACACTTCCCAGACTCCAGATGTTAATTGATGTCATGTGGTGGAGCCTCCAAGAAGACTCTTTGATGTGAACTAACTCAGCTGAGAAATGAAGATTATATGCCCCACCATCTTCTGAACATAACAAAGCAGAAATAGATAAACTGGGGCATTGATGTCTTTGTGATGATCTGATTTTGGCTCTAGATGTCCACCCCTGAACTTCCTTTACACGAAGGAGAAGAAAATTCTAATTTGTTTAAGCCACTGCTATTTGGGCTTTCTATTATGTGCAGTCAAAAATAATACTAACTGATACAGAGAATGAATTACTTTTAATAAATAACATTTTTAGCTTTTAAAATTTGAACCATGTGCATATATTATGTATTTCTAAATTAAGTTTTAGATTTTACTATTTTGATGATAGAAATAAAATATAAAACACATAAATTCAGAAACCTTTGGTAATTATACAAAAGGACATATATGAAATCCTGATGCGGTGATCATTTCAGGTCAAGTGAGTCAAAAAGGCCTTAGCACAGAGAGATATGGAAACAAGAGCAGAAGCAGGGCAATCAGGGAAAGGCTGTCATTTAATCCAGGCAAGAGATGGCCTGAAGCAGGTTGGTGGCAGAGGAAATGAAAGGGAGTAGACAAATTTGGGGAGAACAGTCAAGCAGATATACTGGTGAAGAAGAAACGAAGAAATTAATGTAGAAATCAAATATGATTCTTCCGATTCCATCTTGGGAAACTTGGTGGATATGGGCCCATTTACCTTAATGACATCACACAGTAAGATTTCTGAATAGTGTTGAATTTACATCTGAAGTTTGTGATGATATATTTAATGTGAAACCAATAACTTTATTAAGGGATTTTTTTCTGACAAGTTTCAAACTCTCACAGAGGAGACAGGTATTTGTATTCAAACAGAATTTGGGTGTTTTCAAATAATACAATGGAGGGAGCAAAAAAAAAAAGTTGGGCTATTTCTTCTCCAGGAGAGTCAGGCTATTTCCAGGAGAGTCAGTCATGAAATGGTGGGCCATACAATCTAAGCTAAGCAAGAAATAACTTCAAGACAAGAGAAGGATGAGTTGGTAGTCTTGACATTCAGCAATTGCAATTTTGCTAGGGATCCCTGAAAAATTGAGTCTGAAGTTAGAAAGTGTACAGTGTTTCAAATCTAAATTTTAGAGGGAACTACCCACAAAGATGAGATAAGTCAAAACTGGGAGTGTAAACAAGAAAGGTTAAGTTTTGGGTGCAGGCTGAACTAAGCGCACAAACATTTTCCAGTTTTATCAGCAATGGGACTCCCATTGCATTCTCATTTCATCCAATGACATTCTGATGAAAAATAAATGCATACCACAGAAATGAAAATTGACAAATGGGACCTAATTAAACTTAAGAGCTTCTGGAAAGCAAAACAAACTATAAACAGGGTAAACAGACAACCTACAGAATGGGAGAAAATATTTGCAAACTATGCATCAGACACAGGTCTAATATCCGGCATCTGTAAGGAACTTAAACAAATTAACAAGCATAAAACAAAAACTCCATTAAAAAGTAGGCAAAGGACATGAACAGACACTATTCAAAAGAAAATGTGGCCAAAAAGCATGTGAAAAAAATGCTCAATATCACCAGTAATTAAAGAAATGCAAATAAAAACCACAATGAGATACCATCTCACACCCATCAGAATGGCTATTATTAAAAAGTCAAAAAATAACAAATGCTGGTAAAGTTGTGGAGAAAAAATGGAATGCTTATACACTACCAGTGGGAATGTAAATTAGTTCAGCCACTGTGGAAAGCAGTCTGGCAAATCCTCAAGGAACTTAAAGCAGAATTACCACTTGATTCGGCAATCCCATTACTGGGTATAGAGCCAAAGGAATATATATATAGTTTCACCATAAAGACACATGCATTTGTATGTTCATTGCAGCACTATTCACAAGAGCAAAGATACGGAATCAACCTAGATGAGCATAAGTGGTAGACTGGATAAAGGAAATATGGTACATACACACCATGGAATACTACGCAGCCATAAAAAAACAAGTTCCCATCTTTTGTAGCAAGATGGAAGGAGCTGGAGGTCATTATCCTGAGCAAACTAATGCAGGAACAGAAAACCAAACACCACATGTTCTCACTTATAAGCGGGAGCTAATTTGAGTACACGTGGACACAAATAAGGGAACCACAGACTCCAGGGCCTACTTGACAGCGGAGGTTGGGACAAGGGTGAAGATCACTGAGCTACCTATTGGGTATAATGCTTATTATCTGGTTAACAAAATGATCTGTACACCAAGCCTCTGTGACATGTAATTTACCTATATAACAAACCTGCACATGTACTCCTGAAACTAGAAGTTGAAAAAAAAAAAAGAAAAAGAAAAGCATACAAATTAAGTAATTTATAATTATAGGAGGAACTACATACAGTACAATTACTTAATTTAAGGCAAATCTGAGGGGAGTTTGGAAGTGGTTTAAACTTCAGCAAATAATATGTTCAGAAACAATTTTAGATCTGTTTTAATGCTTAGCCTATAGTATATCCCACTGACTTTAGACAAATTATTTTGTTAGGTAATAATTTATTTAATGTCTTTGTTGTCTCATCCGATCCACCTATAGACATCAAAGCCTGGAAGATACCTGAACTAGAAAATGGGAAGAAAATTATTCTCCTGGTGGCTTTTGTAAATTCGTTTGTATTCGGTGTAATTGTCACCTGCTGCTTCGGTGGAACTCCCTGTCCCTTTCTGTTGGGCAGAAGGAATGGGCCCATCCGTAATAGATACGGAGAGGAAAACAAAGTGATGACAACTCAGTGGGCAAGCAGGGCAAGAGCTGTTTCTGCAGAGAGCTTAGTAGCACAGCCCTATTCACTTTTGCTGGGATGTATGCGTCTGGGACATAATGGGGCTGTGCAGAGATAGCACTGGAACAGACTGATAACCAAAACTGAAATTTCAAAAGGGAGGCTACAATCGAGCCAATAAAAAGTGAAAGGGCTGCTTTATAATTCCCAGTTCTCCCATTCTTATTTTTTTCTGTTTTCCACAGGTTCCAAGCTGAAGAGTTTTAAATGTGTCCATGAATTCATTCAGTTCTTGCATTTGTTTACTTATAAATACTGATGCATTGTTTACTTATAAATACTGATGCATTTCTCTCATCAATCCAATACTCATCCTTTGAACTACCACTCTGAACAATACAGCACAATCAATAATAATTTTTAATTTTTTCTCTGATTACAAAATAATATGTCAATATCCTAAAATGCAAATTATATAATATTGTATATCATTTAATATCCAACAAAATCCCACCAATCTTCACTTAAATACTTTAAACATTATTTTAAAATAATGGAGACTGACGATAAGACTCCAGTCTCCTCCACAGCTGGCTGTGTGAATTACTCATTTCCTATTGCCATTGGCATTCCCCCGTCTTGATAAATCTGCTCTGTCTAGGCAGCGGGCAATGTGAACCCACTGGGTGGTTACAAATTTGGGGGCTTGTCTGGGATAGTCCTTGTGACTACCTGCCCATGGTTCCATAGTCTCCCCTCTGGCAACAGATCTAGAGGCCAGCCCAAGCAGAGGCCAGCCCAAGCAGCCGCCTAGTTCTCCTGGACTAGAGGCTGACTCTGGTACCATCTCTGCCAGCAGGGCACTGCTGACCCAATGTGTATGGATTTAAATGCAGTGGAAAAATAGTCCTGGGGAGATTTCCCATAACTGTAGCCCTATCACAGGTTGTCTGACTGTAGCCCCATGGTGGGGTGTCTGTAGCCCCATTGCAGTGTGTCTGGGTTGGTGAGTATCCTAGGTGCTGCCAGTGCCTCCTTCCTTCTCCTGGTTCTGTAGCGCCATGGTGGCGTATCTGTCTGTAGCCCCATGGTGGGGTGTCTGTTTGTAGCTCCGCTACTGGGTGTCTGTCTCGGTTTGGCTCTTTCAGGGGTCTCGTTTTGTCTGTAGCCCCATTGCTGGATGTCTGTCTCAATTCAGAACCTGGGGGGTTTCGGTTGGCTCTCCCTAACTAGTAAAGTCTTGGTTTGGGAGACTTCTCCTTATTCAGGAAGGTTTTGGGGAGATTTCTTAAACAGAGAATAGCAGGATAGTTTGGAAGGGATACGCTTGGAGTTCTTGGTTAGGGATCTGATTTGGAAGGCCTTCTGTCCGTCTTGTCTTTGTATATGTGTATATATGTGGAGGGGACCTCAGAAGGACTTGCTGATGGAAGTTCAGCAGGCCTAACTCAGAAAACCCTCCTTATTGGTCTGGTCACATTTGTTGAGCCCTAAAGGAAGCTCAACAGGCCTGTCTCAGGGTGACTATTTGCTCTGTGCCTTGCCCAGAGACCACCCATTGTGAGTTACCATTCAGAGGTCATCCCTTCTCACTTGGAGTGGATCAAAGACAACAGGGACCAAAAGGAGAAAGTTTGAGCTTTGCCAGGCTGATATTGGGTGCTGAATGAGGTGGCTAGTATCTGTTTTGTTATGTGTATTTTGCTGGAATTGAAAATGTTAATTCATTTCCCCACGTAGCCCATTGGGCAACATCTTGCAAAATTGAGAATATTTTCTCCATGGCTTCATCAAACAGAATTTTCTTTTGTAAAGTGGCTTGACCCTCACAGCTATGGCACAGATAGCAGGGTCATCAAAAGCTGCTCCATTCTTCTGGAAGCTACAGAGAAAGGGAACCTGGAAACCTGGTATGCTGGCAAAAAGGGTAAGAAATTCTTACCAGCCAAGTTTCTCGTCTCATTCTCTCTCTCTCTCTCTCCCTCTGTGTGTGTGTGTGTGTGTCTCTCTCTCTATCTCTCTCTGACTCTCTCTCTCTATTCTCTCTCTCTGACTCTGTGTGTGTGTGTGTGTGTATAAATGGTAAACGTCACTATTTGTCTTCTCTGCAAGAGTTTGATTGATAGAAAAAAGGATTTGTGAGACTAGTCTTAGGCTGTAGCAAATCTGATGCACGTTGTGCTAAGAATTTTTCTTTCTGTAATGGAGACAGGGGTATCACAGGATAGAATGTGGGTTTGAGATCCGTATAACCCTGCTTTCAAGCCAGGCCAGCAGGCTAATCAGCTACAAACTTTGTTGCGTGTCCCTGAAACCAATACCAAATGAAATTTCGTCTTGTTTTGTGTCCTTAAGAGCTTAACCCTGGGACTGTGTGGGGATATTTTCTCTTGGTCTCCACCATCTAGAGGACAGAAACTTGGGGGTTCACATTATAGTTAGCCCTAAAAATTATCTTGAGCAGTTAAAAGCCTTTTCATGCTTGAAATTGGCTGCTCTAGGCTTCTGGAAAGAGCAATAGAAACTGCTCAATGCTGTGTAGCTCAGTAGCTGACGCTTTATCTTTTGACAATTGTGGCAAGGGTTCAATTCTTGGCTTCCGGAAGCATTCCTTCCTGGTTTGTTATTTGTGTAACTTTGCCATTTATTGAGGGTTTTTTCGCCCATGGATAGCCTCTGATTTCCTGTCTTGAATTTTCCTTTCCCTGAACTACCCTTGGGGAGATTCTAAATCTTGTAAAAATAGAAACTACTTACCGTCTCTTTGAGATATCTTATGCATCCATAGTTAAGTTAACCTTAGTTAAAACTTATTAATTAATTTCATGTGGGAAATTACCTATGGCAGAATTCAAAAGCCAGAAATATTGGCTGTTCTAGCTAGAGTCTGGTAATAAAAGATTTAAAAGAATTTCTTTTTAGAAAAAAATAGCTCTATGGCTAAAATCAGCTTAATTAAAAACAGATATCCAAGTTAAATGTATTTAAGAGAGCTTTATCTTTTTCCTCTTCTGGAATCATGTTCTTCTGAAAGTTTTTTTCTTTTCAGTAGACTGAATTGTTTTTCTCCATTTTGTCTTCTTCCCACTCTTGATGCCCACATGAGAGAACCTAAGATAAATTCTAACAGCCTGGGACTCCTGGGGAAAAGCAGAGGAGGCACCACAGAAAAACCTAGGAAAAACCTCTGTTTTCGTCACAGAAGCCCAAGAATGGAAAGAGAATAGATCCCTCTCAAAATCTAAGACACTGTTCTGTTTTGCATTGTATTACCTGACAGTTTTGACTTTTGGGGGTATCAAAAATTACTTTGTGTTATGGGAGAGCTTTTAGCCTTGGTGTGTAATAACTAGGTAGGAAATATACTTTAAGGGATGGCTAATGGCAGTTATGGAGAGATACTTGGCTCTTTACATGCCTGGATCAGAGAAGCTTGCCCTTGGCCACCTGGAAGATATGGAAACATACCCACCTCCTACTGAGAGGTGAGACTCTCAGGGGAATGGGCTGATTACACAATGGACTGATTGGCTTTGGGTTGCCTTGCAATGAAATGCATGGTGAAAACACTGCACAGTTTGAATTGTCATTATCCAGTTTTAGAGACAAGGTTACTCTAGCTTCATAAAATAAGTTGGTAAAAATTTTCCATCTTTTTCTATTATCTTGAAGAATGCATGCATGATAGAGATGATCTATTTCTTAAAATTTTAGAACTCACCTATAAACCCATAGTGTACTGAAGCTTTTGTTGGGAAAAGGTCTTTAATTAATATTTCAAATTTTTAATGGTTATTTATATATTTGAGTTTTATTATCTGAAGCTACTGGTGATTTTTAAATTTTTAGTTTTTCAAATTCATTGGCATAAAAGTTATTCAGAACATTATGCAGAATTTTGTTGTTTTCTTATATGTTTGACTCTGTTAGTTGTCTTTTCAACACCCATTTCCGTCTCACTATCATCCCCTCTCCATTTCTTCCTTGATAGAAGATATCTAATTTATTTCAGATATTTAGCCCTTCATGAAGTTCCCTCACATGCATATGCTAATCAGTACATTGCTGAACACTCAAGGGGGAATTTCTATAAATCTTTAGGATTCTCTTTCTATGGAGTTTTCTCTTCCTCAATACTCTGCCTTGTGAACTCTAGCTTCTTTGGACTCCCTTCCCCTTCTCCTCGACACAGAAAGATTGCCAGGCTGCAGCTGAGTTTGCCCTCTCTTTGACGTAGCATGGAATCTCTCCCTAACGAATTGAAACAATCACTTTCCAGTAAACAAGACTCACCTTTTTTGTTTCCTATCTCTTGGGGATCACTGTCCTCCATTGCCTGATGTCCAGTGCCTTCAGAAACATTATTTCACATATTTTGTTCAGTCTTTTAGTTATTTCAAGTGACAGGGTAATCTAGCTCCTGTTACTTCATATTGACCAGCTAAAGTCCCTCTTGAGTATATAAAATCATGCTATACCAGCATATCAAAGCACAATTTAACTCTTATCTCCTCACTGGGTTCATGGTTGGATTTGCGGCTGCATGAGCCTCATCCTTCTCCACAGTCAAGAGAGATCAGGCCAGGCACGGTGGCTCATGCCTGTAATCCCAGCACTTCAGAAGGCCGAGGTGGGTGGACCACCTGAGGTTGGGAGTTCTAGACCAGCCTGGTCAACATGGTGAGACCCCGTCTCTACTAAAAATACAAAAATTAGCCGGGCATGGTGGCGTATGCCTGTAATCTTAGCTACTCAGGATGCTGAGTCAGGAGAATCTCTTGAACCTGGGAGGCAGAGGTTGTGGTGGGCTGAGATCCAGCCATTGCATTCCAGCCTGGGCAACAAGAGCGAAACTCTGTCTAAAAAAATAAAATAAAATAGAGTTCTATTTCACAGCTGAAGCTTTCATATCTTAGAAGGACTATGCATCACAGTGAAAGAAAATATACGTCTGTAGGAACCTGAGGTCAGAATGATTTGGGGACTCCAAAATGTATCTAAAACATTTGATAAAAATAAATTTTAGCATAGGAAAAGGGCAGCAGCATCCAGAAATGGGAAATCAAGTGAAATGCAACTAATGCAGGACCTTCAGGATTAAGAATGGCATTTGAATGTTTTTAAGTAAAACGTCTACCCAAACTTTCTTTCTTGTGTGTGCAATCAGATGTGTGACCAGAATTAACGAGACTGTCTTAGGGAAGACCATGTAACTATAAACCTTTTCTCAGGAAGCTAAGCAAGCACAACCTCCAAGTCAAAATTCCATAGAGTGAAAGCAAGGGCCAGCAAGGGCAACTGTCTTCTCACTGGGCTCATGGTTGGATTTCTGGCTGCATAAGCCTCATCCATCTCCACAGTTAGCAGAGATCTCTTCCCAGCTAAAGCTTTAGTTCATCTAATATTTGCAATTTTACATTCAAAAGATATTTCACAGAACAAAGAAGATCATATTTGATGGAAACAAGAGATTAAATTATAGTGGCCCTTACTTTCACCCTATGGAATTTTGCAAATAAGAATTATCTCTGACTTCGTTTGGTTCTGGAGAGCCCAATCTCTGTCTTAGCCCATAAAAAAGGGAAGCTTATATCAATATTTCTTGAATAACCAAAGAGTGAAGCTGACAAAACCCACAGAAGTGTCAGCATACAAACTTGAAAATGTAATCACCTTTCTCTTCCTCTCATCTACTCCACACATCCAATTGATAACCAAGCTCTGCTCATCTTTTAAATAAATTGCTTTAAAATACTTTATAACCACTTTTCCATTCCTTTCACAATTAAAGGAATCAAGCAACTCCCCTGCTTTCCACCATTCACCAAGATATTGTTATACTCTAATGCCAGATAGCATATATCTATTTATTCCATATTTGCAATTTGCAATTCAAAAGATATTTGATAGGACAAAAAAAATTATATTTGATGAAAACAAGGATTTAGTACCCTCTACATTTCTTTCATTATTTTTTCTTTCTTTCTTTCTTTTTTTGAGATGGAGTCTTGCTCTGTCACCCAGGCTGGAGTGCAGTGGTGGGATCTCAGCTCATTGCAACATCCACCTCCTGGGTTCAAGTGATTCTCCTGCCTCAGCTTCCTGAGTAGTTGAGACTACAGGTGCACACCACCACACCCAGCTGATTTTTGTATTCTTGGTAGAGACAGGGTTTCACCATGTTGGCCAGTCTTGTCTCGAACTCCTACCTCGGCCTCCCAAAGTGCTGGGATTACAGGCATGATCCACCATGCCTGGCCTATGTTTCAAATGCTTTTAAGTTAATACTTTTGGGATCTACTCACCAGAACTGGTGTTTAAGGACCTCTTAATACAGTGGCCCTTGCTTTCAGCCTATGGAATTTTGCAAATAAGAATTATCTCTTACCTTTGGGTAAGGTTCTTAAATGAGCCTGAACCTCAGTTTTCTATAACCCATGTAAATAATGACAGCGTTGCCTACCATCTACAATAATATGTTGTTTCTTCACCCATTTTCACCAGATTATGACATCCAGAAATTTAACAATATGCCATACATACATTCCCCACACTCCTGGTTCTTGAGCTCCAAAGCATATGGGGTGTGGTTTTGAGTACACAGAATGCCCCCAA
The DNA here is from genome assembly GCF_000001405.40 of Homo sapiens. Classification (NCBI taxonomy): domain Eukaryota; kingdom Metazoa; phylum Chordata; class Mammalia; order Primates; family Hominidae; genus Homo; species Homo sapiens. Next base: position 6,045,108 of record NC_000011.10, read on the forward strand.
ATCACCACAGTCAGTTTGACCACTTCCCACACTGCTGGTCTTCTCATTCCTACCTCTGCCAGCTGGATCCTCAGTGTCCTGGTCTTGTCATAAAGAATTTCAAGGTTTGTGAGCCTTCCACTGGGCATAAACTAGTACTATGATTAATATCTTTTGGTGACAGAAGCCTGGGCAGTCAGAAAAAGATTGGCAACATCTCTGGGTTCTGTTCCTCTGTTTGGTTCTTTTTGACTCTGAAGGTGGAGGGTGATTAGAGAAGATCTATTGACAGCAACAAATTCATAAAAATGATGGAGAGATCCTGGCCTACAGAGCAGAACCAGGGCTTCAATGGTGTCTGAGGAATTGATGCCCCACCACTCATCAGATGTGACCTTTGTCAGTATTTCTCCCTAAACTTGTGTTTTCTAATATATAAAGTGGAATAATAATCCTACCCTGCAGAATTTTTGTGAGGATGAGATTGTTCAAATATGTAAATATCTAAACACAAAGTTAAATCTCTAAGAATGTTAGTTACATGAGCTAGGCAAATGAATTTATGTCAGGTACTAAGGAGCCCTCACTAATTCCTGATACTGGAGAGAGAGAAATGGGTAGGAAATACTCAGTATTTAAGCATTAGTTTATTTTCTGGAATCACAGCTTCTGAAATAGAAACAGTAATAGGTGCTTCTATGGAGAGTCCCTTCCGTGTTTTCAAAGGCCCCTCTGCAGCAACTTCTAAAATTCCTTCTTTAACTCTTTAGTTTGAAATCCACATATGATAGGGTTTAATGCAGGAGGACTAAAGGGATGAAGGACATTAAACAGGATCAGGATGTCCATGGGGACCTTCTTTCTGGCCACATTTGTCAACACCACAACCAGCAGGTGCTGAAGAAGAGGATGAGGATAAAGTGGGAGCCACATGTGCTCAGGGCCTTCACTGCCACCCCCTCCACCTTGAATCTAAGCACAGCTCTTAGAATGAAGGTGTAGGAGAGGAAGATGAGGATGAAATCCGAGCCCAGGAAGGTCCAACCAGCCACAAATTGGTAGAGTCTGTTAAGGGTGAAATTATCACAGGAGAGCCTGGACACAGACAGGTTGGCACAGATGCAGTTCTCAATCACATTTTTCCTACAGTAATGGAGCTGGGCAGAGAGAATAGGAACAGGTGAAAGCAGCAAAGCATTCTGCACCACAATGAAGACACTAGCTTTGGCCACAAATTGATGAGTGATGATGGACAGGTACTGCAGTGGGTGGCAGATGGCCACATAATGATCATAGTCCTTGACCATGAATGTGCAGGACTCCATGGGGAGGAAACTGTTCATGATGAACATCTGAAGGAAGCAGGCAGGGAAGCCGATCGACCTAAGATCAAACCAGAAGATGGCCAGGACCTTGGGGATGACGGTGAGGCAGAGCACGATGTCCAGCAGGGAGAGGAGGCTGGGCAGGTAGTACAGGGGCAGGTGCAGAGAGGCCTCCAGGTGGATGGTGATGGGGGGGGTGGGTGTTGGTCCCCATGGCCAGGAGGAAAGGAGGCTGAGGGGCAGGGACAGCAAGTGCTGCCAACTCTGAAAGTTGGGGAAGCAGATGAGGAGGAATTCAGAGACTGGGACAGTGGAGTCATCGCTGGGTAATGTCATGAAATAAATTCTCAGTTGAGAAAATTTCACCTGGATTTTTGTATGATAAGACACATGAATTAGGTCAATGGAAAACAAAGTTGTCAAAATATTTGCTAACACTTTCTCATCCAGAAAATTGATGAGATACTGATAGGAGATATAGATGAGAAATGGAAAAATGTATGATATACTCCCAATCCTATTATAAAGTAGAAGAAAATTAAGTTAAACACTGATTAAATATAAAAGAGAATCACTCAAACCTCTGTCATTCTGACTTCCTGTACTGCTGACACAACTCATCCTGGACATACTTAATCCAAGCCTGCACAAGTGCAATTCATTGTTTCTATAGAAAGTTAGGCTCAAAGACAGGCTCTTCTCATTAAAATGTGTAACTGCCAACCTCAAATGAGTACTTAATATACATATTACATACTCATCACAATAATCTTCTCTGGTTAATTCATTCCTCAACCCATTTCAAGCAACTTTTCAAATTTTCAAAGTTCTTTTGAAATACAAAATCTCCTCCTCTCTCAGATAACTCTCTAACCACTTCATAAAGACAGCAGAAACATCAGATGCAAGTCCTCTACTTCCCAAGATAGATTCATAAACCCATCAACATCTACATCCTTGATCTCTTCATTACATCAGTAGAATCAAGGATCTATCCCTCCTCCAAATAGCTATCCTTGACCTCACATTTGGATGCTATCTACCTTGACCTTAGGAACCTTGACTTACGAATCATCCTGCCCATTCCCTATGTATTAAACTTCTCCTAAATCCTTCCCATAAATATTCAAAATGTCCAAGTCTTTCATATCCTAATTATTTTCTTTATCTGTCCCCCATCTCCATTTAGTATAAAAACCATGATTTTATTTTGGGGGGAAATATACTAAATCTCTTTCTTCTTCTTTCACACCCAAACTTAAGGGTCCAAAAGAGGCAAAGGACATCTAAAAGGGGACAAGTGACTGTTGGCTTCAGTAGTCCAACTGAGAAGTGATCAGTGAGTGAATAAATGGCTCTGAGATGGCTCTGAAGATGAGGGAAAGGGGCATATCTTAGAGGTATAAATATGACAGACAGCGATTAGACTACTTGTATAGAAGAAAAGAGGGTAGGATTCTAAAACTGCACTGTCCAATCTGACTTAAATGACTAAGTAAATTTCACAAGACAAAAAAATAGGCTTTGAAAAGATTTGATGTATGTTGCAGAGGTAGAAATTATAGAACCAATTTTGATATGTTCAGCTTATTGGGTGTATAAACTATCACAATATATATGACATTTAATGTTGTAGAAAGTAGTTTGATTTCATGTGAAAGCTCAAAGATAGAGAATTGGAAATCATCAGCACATCATGTATAATTCAAACTATAGAACTGAATAAATTACTTAAGGGAAAAATGTAAATTTAAAATAAAACATGATAATGAAATTCTATGAAACACCTACCCTTAATCTTAGGACCAGAAGAGGTAAAGAGATTGCAAGGAAACTGAAAAGGAATGAACAGAGACATAATTGAAAATCCAATGGAGTGGACAGACATGCTCACATAAAGAATTTCAGCAATGTGAGAAAGAGATTATCCATTGCATTTGGCAATTAGGTAATCATTGGTGATCCTAGCAAACAGTTTCATGTGAAGAGAGAAACAGATGCGGGAGGACAATGAGACAGCAGGCCTGGAGTGAACAAACACAGGGAGGACTGATCACCTTGTCAGAGATTCTTTACTTCAGCAAACAGCTTCACACGAAGGGAAAACTGAATGCACAGGTAGAAGTGCCTATGTTAAAAAGAGGATTGTGTTGATTTTTTTTAAATAAAAGAAATTTGAATATGTTTAAGGGGCTAAAGACTGTAGAAAGAAAAATATAAATGATAAAAAGAAAGATAATTAAAGGACCAGCCCTTGGGGAAACAACTACTGTTACTACTTCATACAGTATAAAACACGTCACTGGCCTTTCTCCTCATCTCTTTCCCCAATCCACTATAAAATCACTAAAGTACATGTGATATATTTTCCATCTTTTTATCCCATGCTGTGTTTACAGTACCTAGCACTCAATAATTTTTTTTTTTTTGAGACAAAGTCTCACTCTGTCACCCAGGCTAGAGTGCAGTGACATGATCTTGGCTCACTGCAACCTCTGCTCCTTGGGTTCAAGCAGTTCTCCTGCCTCAGCCTCCCGAGTAGCTGGGATTACAGGTGCATGCCACCACACCCGGCTAATTTTTGTATTTTTAGTACAGATAGGGTTTTACCACGTTGGCAAGGCTGGTCTTGAACTCCTGACCTCAAGTGATCTGCTCATCTCAGCCCCCCAAACTGCTGGGGATTAGAGGAGTAAGCCACCACGCCCAGCCAATAAATTCTTAATAAATGCTAGTGAGATAAATATTTCAAGTTTACAGTTTTGAGTTTTCCAAGTCTGTCATATCTTAATTATTTTCTTTATCTATCCCACATCCCCACTTAGTATAAAGACCATGATTTTATTTTTGGGGGGAAGTATACTAAATATATCTCTTCTTCCTCTTTCACACCCAAACTTAAGGGACCAAAAGCAGCAAAGGACATCTAAAAGGGGACAAGTGACTGTTGGCTTGATTCAAAAAAGATTCAAATAATTCAAAAAGGAAAAAATTAATGCGAAAACATTAACCAAAGTAACCAAGGGAACTGATGGAGGAATTGAGGCAAACCACAAGAAAGAACTCAAAATATAAATAAGAGCTGAGCAAGCTGTGAGCCAGAGGTGGGGACAGCAATGGCACAAATTTCCTGTGGAAGCTTGAGGATCTTAAACAAGTCATTCCATTTAAGGGCCCTGTGGCCCCAAAAGCCCAAATCTTTGGGGTGGAAGGGATATCCTTGATTCAGTCCTCTGACCTACTGGCGATTTTTTCTTTATACACACAGCACCACCAAACTACCTTCTTTATGAAAAAGAATACCTTAGAGATCTTGCAATCCTTCACTGCAGACAATATCCCCTCACCCTACAATATCCTTATTTCTCACCCTCTGCTCATTCTTTTTTCTTTAGTCCACTATCTCTGAAAGATTCTTTCCTTGACATGTTTTTTTTCCAGTTTTTTATGTGTAGTCCCCATCTATGATTGTGCTTTACAATTCTCAGACTCTGATCCATCCTCTTCAAGTCCTCATTCCTTCCTCACATAGTGGGAAATTATTCCAGTTAAGCTCATCCTCTGCTACATAGATTTTATTAAGAAGATCACGCATAATATAAAGGATAAGAGAAGGGATACAAAAAGAAATAGGAGCAGAGAAAAAGTGGTCAGATACCTGGATGTATTGTCAGGTGGCAGTATAGACAAGAATACGAGTCAAATTTTGATGTTGTGTTAATGAGAAATATTAGAAAGGAATACTGTACTAACAGAAGTAACAGTGATCAGAGGAAAATAACTTCTATTTCATGTTGCCCTTGTTCAACCATGCTTAGAATATTGTGTCCAATTCAATGCACCCTGATTTAAGGACCAATTTAAAACTGTACCACCTAGAAAAAGTGCCCAGGATAAAGAAGACATTAAAAACTCATTATGAGAAACATTTCACTAAAGTGTAGATGTTTTAACTAAGCGACACCTTCCCAATATATGACTGACCTTTAAGGGGAAGAGGAGAAAACTAGGGCAATTAGGAGAAAATCACAGGGAAGTCTGTTCCTGCTGGCTATAAATCATGTCTAATAATCAGAGGAAGCTTTCTCTCCCATTAACACTGGAACATGTTGGGAGAAGGCAATGAGTACATTTCCTCACCAGCTCTTGTGCTGAGCCTCAAGGACCTGGGTGCCCTGTGTCATGTTAAACTCAAAATGCTATCCTAGAACCATTCTTTCCCTCTCAAATCCCTAGAATGCTTTTCTGGGCACACTTGCATAAAGTTCTCAGCCACAGAACACATGGGATCCCTTGTACGCAACACTAATGGGATTGCTGAGAGTATAAAAGGGCCTTCCAGGAGGAATACAGGATTTTAAATATTAGTGCATCCAGCACCACAGTTCCTAGACTTTTTTCTTTTTTCATGGGAGCCAGTATAAGCGTGAGGAGAAAATTTTCTCTTCTGAGTCCTCTGGTGACCCAGTATCTACTGGCCCAATGCAGTGATGCTCCCCTCCCTTAGCCCTGGAACTCACAGAGGATGCAACAGATTGGGTCCTGCTTGAGGAGTCAGCGGACTGCATCCAGTAACCAGAGCTGAGACTGCTTCAGAATCTAAAGGATTTTATGATGGACAGTCAGTTCGTCACACTGTCCCACCCTCTTCAACAAGCTAGCTGAAAGCAGTAGTTTGGGAGACTGGGACTCAGCAGCTGATGAGCTGGCTCCCTTGCAGGGGCCCTCCTCTTAGCTTATATTAAGGGGCTACTGAGTGCCTGTGGTTGAGATGCAGGGAACAGGACTTTAGCTTGTTGAAATTCCAATCTGTATCTATCTGCTTGACTACACAGACCATTCTCTTAAACATTTCCGTATTCTACTTTCAACATCTTGAAATATTATATTGATAGATTTCCTTATATTAAATCTTTTCAGATTTTGTTTGTTTGTTTGTTTTTTGAGACGGAATCTCCCTCTGTCGCCCAGGCTGGAGAGCAATGGTGCGATCTCTGCTCACTGCAACCTCTGCTTCCTGGGTTCAAATGATTTTCCTCCCTCAGCCTCCTGAGTAGCTGGGATTACAGGTGCCCACCGCTGCGCCTGGCTAATTTTTGTATTTTTAGTAGAGATGGGGTTTTGCCATTTTGGCCAGGCTGGTTTCAAACTCCTGACCTCAGGTGATCTGCCTGCCTCAGCCTTGCAAAGTGCTGGGATTACAGGCATGAGCCACTGCACCCAGCCAGAATTTTTAATATACCTATACAATTCCCTTCTTCTTACAGAATCCTGAACTCAACTCTGCTATTTGATCTCTGCATGAATTTTGGTAGCTAACTTACTATACATAAATCTCAGTCATTCAATAAATACCTATTCATTATCGTCAACTATATGTCCAGAACAAGATTAGTCACAGGAATAAAAGGTGACTAAAGTAGTTACAGTCCCTGCCCTCATCAAAATTTTATTACAGTAATTGCATTACATTATGGTATCAGTAGTTTCTCATTGTTCATAAAACAAAACCAACTTTCCTACTAGGGACTACTCAAAACTACACATGAACTAGACTGTAAGCTTCATCAGGATTAGATCCATGTCAATTTTGTTCCCCATTAACATGGTGTCTAGTACAATGTTTACAATGCAGTAGAATCAAGACACTTCTACCTAATTAATTATTCAAGATCATACATCTGTCTCCCTCTTACCTCTCCAGTGTATTCAGAACCACTTTTTCAGTGAATGATTATTTCTACCATAGTCATTGCTTAATGCCTTTTCAGGGTTTGTGATTATGAAGTTAAACTGAAGCCAATCGCTGCATTATGTGATTTTTTTCTTAACTTTAATTCCTAGGTCCAACCTTAGAAAAGGCAAACAGTTGGGTTTAACCCAGTGTGCTGTTTATTTATTACTTGACTACAAATCCATTTTCTTCTCTTATCTGCTCCGTGCTTGAGGAGGCTGATCTCTGTGGCCTGCTTCAGCTGGGCTTTCTAACATGACTCCCTGGCTTCCAGTTCAAACAATAGGGGCCACCTGAAAGGGATCGAGATATGGAAAGAGAAAGAGGGACCCCTTTGTTTTTATGCAGTTCTGTCAGTGGCTGTGTTTCTCTATAGCCAGAAATTTTACTGGGAAGCATCTCTTACACAGCTCCAGGGCTCCCTAGGCTTAAGGAATGTTGCTGCCTGTCCTTGCCCTTTAGGTCTGGAGGTGCTTCCTGTTCTTGCTAGCTCCTAGATGTTTCTTGTTGGTTTCCTCGACCCTCCCATCACCTCTACAAATTATCCCTTTATTAAGCTCCTTTTCGTGAAATCCTTTTCTTGTATTCCCTCTTTCCTGCTTAGATCATAAATGATACAGTAATTGGTAACAGAAGGGGACTCAATACCAAACCCTCCAAATGGGATGCTAGGACTGAGTTATTTACATATTTGGTGATATGTGGAAAACTACTTGCCAGAGCAAACTGAAACATTAAAATGCAGCATGGAGTGGCATCTTGATAATGCAAATTATCAACAGTGCGCATAGGAGGCAGGCTAGTGGAGGGCAAGGACCTATGGTGAGAAAGACTGTAGGCTGTCTGGATTAAAATTCCAGCACCATCACTTCCTAGCTGCGTTACTTTGGACAGATCACTTTCCCTCTCTGGGTCTCAGTTTCCGTATTTAACATGAAGATAATAATAGTGACCTGTCTTGTAGATTGCTTGTGAAGATTAAGAGTCTATATATATATAAATAGCACTTACAACAGCGCTGGTCTCATAGGAAGCACTATATGAGCTAACTATTATCAGTTGCACGATTTTATATGTAACTCATGTTAATTCCTTTGAGTCTTCATCTTTTCTTTTGGGTAGAGACTCCTCACACATGCTTCAGACTTTTCTCCAGTTTGGAACTAACTAAAAAATATAAAGTTCTACCTCTGATGCTTATGTCTTCCTCTAATATGTGGGGTTTTTTCTCATTATGCTGTCATCAGCATAGAGAGAGCTCAGAATGGGTTTTTCAGATAACATTTGCTGGAAATAAGATTCAAAGCCTGGAGCCTGAGGAAGCTAGGAGTCCATATCAGAGGGCCCTTTAAGGCCAGGACCTGAGAAAGAAGACATTCTTAGTGGGTAAAAATAGAGGAATTACAGAAAATGAATATGATAGGGATACCTGTTGTCTTGGATTTGGCACTAGATTAGAGAATGAGAGAGAGGCAGGGAAGGAAGGAGGGAGAGGAAACAAGGTAAAGGGAAGGAAATGATAAGGGAAGGGGAGAGGAGAGAAGAGGAGAAAAGGAAAGAGGGGAGGAGGGGAGGAGAGACTACCCCTTGAGAATTCCTAATCACAAGTCTGCACTTATGGTGTTTGATGGCTGGAATTCACATAACATGTGTGTCCTCATAGCTCATAAGTAAAGTACTGTTTTTACTGGTTTAAAGTTCCTTGTAACATTTCTTTTACTGTCATTTTAATGTCTAGTAAGATCTGTAGTAGTAACTCCTTTTTAAATCATCATTTTGATTCTTGGTGTTTCTTTCTTTTTTCTTGATAGGTCTTACTAGGGCTTTATCAACTTTATTAATCTTTCCCAAAAACCAAATTAAAGATTTGTTGATTTTATCTATTGTTTCTGTTTTCTGTTTTATTTATTCTGCTCTTCTCTTTATTAATTCCCTACTCTTGTTTACCTTGGGTTTAATTTATTGTTTCTTTTCTAAATTATTAAGTTGTCAACTTAGGTAATTAATTTTAAATCTTTATTCTTTTCTAACATAAGCATTTAAATTTATAAATGTCCTTCTATTTTCTCTCTAGCTGCATCCTGCAACTTTTGCTATATGTCATTATCAATCAGTTTGAAATATTTTCTAACTTTCCCTCTGATTTATTATTTGATCCATGGATTATTTATGTATATTTTGTTTAGTTTCCAAATGTTTAGGGCTTTTCATGCCATCCTGTTGTTATTGTTGTTCAATTTAATTCTGCATTGGTAAGACAATATATTCTGTAACATTTCACTCCTTTGGAATTTATTGAGATATGATTTATGAGCAAACACACACAAAAATGCCCCACCCCCTCCTTGTGGCTTTCCAAGTCCCCATGTAACATTATCAACAGGCTCTAAGTTCCCTCACCCAAAGGATGAGAAAGAGCCCACATTCTGCCAGTTAGGGAAGAATCTCATTTCCTCCACTTTACACTTCCACGGAGGGAGGCTTTTCTTCTCACCACAAGGGGAAACATGGGAGTGAATACTTCTCTTTCCTCTCCTCTTCTCCCTTCCTTTGCTTGCTTTTCCATATGGAAAGAAGGATCACTAATACAATTGAAGAGATTGTTGGAAGCAATGGCTGCAATGGTATGAAACATGCTGTACCTGTTTCACTGCCTGCCTCATGGATATGTAAGGATGGCAGTGGACTCCTTTGCTTTATACTCGAATACCATAACCTCACCTGCAGAAAAGCCCATGATTTTCCTTCTAGGGAGAGAAACCTAGAAGATAACCGTGATCTGTATTGCATTTTATGTTCTGCTAGGGGTTCTGTTTATGGGGTCCTATAGTCCTCCGTGCAGATGGCTGGCAAATTATACTTGGAGCCTAATTTTCCAGGTCAAATCTCCTCATGGATAGGGGAAGGGAGTAGGAAGAAATCTCAAGATCTAGAATTAAGGGAAGGGAATTGAGGGTCTCTTGTTTGTCCCCTGGTCCCACTTGTATTTTCCAACCATGAATAACCAGACAATCCTGGATATGGAAGTTACTGGGTTCTAATTGTTATGATTTTGACCCCTATTTAATTCCTTGTGGACATTCGCTACTGCTAAGAGTGTGAATGGGCTAGCGAGAAATCTGCACTTTTAATCTCTGACAGCACTACTGAGCTTCTTCCTCTCAAAAACGTACCCTGTCTCCTCCAGGTGGAGAAGGATCTAATTCTAGAATGGGAGATCTGTTCCCCTAGTCCTACATAGAAAATGACACTAAAAATTATTAAAAGGAAAAACTGAGCACTCACTGCAGAGGTATCAATTTTGTGTATTCATTGACTATAATATTTCTTATCACAAATAATTATTGAGGGTGTATATTGTGTTGAAAAATGACAGGCACTTGGTAATGAGAAGTACATGGAAGACAAAAGAATCCTGCCTCCCTGAAGCCTACAATCTAGCATGAAAGATATACACAGCACAAGTAATATCACAAATTTTGCTAGAATTGTAATCATTCCAATTCAAGACATTGGATTGCAAACACTGTTTACTTCCTCTCTCTCTCCCAGTGTACCCATTAAATTGCTAAAGAAATATAAAAATGAAAATAATGCAATAACAATATAGAATATGAGCAAATATACTTGGATTGCATCATATACTTTGAGAAATTTTTGGAATTCATAAATCAGACTAAATTGGATTCATAGAAAAACTGGGACCCAAAAACCTGCAAACCAATGTGTAGTTATGTATATGTGGAGGGTGGGAACTATAGGGGAAGAGGAATTGGAAAAGTTAAAGCTTGATGCAGGGCTGGGAAATGTTCTCATTAAGAGATTCAGGGTGCAAACCTCATCATTACACAATATATCCCTGTACCAAACCTGCATATGTAACCCCTGAATCTATTTTTAAAATCTAAAAATTTTAAGAGATCCCAAGGGATACTCCAAGTTTAAAATCAATAAAATGATAACAGTAATTGAAAGCAATTAATTAGTGCATTGATTAATTTATTGTTATTCTACTTCCAGCAATTGGATCAGTTTAGTATGAAACCTGGCTCCCTATAAAATGCAAGAGGCAACTTTGTATCTTCAAACCCTATAATTGCAGTGGGGCAGATGTAATCAGAGGCAATTACAAGGTAACTTTGGTTCTCCAAGTTACAAATAGAGAAAAGGTATGGAGAGGCAGCTCCACAGGTCAGCAAACTATACCAGATTATCTCTGATTGCAGATATAAAAGCTTCTCTACTTCAGCAAAAGATGAGGGAATGCAGCTCATCTTTCATTTTCCTCTTGACAGCCTGAGGAGAATTCTGTCTGTTAGCAAATCCGTGTACAATGACCTACAAAGTCCTACAATTGGGGCACAAGAGCAGTGACCTTTACAGGCTCTGAGAAAACTCACAGCGAGGACCCAACCATTTAATTCTCATCTACAAACAAATAAGAGTAAAAATCTACAAATAATTGAGAAAAAACTAGTATCGTGAAGAAAGGACCAGGCTGAACAAGCGGAGAAACTCATCCCTTAAAGAAAAGAGTAAATGCAAGAAAAAAGTCATTTATAATATGCATAATAAATATTTTAGAAATGTCCTAATTTATGCATTTTGATGTGGCAGAAAAGTAAAGGAATCTAAGTCATCCTAAAAGACACGAAAAGGTTCATCTAAAGGGTTAACACTAGCATTTAGCTGAATGGCTGTACCATGTAAATGTGCTGCCAGCACAAACTTAGAGGTTTGGAAGACACTCTAAACCTAAAACCAAGCTGAGGGTGGGACTTCCCATTGCCATTCCAGAGAATGTTGCATAGTCTATCACTGGGCAATGGCAGGAAAGATGACACATCCAGAGCTGTCATCCATTTCTACTGTCCTCAAGTCTCTCTGACACAGGAGTAGGAAAATGTTGGAATCAGGAGCAAAAGAAAGAATGGAAAAACTATTCACAAATTCAGGTATCCAGATACATCCCAATAAGCTGTGAAGCCAGGTGCCTCTGGATATTCTTTGCTGTGATATGTGACACTAGAAGGACTGCTCGCTGTGAAAATTACCCCATCCATATAATCTGCACCAGCCATGAGTTCCTGGCTATGTCCTGGCAGGTGCCTCTGAAGGAAACAGTGAGAATATATTCAGGTCAATCCTTTAGTGTAAACACCCTGAGCACTCACTGGTGGATCTTCTGGGTCTTCACCCCATAGACAAGAGGATTGAGTGCAGGTGGCACAAGGCGATACAGTATGGCCAGAAGAACATGGACGTGATGGGGTACATGATGACCAAAGCGGTGAGTGAGGAAGGAGAACATTCCCGGGATATAGAAGACCAGGATGACACAAACATGAGAGCCACATGTGCTAAACGCCTTAAGTCGGGCCTCATTTCCTGGTACCTTCAGCACTGCCTGGAGAATGTGGGCATAGGAAACACCAATGGCCAGGACATCCAGCCCAACCACAAGCAAGGCCACAGTCAGCCCATAAGCTCGATTGACTGTGGTTTCTGAGCAGGCAAGTTTCACAACAGCCATATGTTCACAATAGGCATGGCCTATGATGGTGGCTTGGCAGAAGATAAGTTTTCGCAACAGAATGAGGAAGGGGATGAGGAGTAGTAATCCCCGCACCAGCACCACCATTCCGATGTGCCCTATGACCCCTGGATGCAGGATCGTGGAATGGTGCAAGGGGTGACAAATGGCTACATAGCGATCCAGAGCCATGGCCACAAGTACCCCTGACTCCATGGAGGAGAATGCATGGGTGAAGAACATCTGGATCAGGCAGACAGTGTAACCAATCTCTTGGGCACGAACCAGGAGCACTGCAAGGGCTTTGGGTGCAGTGGAGGAGGCCACAACCAGGTCGATGGCAGCTAGCATGGACAGGAAGAGGTACATAGGTTGGTGCAAGGATGGGTCCATCCAGATGATGAAGAGAATGGTAACATTGCCCACTAGAGCAAGGAGGTAAAGGATGCCCAGGGGCAGTGCGATCCAGTGCTGGCTTTCCTCTAAACCCGGAATTCCTACCAGGAAAAAAGAAGGCTGGGGTAGCCTCCAGCTGGAATTGCTAAGCGCCATTATCAATGACTTGAGGAGGAAAGAGAAAAAAGAATCCAAATTCATGATTTCTGCATTTCTGGTACATTATCACATAGTCCAGATCACATTGTCTACCATCTTCATGAGAAGAATAAAGTGACTAAAACTGCAACCAAAGGGAATAAAGTTAGATACAAGAAAGAAAATCTTTGGTGGAGATAAATTTTTTTACAGGTGAGACATCCACATGTCTGAATTAGAATAGGTCTAGTTTTTTTAGAGATAAGAGTAAACATACACTGTTTTGGGAGAGATGCATAAGCTTTAACCATTCAGTTGCTTATGTTTTGAAGCTGCCAACTTCAAAGGGTTCTCTTTATTAGCCTCTTGGCGTTACTGAACACAGTAAATTAAACTGTTGTTTTTGAAATTAGCCTCCCTCAGTTTCCGTGAAGTGGCACTCTAGAGTTGTTTCTCCTATAGCCTCAGTCCCACCATTTTCTCCATCTCATTATGTTGTTGATTCCAGGGATCCATCCTCTCCTCTTTTCCCTATTCAGTACATTATCTCTGAATTGACCTCATCCACTTTCATAGTTTTATCTATCTACTTTTATTTCTTTCAAATCTGTGTTTCTAAGTCAAATATCTTTCTGAAACACAAATCATTCTTTCCATTTGCTTCCTGAATAGCTATACTATAGCCTCAACATATTCAAAACTAAATTAATTCATCTATCCTTCTTAAATCTGTCCTACCTACCTTTGGCAATATTTTTATGAATTACATTACTATCCATCTACCAAACCCAATCTAGAAACTCGGAAACTATCTTTACTTATTCTTATCTCTCATCCCTTTTCCCCATTCGCCAATTCCTGTTAACTGCATTTTTAACACATAGCTGTTATATCCACTCCTGTTTTCAACCCCCGATGTCAAACATCCAACTTCTCTCACCTGTACTGTTTCATTACATCTCTCTGCCTTTGCTGTAAACATCTTCCCAATTCACTCTCAACCTTAAAGTCAGGTTTTTCCTAAAATGCAGATGTCGTTATGTCGTGCCTATGGCTAAAATCCTTCAGTGAATCTATTGCATGGAATAAAATCATACTCTTAAGACTGCATTAAAGGTTTTCAAGGGTTATCTATTGTGTATTACTTTGGTCTTACAGTTAACATATTTCTACATGTATGTTTTACTAAACCATTCCAACATTCTTGGAGTTATATGACTAAACTCTCCTATTTTACATATGCCTTTTGTGTAGTCTTTCTTCCACTTCCTTTATCTGAATTGGTCTTCCTCACTCTTGAAAATTTAGAGTCTACTCTCTTCTGCTGCTCAAAAGGACTCATTGGCTGTGTTAGGTCAAGAGTGATTATGTCACGAGCACTGTATGTTATGATCCTTCTTTGTTCATCCATAACTTTCTTGCTTATCTCCATCATAGAAATCCTGTCAGCATCTTAATGGCTTGTTTTAAAGAACTGTATCTCATTACATGTCATGATTATAAGCTAGCATGGATGCTTCACAATGCAGTGTGATAAATACAAGCTTTGCGGGCAAAGTTTGTTAAAATTCTGTCCATTTCATATTCTAGGAATAAAATCTTGCTAGGCTTCTAAAACTCTCTAAGTCTTAATTTCCTTATTTCATATTAGAATAAATAATATTAATCTTAAATACTAAAAATTTTAACTAATGTATGTAAAGTCTTGATATATAGGTTACCTTATAAAGTATAGTCTATAAATTATAGTTCTTTTTTAATGTTACTAATAAAAGATGGCTATGAGCTCTTAGTCATCTTTTATTAAGTTGGTACAAAAGTAATTGTGATTTTTGCCGTTGAAAGTAATGGCAAATATTAATAGCAATATTATTAATGTTTAAAAAGATAACTATAATTACCTTTCCTTTCTTCTTTGTCTTCATGACTCTGCTTCTCTGATTCAAACTTTTGATATGTTTACCTGTCATCATGATGTTATAGCAATTCAGTGTCTCTGACACCCCACGTTAACATGAACTATTGAATAAACAGCTGTCTGTTTAACCTTCTCCATGGGATTCACCCCTCAAGTATTAAAATAAGAAACTTGCAACTGGTTACATTTGTGTCTGTATGTTTATCTTAAAAGACAGATGTAGTCTGAAACAACTATATTTTTCTTTGTTGGGGTGGTGGTTCGTGTACATGTACATGTGAAGATTTTTAAAAGTCAAGAATGACTCAGTTCTTGTGGATTATGCATCTATAGATCACTCAGTGTGTCTTTTTTACAAATCAATAATGTTTGGGAACTATCATATTGCCCCCAAACTCTCAATATAACAACTATAAGTTCTGAAATTCTAGGTGGGCATATGTCTCCCAGCCTTTGTCTTTCTTCAAGAGTCAACTTAAAATAATGATGACATTTTTATTGAGACTTCCAGGGGAATCTTATACTCTTGCAAAAAAAAAAAAAAAAATCACCTTTCAGTGCTTAATATTCCACATACTGAGGAAGTTAATTCTCTTTCTTAGCTACTCCCCTTCTGTTACAACCATCAGCTCATTTCTCATTTTATAGCTGAGAAGTTGAAGAACAGGTATGTGTTTGTGGAAGGCACCCGTGGCTTTAATAGAAACAGTGTGCATAAAGCAGTGAGACTGAAACCGTACTACAGAAGGTGAAGCAGAGGGGCAGAGACACGAACCTGAATATAATCTGCTTCTTTTTTATGCTGCATGGCTTGTGAGACTAGAGCAAAAGCCTACATCTGCTTATTAAGCACTAATTATTAAAGTAAATAGGAGATCCCTCTGTGATTCTTAGAAGAAAAGCAGAAGGGACTTTATTCCCAAGAACCTAAAAGTGAAGCTCTATTTAGTTCTCCAACCAGAAAGCAGGGGACAATTAGCGAAGAGCTGATGCTGTTGAACTACTACTTATTCATCTACATTCAATCTAAGCAACCTATCTTCTGTGAAGTTGTGCTTGAATTCTGTAAGACAGCATAATGTGTCTCCTTTTCTTTCCCTTTGTGATGTCTTTACCACTTTGTCATTGCATTGATGACCTTGCACTTTAAAAAGCAGGGACTATGCCTTGCTTATTGCAGCAGCCCCAGGGCAAGCTCCAGAAGCACCTAGAATCCAGTCGGTAATCAGTAATGTTGGTTGAATAAATATCCATATGATTAGATTAAATAATAAATAAATAAGTGTATGAGTGTCTTAAAAGGCTGAAGATTATGAAAATTTGATAAGGCAGAGACTGAATTTAAGTAAAGGAATAAAGTAGCAGACACTGGGTTGCCGTCTGAGGGGATTACTGATTGAGTGTTGACAGTCCTCACCTTAAGTGATGCTCTGGGTGCTTCATGGCAGAAAGATCCCTGCTGATTCATCACTATCTCGCATGCAAAGAAGTGATAAAGAAATCCTAGATGTGTCAGAAATAAGGGGATTCCTGTGGTCACTGGTAGTCACTTCTGCTCCTAGCAGGCAGGGAGGCCTCTATGGGATGTGACTTGTCTCTCTCTCTCTTTAATCTCTTTCTCAGCAGTGATCTGGACTCTATGATAGTCGGGAGGAAAGGAGACAAGAACCTAGGCAGAAAAAGAGCAGTGGAGGACACAGAAATAGTGGGTCCATGATAATGACCTAATAAGAGAGGAAGATACAGAAATCAAGCACTAAGAGGCAGAGCTTCACTGCACAAATCGGAGACACATAGATAATCAATAAAGTAAGCCTGGCAAAGGGCACTGTCCTACTGGTCTCTGGATTGTCTTTGAGGATGTGCCCTTTAAAGTCTTGGGTCAACCTGGAGGGAGACTCAGCAGCACAAAGAAAACTAGGAAAGGGAGAAAATTCCCAGATTCAGGAAGGTTCTGTTATAGCCCTCCCTGCTCATCTCCAGGAACACCCTGAGTCCTCTGTTCAACCTCCACAATGGTCTTCTGCCTTAGCTTATGTGTAACAATGATAAAGAGGACTTTCTCTTCAGAAGGGCTGCACAGCAGTCTCTGAATGCCAAAGAGGACATCAAATGCATCCCTCGAGGTCTGTACAGCTAAAGTTTCCCAAAGATATGAAACATGAGTACTAGCTTTGGCAACACATGGGTAAACTGTATCTACATGCATGATATTTGATGGTGAGGATGCCACCTAGGACCATGCTAAATGGTCCTGTGAATGCCTCAGGCTGATCATGAAGGCTTAAAGAGATTGGTAGGCACCTGTAGGCACACAAGTTAACTTGCAGCAATGAGCCGTCCCCTAATCTCTCTCCATCTGTATTCTTTCTTATCTTTCTTTTTTTCCCACTGTCATAGAGTCCAGGCCACTGTTAAGAAGGAGATTAAGGATAGAGAAATAGGTCACATTTCACAGAAGAGCCTCCCTTCCCACTAGCATCTAAATGGTAGAAACTAGGAGAGGCTTCATTTTGAGAAGTCAGGCCCGGAGAGAGCAACTACTTTAACTCAGGGGGAAATAAAGACTACGAAGAAGTGTCAGACCAGACGTATTGGGAAACTCAGAGTCACACTAGCCAAGCCAAAAAATAACCTCTGTCACAGGGAAAATGAGAAGGGCAGGAGTCAGCTGGCTGTAGTCTTCCCCCACCATGAGCCCCAAAACTGACCTCATTTTTCACACCTGAATTTCTGTGCACCAGGGGTCGCTGGTTCTGTCATCGTCACCCTGAAAGGAAGGTCATTCTTGATACCTTACCAAGGCAGTGATGGTGACTGTGAGCAAGGCACTGGGCAGGCAGGATGTTATTACCAACTGGCAGGTCCCAGAGCTCTCACAGACACACCTGGGCAAAGCCAAAAGTAGCCCCTAGATTGACTAGAGGAACACAGAGCTAAAGTTACAGCCCACAGGGATGGGTGATTGGACAGAGAGGCCAAGCAGGGAGAGTGACTCCTGCACCTAACCAGGTGGCCCATATCTGTTCAGCGTTGTTCATTACCCCTAAGCCTGTACATCCTGTTGGTGATAGGAAACCTTGTGCAGTGAGCTGGGAAATTTCACATTGCTCTGTGAGCTCAGACTTCTCATTCTCACAGAACAATCTTAGACCCCAGGAAATGCTTTAGTGAATGCTGTGGCTCAATGTGCTTATTCCTCCAGGTGCAGGTAGTGTTGGCTTCTGGAAGCTGATAACTAAGTCACTCTCCTTTGGCTAAAGAGAGCAGTCTCGCCTAAGATTACTTTTCCTTCCCCAAGCAGCTCATAGCCAATGACTGGTGATATAAGAATACAAAGTCCTGGCCCCCTTTCTTCATCTTAAACAACACTGAGGAGTCATTCTAACTCATGAGGTCCTATTTGATTAGCTAAGTCACCTGAGACAACTCGATCATAGTTTAATTTCTTCTTCAGCCCCTCTCACTCCATGACAGTTTAATTTCACTCCTCTCACTCCATGACAGTCATTGTTACCATATATATGTCACAATAAACTTCCTGCATGCAAATCTCTGCTCCAGAGTCTGTTTCTGGGGAAGCCAACCTAAGACAAATGCTGCCAGCCTCAGGTTGAGTTGAGCACTTTGCTTCTCCTCTATAGGATAGTGACAAACCCAAGGGCCTCAAACCCATTGCCATGGTACATGTGGGATAAATAGGGCTCCTCCAACAGTCCCTCCAAGGAAGTTCCCAATGAGATGGGCTGAGGCTTCCTTTATCATATTTTCCCATCATAAATAGACCCTTCTGTTAGTTCCATCTCTGATTGAAGCAGCTTCCCACTCTACCCAGTGGCCATATTCTCCTTGGGAACAATGCCTCAAGTGCACAGTCCTTCCATTCATCCAGTCAACAAGTATCTCATTCACAGCTTGTGGGGAGCCCTATTTATTCATTTATTCAATAAATATTAAATATATACTAATTCCATGTACTCTGCTAGATTTTGGAAAAAACAAACGATATGATAAAATGGTTCTCATGGGTCTTGGGATGATATATGTTAAGTATATGATCATAGAATTAATTACAGTTATAAGTGTTATATATTAAAACTATAATGTTTTAAAAGCATATAATAGAAGGACCTCCCCAGTATGGGGACTTCAGGAAAGCCCTCCCTAATTTAAGTTAGTGACCAGAAGACTTGGTTAAAGTGAAGGGCAATATGGAGATAGGGTGCGTACACAAAACATGAGCAGAAGAAAAAGGACTCTGGTAATTTCAAAGACCTGAAAGAATTTTTAAAATTAGAGATTGTAGTACTCAGGACTGAGCCTGGAGTGCAAGCAGGAACCCGAGCATACTGGGTCTTTTGGGCCATGTTAAAGGGCCATGGAAATCATGAAGGATTTTAAGCAGAGGATTGAGATATGATTAACATCTCATTAACAAAATGACATCTTAGGAAAATGGAGAGGCCAAGGCTAAGCATAGATGGCAGGAGATCTTTGGGGAAGAAAATTCAGTGATCTCTACAGAGGTTTAAGGATGTGTCATGAGAATGGGTAGATGAGGTAGGTATCTTTGGGAATAAAGAAATTGAGAATATGAAAAGCCAGAGTGTTCAATGGATTATCCACATAAATACTGATGTCTCCCACCAGGGTCATGGGTGGCAAAATAAAAACAGAGAAGATGTGGACCATGTCATCATTTAATGAAGGCGAGTAGAGGAGAGATAACAGTAACCAGAAGTGATAGAGGATGATATGAGTGAGTGACATGAACCTCAAAGAAGCACCAGTCTTTGCTTATTTGTTTGTTTGTTTGCTTTTACAGGAAAGAACTGAAAATTGTATTTGAGAACAAAGACACTAAACTTACCACCATGCCAAAAGTAGAAGAGATATGAGAAACTAAATGATCCCCACTTAGTAGGAAGCATAATATTGCATCAGAAATAAAATGGGAATAATTATAGCACCTGCTTTATTTGCATTTTGTGACCAATAAATGAAAGAGTGTATCTGCAAAGTTTTTACTTCAAGAACTCAAGGTACCATGTAGTAAGAGCTGAACACACAGGAGCTGCCTTTGTTATCAAGATTTCTCACTAATACAGCATATTCAAGATAGAATTCTTCAGAGCTAGTTTGCCCAGAGCACTTAGAGACCTCTAAGCCCTTATAGCAGTGATTCTGTCTTATAATAGTAACTATGCCCCCCAATGCCCCTGCACAGCATCCAAAATACCGCCATTTGAAACTACAACTTTTGCAAAGACTATTGAGGTTAAGGTGATGTTTGAAGTGATGATGGTAGTAAAGAAAATAGTGTTAGTAGTTATTGTTACAGCAATGTTTTTTCATTGCTTTAACAAAAATATATTGAATGTCCAGTCATAAAAATATTTGTAGTCATTTATTCAAAAGCACATACTATGTTAATATGACTAATGAAGAAATACGCTAGTGACCATTAAAATAATGAGACTTATTTATTAACACATGCTTATTGATAGCATATTATATGTCAGGAACTATTTTAAGAATACAGTAGAAATCACTATCTAGTAGGAATGCAGACAGAGATTATTTATCCAACAAAAATATATATAATTATAAATTATAATGAATAATAAAAGAAACACACAGTATTCTGAGATCAGAAAACAAATGATTTAATGTAATTAAAAGAATCTTTTCTAAGGAGATGAGGTTTGAACTAAGGTGAAAGATGAGTAGAAACAGCAAGAATAAGGACAGGGAAAAGCATTTGTATTAGGAGGAGCCTGGACAACCTGCCTGGAGGGAGCATAAATATTTGACGAAATAAAGAAGAGTATTTATGTATATTAGGAATACATAACACTCAAATAATACTAATATATTTCAAGGATATGCAAATACATAAGCACATAACACAAACACATTAAAATGAATGCCAGTGGTAGGAACTGGGAAGGAAATGAACAAGACATTAAGAAATAAAGACAGAAAATAAACAAACAGAACAATAATCAGAACAATAATCGTTGCATGCAATAAGCATACAAGTATGATTAACTCAAAGTCTTGCAGCTGAGACTAAAAATGAAGAAATGAAACTACAGGTATCATAGAGGGCCATTCATCTCAAAAACAGAATGAAAAAATACTGGAAATAGAGAAAACAACCTTAACCTGCAATTCTAGTCAGATGGAACATGAATATTTTAAAGTATTTCTTTCATAAATTTGAACTCAAAATTATCTCCATAGTTTGCCACCCTTCTTTCTCTGAAGCTAAGTAGGTGGTAGAGAGGCCATTCTCTTCCCATGGACTGGCTGTGAGTGAGAGCTGTGGTGGTGTGAGGTGCCCCATTTTTTTCATATGTCCAGCTCATCTCTTTCTGATCTCCTAAAACACTTGAATTCAGATTCATCATATTACCTGATGCATTTATCTTATCAACACAAATAAAACATAAACTTTCAGAAGAAAAAATATCAAAAAGATTTCCTGCTTATTGATCAATTGAGATATCCCAGCCCTTCTAATAGTTTTCCATCCCAATGTATAAATACCATAGACCTCAGAAGAGATTTCCTAACTTCCAAACACCTAGGATAACTTTCCCTGCTTTCTTTTTACTCTCTGCACAAGATAAATGACTGGGCTATGGGGCTTCCACCCAGTGAGAGAGGGCCACCCTGGACCCTGAAGTCCAGCTGGTGATAACTATACTCAGGTAAGCTCAATCTGCTTGGGGCTTAGAATCATCAATAGCCGCTCCTAGATCTGCTTGGTCTCCATGCCATAGACAATGGGATCCAGTGCTGGGGGAAAGAGCAAGTAGAGATTGGCAAGGATGACCTTGGCAGTAGAAGCTGTGGGTGCTCCAAAGCGCTGCATGACCACAGAAAGAAAGCCCAGTCCATAGAAGAAGAGGATGACACAGACATGGGCTGTACATGTGCTGCCTGCTTTCGCACGTTCCTCAGGTGAAGGAAAATGCATTACAGTCCTCACAATCAGCCCATAAGAATAGGCAATAAGACCACATCCCCCCCACCAAGAAAGATTGCCACCACAAAGGCATAGAGGTTGTCCACAGTGGTGGCCTCACAGGCAAGCTTCACCACTGCCATATGCTCACAGAAGGTATAGGCAATCATGTGTGAGCCATGGTAGTGCAGCCTATGGGCCAAGCTTGGAAAGGAGATGGTCAATCCCACCCCTCACAACACCACCAGGCCTCCAATCTTGGCAACAACAACAGGTGGAAGGATGGTTGCATAACGCAGTGGGTTGCAGATGGCCACAGAGCGGTCCAGGGCCATGGCCACTAGCACCCCTGACTCCATGGCAGAGAATGCATGGATGGAGAACATCTGGGAAAGACAGGAATGCGAGCTGATGGCTGTAGCACCAAACCAGAAAATGGCCAGCATCTTAGGCAGTGTGGAGAGAGAGAGGACCAAGTCGACAAAGGAGAGCATGGCAAGAAAAAGAAACATGGGCTGGCGAAGGCTGCATTCTGTCCGGATGAGAAAAAGCAGGACACCATTCCCAGTCAATGACAGGAAAAACATAAAGCAAAAGGGAAGTGAGATCCAAATGTGGGTGGCAGTCAATCCTGGGATGCCAGCCAGGAAGAAAGTATGTGGGAAGAGAACAGAATTATTGGAAAAAAACCATGGTTATCATGTCACATGGAAGAACAAAGTGACATTGCAGAGAAAGGCAGGCTGGTGAAATTCAGTGATGTAGCAGTTGGGAGCTCAGGACATATGCTCTCACTGACACCATCACCACCACATCACTCTCCCCTACAGTTCTCAGAAAAGAGTAGAAAATAATTTTCAGTTTAGTCAATATTTCTGCAAGGTCTTCAAACACAAAAGAGGCAAGTTAGTGGGAAATGCATTGGGTGAGATTTTTCCAGTGGCAAATAAATGCATTGGACAGGAAGTTCAGAAACCAGTTTCTAGTATTAGATATTCTACAATATGTGTGACCTGGGGAAATTCACACAAACAGATTTAAGTAGATGCCCAGGGCTTGTTGTTGCATAAAAATTATCCCATTAAGTTCATATCTCCAAGTTTTGAATTCAGGTGCTTGATTTAATCAATGCTGACCTCATATAGTTCTCCAGTCTTATCCCACTAAGCCTCATTTAAAATTGCCAAAAATTCTAACATCTGAAAAAATCCCTTAATTTAGAGACATTCCACTCTTCAAAGCTTCATTTGACTGTAAAGTTTACAGAATAACATATGGTCCCTGATAATTCCAACACTGATCAGGCTCTTCCTTGGATATTCCTGTCCACTTCACTTGCTCCTCTACCAGATATCTCAATGGTTGTCTGCTTTACCACCTCCTGTATTTTCTGCTCCTTCAAGTTGGTGTTGTATAGGGATAGACACAAAGTTCAGAGCTGTGGTGACCTGGATAAACAAAAGCTCTGGTAATAACAATAATGTGAAAGCCAAAAAATTCTATACTACCGCCACCTTACTGAGATCATGAGAGACCTTGGCAGATGTGCCCTCCAGTTCTTCTTTTCAGGTTATTACATTAAGAGTGCACAACATTATTCATCATTATTCATGTCCCTAGCATACACTACGTTCAACATATTCATTTTATTTATTAGAAAACTGAGGTCTGTAAAAAGTACATTTCCCAGGGCTATAGCTCTCTGTAGTGACAGAATCAGACCACAGCTCACATCCACTGACCTCCAAGCTAGGAAGCCATCCTCCTATCTCCATGTTAGCAGTGGCTATTGCAGAGCCAGGGAAGAAACTCCAGGGCCCCATGGCCAAAGGTAGGAAGTACAGAGTGATCAAATAATAGGGCAAACAAGGAATGATTTAGGGATCATGTGAATCCCCCAATATCCCCAATACCTCAAGTACCACAATACTCTCAGGTGAGAGACAAACACAGGACTCACATATACCTGGGTCTAGGGCCTGGTAGGGCTTTGGAATGCGAGACAAGTGATTCACGTTCTAGGCATAAAAGGTGCAGCTTTAATAACAGCAAGAAGAGGTCTCTAAGTGTGAGACAAAGGAGCAGAAGTCAGCCTGGAACATAGTCTAAGTAAGAAGAAACAGTACAGATTTAAAATGGCCAAAGTTTTGCTTTTCTCTCCAAGAGAACATATAGTTATTGCCCATACCTTCCACCACAGCTGCTGAGGAGACTGCAATGACAACAGACGGTGAGAGGGCTGGGAAGATGGGAAATCAATGTGGACCTATAGTTCTTATGTCATAGAATAAACTCTACAATAGAAGTCAAGATCCTGGTTTGAGGTACTATTTCTGCCATATATCTGCATGTGACTTTCAGCAAAGCATCTAACCATTTTCAAGCCTTAGTTTCTTCACGTGTGAAAGGAGTAAACTAAAATCTGCCTCATAGGATCATTGTGAGAACTGAAGGAAATATAATATGTGGAAATACTTTGTCAAATGCTGAAAATATTATTATTATATTCACTGAATTATAAGCAATAAATGGTGCACAGGGAGCACTTTAGTTAAGAACAAGAGAAATTTTTGAAATTCAGAGACAACGGATTTGATTTGGCAAAGGTGATCAGATAGATGCATCCCATGGGTGGATAACGTGTAGTAGTTAACTGGAGCAACCCAGTCAAAAACACTATATCCTCCCTCATGTTTCTCCCTTCATTCTTCCAAATTTTCATGCACGTCCATGTGAAGAGACCACCAAACAGGCTTTGTGTGAGCAACATGGCTGTTTATTTCACCTGGGTGCAGGCGGGCTGAGTCCGAAAAGAGAGTCAGCAAAGGGAGATAAGAGTGGGGCCATTTTATAGGATTTGGATAGGCAAAAGAAAATTACAGTCAAAGGGGTTTTGTTCTCTGGTGGGCAGGAGTGGGGGGTCGCAAGGTGCTCAGTGGGGGAGCTTTTTGAGCCAGGATGAGCCAGGAAAAGGACTTTCACAAGGTAATGTCATCAGTTAAGGCAAGGACCGGCCATTTACACTTCTTTTGTGGTGGAATGTCATCAGTTAAGGTGGGGCAGGGCATATTCACTTCTTTTGTGATTCTTCAGTTACTTCAGGCCACCTGGGCATATATGTGCAAGTCACAGGGGATGCGATGGCTTGGCTTGGGCTCAGAGGCCTGACATTCCTGCCTTCTTATATTAATAAGAAAAATAAAACAAAATAGTGTTGAAGTGTTGGGGCGGCAAAAATTTTTGGGGGGTGGTATGGAGAGAGAGTGGGCGATGTTTCTCAGGGCTGCTTTGAGCGGGATTAGGGCGGCGCGGGAACCTAGAGTGGGAGAGATTAAGCTGAAGGGAGGTCTTGTGGTAAGGGGTGATATTGCGGGGATGTTAGAAGAAATATTTGTCATATAGAATGATTGGTGATGGCCTGGATATGGTTTTGGATGAATTGAGAAATGAAATGGAATAACAGAAGGAGAAAAACAGGTATAAAAGGTCTAAGAATTGGGACGACTCATGATATCTGATTAGAGAGTGCCTAAGGAGATTCAGCACAGTCCTGCCAGCAAAGATTATTTATTTACTTCAAGAGTTAAGAGTGGCAGTTTGGGGATAGCACCAGGAGATATCAGCTGTGATGGCTTGGAGAAACAGTGTAAACTGGCAGTGTAAACAAGAGCAGGACATGTATGAGTAGTTGAGAACGGTGAATAGGAGTATGACTAGACAGAAGATAGTAGGGATGACAAGTTTTTTTGGGGCACAGTCTAAGTTGGTCTGGTGTCTGGAATGAGACTGGGGCCTAATAAAAAGGAGAGTCTATACAGGAGCTTAAATGGGCTGTAGCCTGTAGCATTCTGAGGACAGGTCTGACTTCTGAGAAGGAAAAGTGGTAAAAGTATTGTTTAGTCCTTTTTAAGTTGGTGGCTGAGCTTGGTGAGGTGTGTTTTTAAAAGACCTTTAGTCCATTCTACTTTTCTTGAAGATGGAGGACCGCAAGGGATATAAACGTTTCACTGAATACTAAGAGCCTGAAAAACTGCTTGGCTGATTTGACTGATAAAGGCTCATCTGTTATCAGACTGTATAGAGGTGGGAAGGCTAAACTGAGGAATTATGTCTGACAGAATGGAAGAAATGACTGCAGTGGCCTTCTCAGACCCTGTAGGAAAGGCCTCTACCTATCCAGTGAAAGTATCTACCTAGACTGAGAGGTATTTTAGTTATCTGACTCAGGGCATGTTGAGTAAAGCTAATTTGCCAGTCCTGGGTGGGGCAAATCCTCAAGCTTGATGTGTAGGGAAGGGAGGGGGCCTGAATAATCCCTGAGAAGTAGTAGAATAGCAGATGGAACACTGAGAAGTTATTTTCTTGAGGATAGATTTCCACGATGGAAAGGAAATGAGAGGTTCTAAGCGGCAGGCTAGTGGCTTGTACTATAGCATAACCTGCCTTTGCTGGTGTGTGGCGATTAGGCCTGGTGGAACGGCCATCAATAAATCAAGCGTGATCACGGTGAGGAACAGGAAAGAAGGAAATTTGGGGAAATGGGGTGAATGTCAGGTGGATCAGAGAGATATAGTCATGGGGGTCAGGTGTGGTATCAGAAATAATGTGGGAGGCCGGATTGAAGTCCGGGCCAGGAACAATGGTAATTGTGGGACTTAAAGAGTAAGTACAGCTGAAGGAGCCAGGGAGCAGAAAGTATATGCATCAGGTATGAGGAAGAAAATAGATTTTGGAAGTTATGAGAAATGTAGAGAGTGAGTTGAGCATACTTTGTGATTTTTAGGGCCTCTGACAGTATTACAGCAGTGGCAACCACTGCACACAGACATGAGGGCTAGGCTAAAACAGTAAGGTCAACTTGTTTGGACAGAAAGGCTACACGGTGTGGTCCTGGCTCTTGTGTAAGAATTCTGACTGCACTAACCATGCCTAGGAAGGAAAGGAGTTGCTCTTTTGTAAGGGATTGAGGTTTGGGAGATTAATCGGACACCATCAGCAGGGAAAGCACGTATGTTTTTATGAGAATTATGCCGAGTTAGGTAACAGATGAGGATGAAATTTGGGCTTGATTGAAGTAATGGGGGCTGTCTATGAAGCCTTGCGGCAGTACAGCCCAGGTAATTTGCTGAGCCTAATGGGTGTCAGGGTCAGTCTAAGTGAAAGCAAAGAGAGGCTGGGAAGAGGGGTGCAGGGGAATAGTGAAAAAAGCATCTTTAAGATCAAGCACGCAATAGTGAATTGTGGAGGAAGGTATTGAGGACAAAAGAGTGTATGGGTTGGGCACCACAGGGTGGATAGGCAAAACAATTTGGTTGATAAGGCACAGATCCTGAACTAACTTGAAAGGCTTGTCTGGTTTTAGGACAGGTAAAATGGGGGAATTGTAAGGAGAGTTTATAGGCTTTAAAAGGCCATGCTGTAGCAAGTGAGTGATAACAGGCTTTAATCTTTTTAAAGCATGCTGTAGGATGGGATATTGGTGTTGAGCGGGGTAAGGGTGATTAGGTTTCAATGAGATGGTAAGGGGTGCATGATCGGTCACCAAGGAGGGAGTAGATGTATTTTATACTTGTGGGTTAAGGTGGGGAGATACAAGAGGAGGACACAAAGGAGGCTTTGGATTGGGAAGAAGGGTGGCAATGAGATATAGCTGTAGTCCAGGAATAGTCAAGGAAGCAGGTAATTTAGTTAAAGTGTCTCGGCCTAATAAGGGAACTGGGCAGGTGGGGATAACTAAAAAGGAGTGCTTAAAAGAGTGTTGTCTAAGTTGGCACCAGAGTTGGGGAGTTTTAAGAGGTTTAGAAGCCTGGCCGTCAATACCCACAACAGTTATGGAGGCAAGGGAAACAGGCCCTTGAAAAGAAGGTAATGTGGAGTGGGTAGCCTCCGTATTGATTAAGAAGGGGATGGGCTTACCTTCCACTGTGAGAGTTACCTGAAGCTCGGCGTCCGTGATGGTCTAGGGGGCTTCCGAGGCAATCGGGCAGTGTCAGTCTTCAGCCGCTAAGCCAAGAAGATCTGGGAAGGAGTCAGTCAGAGAGCCTTGGGCGAGAGTTCCAGGGGCTCTGGGAGTGGCTGCCAGGTGAGTTGAACAGTCTGATTTTCAGTGGGGTCCCACACAGATGGGACGCAGCTTAGGAGGAATACCAGGCTGTGGGCATTCCTTGGCCCAGTGGCCAGATTTCCAGCACATGTAGCAAGCTCCTGTGGGAGGAGGTTCTGGAGGAACACCTGGCCGCTGCAGTTCAGGTGTTTGGAAGTTCTTGTGTGCTGGAGATGTGGCTGGGGTTTGTCTCACAGTGGAGGCAAGGAATTGCAACTTTTTTCTATTATTGTACACCTTGAAGGCAAGGTTAATTAAATCCTGTTGTGGGGTTTGAGGGCCGGAATTTAATTTTTGGAGTTTTATTTAATGTCGGGAGCAGATTGGGTAATAAAATGTATTTTGAGAATAAGACAGCCTTTTGACCTTTTAGGGTCTAGGGCTGTAAAGTGTCTCAGAGTTGCTGCCAAACAAGTCATGAACTGGGTGGGATTTTTATATTTGATGAAAAAGAGCCTAAACGCTATCTGATTTGGGATAAAGAAAAAGGAGTATTAACCTTGACTATGCCTTTAGCTCCAGCCACCTTTTTAAGAGTAAATTGCTGGGCAGGAGGGGGAGGGCTAGTCACGGAATGAAACTGTAAGCCGGACCAGGTGTGAGAAGGGGAGGTGATAAAAAGATTATAGGGTGGAGGAGCAGAGGCTGAGGAAGAATTGGGACATAGCTCGGCCTGGCGAGGAGCAGCCTGGGGAGGAAGGGAGAGGTCAGATGGGTCTGTAGAAAAGGAAGATTAGAAAGACTCAGAGATGCTTGGGGTTGGCACTGAGGGGACAGGCAGGAGGGAAAGAAGGAAGATTTGGTACGAGTTGCACTGGACACAGAGACTAGGAAGGGACTGATGTGTAAAAGACTGCCTGGATGTCAGGCACCTCAGACCATTTGCCTATTTTATGACAAGAATTATTTAGATCTTGCAGGATGGAAAAATTCAAAGTGCCATTTTCTGGCTACTTGGAACTACTGTCGAGTTTGTATTGGGGTCAAGCAGCATTGCAGAAGAAAATAAGGCATTTAGGTTTTAGGTCAGGTGTGAGTTGAAGAGGTTTTAAGTTTTTGAGAACACAGGCCAAGGGAGTAGAAGGAGGAATGGAGAGTGGAAGGTTGCCCATAGTGAAGGAAGCAAGCCTAGAGAAAAGAGAGAGTAGAGAAATGGAGGGAAGGGATTCGGGGGTTCTTACCTTCCAGAAAAGTGAGAAAAGGTGTTGGGGTGCAGAGATAAGAGGTCAGGGTGCGGAAATAAGGGATGGGGCACAGAAATAAGGGGCTGGGGCATGGAAATAAGGGGTCAGGGCATGGAAATAAGGGGTTGGGGCACAGAAATAAGGGATTGGGGCACAGAGATAAGAGGTTGGGGCACGGAAATATGGGATTGGGGCGCAGAGATAAGAGGTTGGGCATGGAAATAAGGGATTGGGGCACAGAGATAAAAGGTTGGGGTGCAGAGATAAGAGGTTGGGGTGCAGAAATAAGGGATTGGGGTGCAGAGATAAGATGTTGGGGTGCAGAAATAAGGGATTGGGGCATAGAGATAAGAGGTTGGGGCGTGGAAGTAAGGGATTGGGGGTTCTTGCCCCATAGAAAAGTGGGACTTGCCACTAAGGGTGAAGGAGAAGGGGTTGAGGGGTACTTGCCCCCTCCCAGAAAAGCGGGACTTGCCACTAAGGGTGAAGGAGAAGGTGTTGAGGGGTACTTGCCCCTCTCCCAGAAAAGCAGAGAAGCGATAGAGACAAGGAGAGAAGGGGTTGAGGTACTTGCCCCTTCCCCAGAAAAGTGGGACTTGCCGCTAAGGGTGAAGGACCAAGGCAGGCATCACTGCGTGGTCTGACACCCTTGAAACGTGGGTGTATAATCAGAGAGGCATCCCTGTAATGATTAAACACCAAGGGAAGGCTGTCTTCCCAGTCCATGACTGGCGCCGGAGTTTTGGATCCACAGATAAAACATGTCTCCTTTGTCTCTCCCAGAAAATGAAAGGAATTGAAATTAAGAGAAGGGAGAGATTGAAGAGTGGAAAGGAGAAGGTGGTTGAGGGACAGTGAGAGAGGTTGGAGAAGAGAGTAAGAAGAGGCCGCTTGCCTGATTTAAAATTGGTGAGATGTTCCTTGGGCTGGTTGGTCTGAGGACCTGAGGTCATAGGTGGATCTTTCTCACAGAGCAAAGAACAGGAGGACAGGGGATTGATCTCCCAAGGGAGGTCCCCCGATCCGAGTCACAGCACCAAATTTCATGCGCGTCTGTGTGAAGAGACCACCAAACAGGCTTTGTGTGAGCAACATGGCTGTTTATTTCACCTGGGTGCAGGCGGGCTGAGTCCGAAAAGAGAGTCAGCAAAGGGAGATAAGGGTGGGACCGTTTTACAGGATTTGGGTAGGTAAAGGAAAATTACAGTCAAAGGGGGTTTGTTCTCTGGTGGGCAGGAGTGGGGGTCACAAGGTGCTCAGTGGGGGAGCTTTTTGAGCCAGGATGAGCCAGGAAAAGGACTTTCACAAGGTAATGTCATCAGTTAAGGCAAGGACCGGCCATTTACACTTCTTTTGTGGTGGAATGTCATCAGTTAAGGTGGGGCAGGGCATATTCACTTCTTTTGTGATTCTTCAGTTACTTCAGGCCATCTGGGCATATACGTGCAAGTCACAGGGGATGTGATGGCTTGGCTTGGGCTCAGAGGCCTGACACAAATAATACATTCTTTCTCTCAGCAACCCCAGTGTGTGGTGTTGGGAGGAGGATGGGGAGTGTCAAGAAATATGACTCTGATCACTTCAGCATCTGCTTCAAATTATCCCCAAAGCAGCCCATCCTTAAGCCTCTGTCTTCAGAAAACTAATAGATAATTACACCTGATTGTTGTGGGAAGTCAGGGACCCCGAATGGAGGGACCTGCTGAAGCCATGACAGAAGAACAGAAATTGTGAAGATTTCATGGACATTTGTTAGTTCTCCAAATTAATACTTTTATAATTTCTTATGCCTGTCTTTACTGCAATCTTTGAACATAAATTATGAAGATTTCATGGACATTTGTCACTTCCCCAATCAATACTCTTATAATTTCCTATGCCTGTCTTTAATCTCTTAATCCTGTCATGTTCGTAAGCTGAGGATGTATGTCACTTCAGGACCTTGTGATGATTGCGTTAATTGCACAAATTGCTCATAAAGCATGTATGTTTAAACAATATGAAATCTGGGCACCTTGAGAACAGGATAACAGCGATTTTCAGGGAACAAGGGAGATAATCTTAAAGTCTGGTTGCCTGTGGGCTGGGCAGGACAGAGCCATATTTCTCTTATTACCGAAAATGGGTAAGAGAAATATGGCTGAATTCTTTCCCCAGTAAGGAATATTAATAATTAACAGCCCTGGGAAAAGAATGCATTCCCAGGGGGGGCCTCTAATATGGCTGCCCTAGGAATGTCTGCCCTATGCAGTTGCAGATAAGGGATGAAACATGCCCTGGCTTCCTGCAGGATCCCTAGGCTTGCTAGGATTAGGAAATTCCAGCCTGGCGAATTCTAGTCAGACCAGTTCTCTGCTCTTGAACCCTGTTAAGATGTTTATCAATGACAATGCATGCACAGTGGGACAGGGAACCTCATCAGTAATGCTAATTTCACCTTTGCCTTGTGACCTTGCCCTGCTCATTTGCCTTGTGATATTTTGTTGCCCTTGAAGCATGTGATCTCTGTGACCCACACCCTATTCATACACTCCCTCCCCTTTGAAAATTGCTAATAAAAACTTGCTGGTTTTGCAGCTCAGGGGGCATCATGGAACCTGCCCACATGTGATGTCTCCCCTGGATACCCAGCTTTAAAATTTCTCTCTTGTACTCTTTCCGTTTATTTCTCAGACCAGCCAACACTTAGGGAAATAGAAAAGAACCTACGTGAAATAATGATGAATTATCGGGGGCAGGCTCCCCCGATATCTGGCACCCACATGGTTTTTCGTTTTCCCAAATGCATGTGGGAACCCGATTCCTTTTGGTAGGTGCAGAGAAACATCATTGGTTTGGTCCACATAAATGCTTGTTTGACTCCCTGATGACTGGTGAGTAGTCTGTGTATGGTCTGGGTTAACTATGGGTCACATGGAGTATAAAAATTATACTTATCTCTTCTATATTACACTCCGGTTAAAACAGAAAAGGGTTTAAGTGCCCATGGAAAATATGGTCACTCTATTCAGGGCAGTGGGAAAATACTGTCCTTGGTTTCCTGAAAAAGGAACCTTAGATGTAGACCTGTTAAAACAGGGAAGGGTTCGAGTAACCATGGAAAATATGGTCACTGTATTCAGGGCCGTGGAAAAATACTGTCCTTGGTTTCCTGAAAAAGGAACCGTATATGTAAAAGTATGGGATCGTGTTGGTTCAACATTCTGGGAACTGGTCTCAACAGGGAATTATGTTCCCATCACTGTTTGGGGTGATTGG
Source organism: Homo sapiens (assembly GCF_000001405.40). Taxonomy (NCBI): domain Eukaryota; kingdom Metazoa; phylum Chordata; class Mammalia; order Primates; family Hominidae; genus Homo; species Homo sapiens. The sequence goes on from NC_000011.10 coordinate 6,077,649, forward strand.
GCCTTGGTACGTGCCGTTCTGATACCTCCTCAACTTTCCTCTCCCACATGGCCTTTGTTATCTGCTCAGTCTCTCCCTTCGCTTACTCCTCCTCCAACTGTTGAAAATTCAATGTCTAACTCCGGTGACTTTGGCTTAATGTCACCCCCTGATGACCTTATTTCTTTTCACAAACAGCCAGTACTTGTAGCTCCCACGGCCCAACTCACACAGCCCAGGACCACATATATGCTAATTCTTCCCTTTACAAACCTTTGCAGCATTTGCCTTCGGGCGTCACCTAATGGCTCCGGGACCAAACTACCATTTACCTGTAATTCTCCAGGGCTTCCCCCATCCACTGCAGCCCTCCTGTCATTTCAGTTCCTCAACTGGTCTGCATTGTTATGTACCTCTCAATCTTACCTTTTTGAAAGAATTTAAGGATGCTTGTACTCAGTACATCCCTACTTCTCCTTATGTTAAAATGGTATTACAAACTTTGTACTGAGGTCATTTTGCTTCCTTTAGACTGGGACCTTTTAGCAAAAGCTGTTCTAACCACATCTTAGCCTGGTGGGCAGAGAAGGCCTGTCTCCAGGCTCAGCTAAATCGGACTAATGGCATTCTAATTACTCAGGCTCAGCTCACAAGCTCCAATAGTTTCTCTCATACTTATGCCCAATTAGGCTTTGATGCTCTTACCACAAAACAAGTAACAAAGGTGTGTATGAGAGCTTAGGATAAATTATGCACCCCAGGCCAAACTCCTGCTTCTTTTACTAGGGTTAAACAAGGTCACACTGAATTAGAGATTTACTGGCACAACAGGGGGCTGAAATTAATATTCCACATAACTCTTATGGTGCTCCCAGTCAGCATATGATGGAAAACATGGGGTTTGTTCCTGGACCCAGTCTCGGTCCAAAACATGAAGGGATTACTAAACCCCTCCCAGTTACTGTAAAAGAAAACAGGGCGGGTTTAGGTTATCCTTTCTAGTGGCAGCCGCTGCCACGCCTCCTGGTCCTACTCCTTTACAATGGAAATCTGACACACCCATTTGGATTCAGCAGTGGCCGCTCTCTAAAGAAAAACTGGAGGCTTTAACTCAATTAGTTTCTGAACAGTTACAACTTGGAGGTAAGTAAAACAGAATGTCTGGATCTACGTTGATACTGAGGGAGAGGGATGGTATCAGGGACAACAGGCAGAATAGTTTCCCCTTCCCAACTATAATCTCCCCAACTATCCCCTCAGGACCCAGAAAATGTCCTTCATTATATCCTTGTGCTTCAAGAAAAGTTTGACCCAGTAAGCTCAGCTCCTCTCCCTCCAACAGAGAAGTAGGTAAAGGGAGGCAGTGGGGGCAGGAATCAGGAGCTCAGGACTTAGGTGCTTTCATAAACGTTTCCCTGTGATTCACCTCATAGGCTTCAAAGAGGAGCAGCCTTCCAAATAGCTTACTGATCACCCAGGACTAGAATGATGTTTGCCTGCTTTGAAGTGAAAAATTCGCACATACTCCATCCCATCTTTGCCTGTTTCACACAATACCAAAGGTCCAGATAAGCTCCTGACAATGTACACAGCATTCCCTGTATTTCTGATTTTCCCTAGTGATATCAAGAGCATGTAATTATACCCCAGACTGCCTATCAAATTGTCCAGATCTGGGGAGGCTAGGGATAAGTTAATATGTGGATGTCACCTGTATTTATTTCTCTTCCTTGGGTCTACCCTTAGCCATTACTTACCAAAGAGCTGCATTGATTGACCTACAGGGCGACAAGAAGTTAAGCTACTAGTCAAGTGTGAAGAAAGGTGTATTTAATGGGCACTTTTTCAAGCATTGTCTATAGGGATACAAGGCAAATTTCCCATCACCTAGACACCAATGAGTACTTTTGCCTCCTCTTCAAACAAAGTTCTAACAAGATCTCTTTCTCTTATTGGGGCCCCAGGGAATAGCCCCAGCAGGGAATATTTTGAACAGCGTACTCCAGGGTGCCTTGCCAAGGCCCTGCACTGAGGAGGAAGGAAAGGCTTCCTGTCATGGGGACCGGTGAGGTAGGAGGCGGGATTCAACTCCAGAGGGTGAGCTCAGACACCAGACTAAATTGAGGAGTAGCTAAAACAGGGATGGGGCAGAAGCAGCTTTCCATAAGACATGCCCACTAGTTTGCCATGTCGGTTTACCATTGCCAGGACACCTTGGAGTTACTGCCCCTTTCCATGGCAATGATCCAACTACCCAGAAGTTACTACACTTTCCCTAAAAATTTCTGCATATGCTGCTCCTTAATCTACATGCAATTAAAAGTAGATATAGGGCGGGTGTAGTGGCTCACGCCTGTAATCCCAGCATTTCGGGAGACCAAGGCAGGCAGATCACCTGAGGTCAGGAGTTTGAGACCAGCCTGACCAACATGGCGAAACCCCTTCTCTACTAAAAATACAAAAATTAGCCTGGTGTGTGGGCACATGCCTGTAGTCCCAGTTACTCAGGAAGGCTGAGGCAGGAGAATTGCTTTAACCCAGGAGGTAGAGTTTTCAGTGAGCTGAGATCACACCACTGAACTCCAGCCTGGGTGGCAGAGTGAGACTCCATCTCAAAAAAAAAAAAAAAAAAAATAGCTGTAAATATGACTGCAAAGCTGCCCTGAGCTGCTACTCTCAGCACACTGCCTGTGGGGTATCCCTGCTCTGCCAGAACAGTCACAGAGCTGTGGCACTTCCAGAGCTGTAATACTGCCAAAGCTGTAACACTGCCACTTCAATAAAGCCGTTTTCTTCTACGCTACCATCAACTTGCCCTTGAATTTTTTTCTGGGTGAAGCCTCACAGGCTAAGCTCCACTTTGGGGCTCACCTGCCCTGTGTCAGTGGGACCACCCAGCTTGATGGCCCAGAAAAATCTGATCTAGGGAAGTTCAGTAAGAAGGCAAGGAGATGAGGAGGGGCACCCCCAGAACCAGCACAGAACATTCCCTAGAAAACTCCCACTGATACAGGTGGGACCATGGGTGGAAGAGTGAATTAATAAGTGAGAGCCTTTACAAGAAGGAAGAACCTGACCAGAGAATAAGTTTGGAGAAAACAGCAAATGTTTCCTATACCTGGAATTGAAATGGTAGGTACAAGGCTAGGCCAAGTCCTATAGGTATTGCTAGTCATACGCTTTCTAATCTTAGTGAAATTACTCAACGACTTTTGCTCATCTTAACTGTCTCCCTACATTTGACTTTCCTCTCATCCAAAAAATCCCTCCTGAAAATAGAGCTAGATTAATCTATTGGAAAGTATCCAAGAGCATAAAGGATTTAGACATTACAACATTACAATGGTAGGAAGAAACTCCTGGTGAGGGACAAATAATTTATTCTATGAAGCCAAAGGAAATGCAAGAAAAAAATGCATACCAAACCCTATGAAAATACCAGCAACATCATAGCAATAGAAAAAACAATCTTAAAGTTTGTATGGAACCAAAAGAGACCCTGAATGGCCAAAGCCATCCAAAGCAAAAAGAACAAAACTGAAGAAATCACATTACCTGACTTCAAATTATACTACAGGGTTATAGTAACCAAAACAGCATGTTACTGGCATAAAAACAGACATATAGACCAATGAAACAGAATAGAGAACCTAGAAATGAATCCACACACCTACAGTGAATCCATTTTTGACAAAGGTGCCAAGCACATACACTGGGGAAAAGCTAGTCTCTTCAATAAATAGTGCTGGGAAAACTGGATATACATATGGAAAAGAATGAAACTAGACCCTTATTGCCCACCATATACAAAAATCAAATCAAAGTGGATTAAAGACTTAAATCTAAGACTGCAAACTATGAAATTACTACAAGAAAACAATGAGGAAAATCTCCAGGACATTGATCTGGGCAAAGATTTCTTGAGCAATGCCCCACAAGCACAGGCAACCAAAGTAAACATGGACAAATGGGATCAAATCAAGTTAAAAAGCTTCTGCACAGCAAAGGAGACAATCAACAAAGTGAAGGGACAATCCACAGAATGGGAGAAAATATTTGCAAACTACCAGTCTGATATATAAGGAGGTCAAACAACTCTATAGGAAAAAAAATATAATAATCTGATCAAAGAAAGGGCAAAAGATTTGAATAGACATTTTTCAAAAGAAGACCTACAAATGGCAAACCGGCATATGAAAAGGTACTCAACATCAATGATCATCAGAGAAATGCGTATCAAAACTACAATGAGATATCATCTTACCCCAGGTAAAATGGCTTGTATTTAAAAGATAGGCAATAACAAATGCTGGTGAGGATGTGGAGAAAAGGGAGCCCTCATAGACTGTTAGTGGGAATGTAAGTTAGTGCAAGCACTATGGAGAACAGTTTGGCGATTCCTCAAAAAAACTAAAAATTGAGCTATTATATGATTCAGAAATCACACTGCTGGGTGTATACCCAAAAGAAAGGAAATCAGGATATCAAAGAGATGTCTGCACTCCTAATGTTTGTTGCGGCACTGTTTACAATAGCTAAGATTTGGAAGCAACATAAGTGCCCATCGGCAGAGGAATAGATAAAGAATATGTAGTACATATACACAGTGGAGTACTACTCATCCCTAAAGAAAGAATGAGATCCAGTCATTGGCAACAACATAGATGGAACTGGAGATTATTGTGTTAAGTGAAATAAGCCAGCAACAGAAAGACAAACATCACATATTCACACTTATTTGTGGGATCTAAAAATAAAAACAATTGAACCTGTGGTCACAGAGAATACAAGGATGGTTACCAGAGGCTGGAAAGAGTAATGTGGGGTTGGGGGGAAGGTGGCAATGGTTAATGGGTACAAAAGAATAGAAAGAATAAATAAGACATACTATTTAATAGCACAACAGGGTGACTATAGCCTATAATAATTATATATTTTAAAATAAAGAATGTAATTGGATTGTTTGTAACTCAAAGGATAAATGCTTGAGAGAATGGAGCCCCTATTCTCCTTGATGTGCTTATTTCACATTGCATGTCCCTATCAAAACATCTCATGTACCCCATAAATATATATACCTACTATGTACCCACAAAAAAATTTTAAAATAATTGAATTTTTTTTAAAAACAGAAAAAGTTAAAAAAATAACAAATGCATAAAACTATATAGAGTTCAGGATGCAGCCAGGTCTACGTGTCTTCAGAATAATAATCCTTTATCCAAAAGACAGAGGTCAACACAAGCTGTATTGGAAGGGAAAAGCACAGGTTTCATTGGGAATGGTCAGTATCCTGAATCAGGCCATCCATTTAGGAGGGCCACATTCTAAGGGTACTAACTCAGTTTCAAAGGGAATTAGAAGATATAGCAGGTGTCATTTCACGTAGAAGCAAGATTGTGGACCCTAACATGTTTTCTGGCAGATAAACCAACCTTGGTAACAGTGAATTTAGGATAAACGATACTATGATAACTCTGAGATGGCAGGAGACAGGTATTATGAAATAGCAAAATATCAACCCAGAAACCCAATGGAGAAGGAAAGAGTAGGCACGACAAGGAACAAAAGCAACAAAAAGATCAGTCCAAGAGGCACAGAGGAGATGAACAGATAACTCAAACAGGAATTGGGACCCAGGAAATAAAAGTCTTAGAACAGGGACATAGATTAGTGTGAATGAAGACCACGTGACTGAAACTCATAACCTTCTCCTAAAGTCAAACATTGCATAAAACATCAAGAGATGAGGACAAGGCTGAAGTTTCAAACACAGTCAAGAGTCCTGAGATCAATAATATAGATCAGAAAAATATTTTCTGAGTTCCCCTTAAAGTTCTGGAAAGAAATATAGAGATTTAAAAAAGGGTCAGGTAGAAGATACTCATCAAACTAAGACAAAATACTACCAAGGGGCAAAGCAGAGGTATGAGCAAAGATCTGTGGCCACACCTTGGAGAGATGGAAACACCTTGGAGAAAAATCATCTAATTAAGTCTATGGGGACCATGAAAAGCTTCTCAAATGAGGCAACATTAGAGAGAAAAGTTGAAGGATACCAATAGGATGTTCCAGAATCACTCACTAGTATTAAAAGGAACATTAAAACTTATAAAGTAAGGAATTCTTGATGAACATCTAAGAGATCCATGTTGAAAATTTGCATGTCAACCTCTGTGAGATTACATAAATTGTCATGGATTATATCCTCAAATATATTTCCAAATTGCTTACTCTCTCTCCATCTCTCTCAAGAATGCCAATGAGTAGTAAGTTTGGTCTGTTTACATAATCCCATATTTTTCAGAGGTTTTGTTCATTATTTGAAATTCTTTTTTCTATATTTCTGTCTGAGTTTATTCAAAGGACCAGTATTCAGGTTTTGAGGTTCTTTTTTCAGCTCTGTCTATTCTGCTCTTAATACTTCAAACCGTATCATAAAATTCTTTTAGTGAATTTTTCAGCTCTAGAAGTTCAGTTTGGTTCTTTCTTAAAACAGCTATTTCATCTTTCAGCTCTTGGATCATTTTACTGGATTCCTTGGATTGTGTTTCAACTTTCTCTTTGATCTCAATAAGCTTCCTTGCCATCCAGATTCTGAATTTTGTGTCTGTTATTTCAGTTATTTCAGTCTAGTTAAGAACCAGTGCTGAGGAGCTAGTGGGCTCGTTTGAAGGTAAGGGGTCACTGTGGCTTTTTGAATTGCCAGAGCTCTTGAGCTGATTCTTTCTCATCTGGGGAGGTAGTATTCCTTTAACTGTGGTGTTAGTTGACTGTACTCAGTTTGGTTCATTTCTAGATGCTATCAGAGGACCAAGGGTCTGTATAGGAACTTTATTTATAGATGAATTCTCAAGCTTGGTTTCACAAAGGGTATATATTAGCAGAATAATTTTTAGTGTTGTATTTGGGCTGTGATCCAGTAGATGGTGTTTAAGAGTAATAGCCAGTAGATAGGCTTTTAGCCCCACTAGGCTCTTTAGTATTTCCTCACATTTACAGGTGTGCTTTGTGGTGGGGGTAGGGGCAGACATGACTCCTTAACCAAGGGTGCCTTAGGGCAGCCCCCTCTGATCACTGGTGCCATGCCCATGTTTCATAAGTGTTCCAGACCTCAGAGCTTCCTCAAGCAGAAGCTGTGACAGGGAGATATGTCACACTCTTTCCGTACTAGCCCTGCAGAATGAGGCATGCCTCACTCCCACACTGGCCCACAGACCCACACATCTCACCTGTCTCAGTGCCCTGAGAGTGGCACTCCCTCCCATGCTTGAGTGCCGGCCACAGATCTCAGCTCTGCATTCTTGAGCTGTAACCACCAACCATGGGATACCTAGACAGCCCACGGGGTTGGGTTATAGCTGTGCTGGGGGATCCAACATGCACCCAGATGTCTGAGAAAATACTCAGGGAGAGGAAAGCACCCAGTCTGAGCAATGGAGGTTTCACTGTGCGCATGCTCCTGCAGAGCAACCAGGCAGGGGCCTTGGGAGAGGCTGGCAGGCAAGAGGGCCTGCTCATCAGAGGTGCCCCAGTTCCATAGAGAGCAGGAAGCTGGACCTGCTCTCTCCTGGTTCAACTCTCAGCTGGGGCTACAGCCTCTTGGATGTAGATGAGAAGCCCTAGGGGATGGGTGCCTATGGCAACACTCTGCTAGAGGTGCCCTATGCATGAAATCACCTGGCCTCTATGCCAGCTGAATCCCTGTCTCTGCCTACTCCCCAGACAGATCCCCCTGGCAGCTCACAGGTATGTGGGGGACATGGGGTGCCCTCTAGATAGGATTCCAGAGGACCATGGTGAGAGTGGGCTGTTCCTCAGTCCCCTCACTCACCCCTTCCCCAGGAGCTGTTTGGGGCTGGGAACTAGCACTGGTATTCAGGTGCCCCACGCAGGGTTTCCAGCTTCCTCTCTCTTCAGCTTCAGTGAGTGTCAACTCTCAATCCACCCTCGGTGTTTTCTCTCTGAAGATCTGCCCAAATTATATTGGGTTACTAGATGATTTGATCTCTCTCAGTGGGAGCAGTGCCTCCTAACTGTATCTAGTCAACCATCTTGTTCCCCTCCTCTACTCAATTTTTTGTAAACCTAAAATAATTCCTGGCTTCTGGGGTGTGCCAGCCCCTTCCCTACAAATCTCCCTGTACCTGCAGGCCACAGGCAACACAGGTTTTGGTAGAGCCATCTGGGACCTCACTGAACTGAGGAGACAGGGGAGCAAAGACGGAACACTGACCTCACTCGGACAGAGACCTGATTTCTTTTTTTTCTTTTTCTTTTTTTTCTTCTTACTGAAGTCTCACAGTAGTTCAGTGAAAAAGGATAAACTCTTCAATAAGCAGTGCTGAAACAATGGAATATCTATATGAAAAAACAACTTGAACCCTTACCTTATATTACACAAAAATTAACTTGAAATAGATCTTAAACTTAATGTAAAAACTAGAGCTATAAACATTTTAGGGAAAAGAGGATAAAAATGTTTGCAGAGATTTGGCAAAGATTTCTTCAATAGAACACAAAAAGCGTGAACTATAAAATAAAAATTGATAAATTGGAGTTCACTAAAATGTTTTAATTCCAATCATCAAAAGAGACCATAAAGAGAATAAAAAGGCAAGCTACAGACTAGGTAAAAATATTTGGACTACATATTTCTGATAAAAGACTTGATCCAGATTATATAAAGAACTATTGCAAAGCAATATGAAAAGCAACCAACTAAAAATGGTAAAAACGATTGAACAGAGACTTCTCAAAGGAAGATATCTGAATGACAAACGATCCCAAAAAGCATGTAAAATGATGTTCAATATCATTAGTCATCAAATAAATGCACATTAAAACTGCAATTATTTACAGCAAAAGACAAATTAGAATAGTTAAAATTGACGACACTGACAATACCAAGTGCTGATGAGGATGCAAAGCAACTGGAGATTTCATACATTGCTGGTGAGAATGTAAAATGCTACAACCACTTTGGAAAGCAACTTGTAGACTTACTTAATAAAACTAAACATACACTTACTATAGAACCCAGCATCTTCATGTTTAGGTATTTACACAAATAAATTAAAAATTTTAATTGCAAAATTATCCAGTTTTTTTCATCCTTTCCTTTATGTTTAGCTCATTTTTTTATTATTATTATACTTTAAGTTTTAGGGTACATGTGCACAATGTGCAGGTTTGTTAAATATATATACATGTGCCATGTTGGTGTGCTCCACCCATTAACTCGTCATTTAGCATTAGGTATATCTCCTAATGCTATCCCTCCCCCCTCCCCCCACCCCACAACAGTCCCCGGAGTGTGATGTTCCCCTTCCTGTGTCCATGTGTTCTCATTGTTCAATTCCCGCCTATGAGTGAGAACATGTGGTGTTTGGTTTTTTGTCCTTGCGACAGTTTTTTGAGAATGATGGTTTCCAATTTCATCCATGTCCCTACAAAGGACATGAACTCTTCATTTTTTATGGCTGCATAGTATTCCATGGTGTATATGTGCCACATTTTCTTAATCCAGTCTATCATTGTTGGACATTTGGGTTGGTTCCAAGTCTTTGTTATTGTGAATAGTGCTGCAATAAACATACGTGTGCATGTGTCTTTATAGCAGCATGATTTATAATCCTTTGAGTATATACCCAGTAATGGGATGGCTGGGTCAAATGGTATTTCTAGTTCTAGATCCCTGAGGAATCGCCACACTGACTTCCACAATGGTTGAACTAGTTTACAGTCCCACCAACAGTGTAAAAGTGTTCCTATTTCTCCACATCCTCTCCAGCACCTGTTTTTTCCTGACTTTTTAATGATCGCCATTCTAACTGGTGAGAGATGGTATCTCATTGTGGTTTTGATTTCCATTTCTCTGATGGCCAGTGATGATGACTGGATCCCTTCCTTACACCTTATACAAAAATTAATTCAAGATGGATTAAAGACTTAAATGTTAGACCTAAAACCATAAAAACCCTAGAAGAAAACCTAGGCAATACCATTCAGGACATAGGCATGGGCAAGGACTTCATGTCTAAAACACCAAAAGCAATGGCAACAAAAGCCAAAATTGACAAATGGGATCTCATTAAACTAAACAGCTTCTGCACAGCAAAAGAAACTACCATCAGAGTGAACAGGCAACCTACAAAATGGGAGAAAATTTTCACAACCTACTCATCTGACAAAGGGCTAATATCCAGAATCTATAATGAACTCAAACAAATTTACAAGAAAAAAACAAACAACCCCATCAAAAAGTGGGCAAAGGAAGGATATGAACAGACACTTCTCAAAAGAAGACATTTATACAGCCAAAAAACACATGAAAAAATGTTTAGCTCATTTTTATGCCCTATTTAAGAAAATATTCTCTGCCTCAAAGTAAAGAACAATTTCAAAGTCATGAACATATTTCATTATGCTATCATTAGGAAGCTTTACTGTTTTTAACTTTTCATGTTTGGTCTCAAAATGACTGTATATATTTGTGTATATATGAGGGATCAAGATTCATTTTTCTCTATGGATAGCCTGTTGACCTAGCACATTTTACAGAAAAGACTATCCTTTCCCCCACAGCTTATGACAAAGTTTTATCTTTGTCAGAAGTCAAGTGTTTATATGTATGTAGGTTTATCTTTGTACTCCCTAATATTTTTCATTAATCTTTATTAGGTTGGTGCAAACATAATTGCAGTTTTTGCATTGTTGAAATTTGCCATTTGATATTGGAATACATTCTTAAATAAATGTGGTTATGTTATACAACATTTTAATGCACACTTCTCACTTTATGTTTATTGTTAATGAGTTATTGCTTGCTGTTTATTTCATATTTACTTTAGAGTATGGAAATGATGTTAGACAAAATACAAATTTGAGCAATTTTCTTATTTGAATACCAAATGAGTTGTAAAGCAGCGGAGACAACTTGCAACATCAACACATTTGGCCCAGGAATAGCTAATGAACATACAGTGCAGTGGTGGTTCAAGTTTTGCAAAAGAGATAAAAGGCTTGAAGATGAAGTGTGTAGTGGCTGACCATCAGAAGTTGACAACAACCAATTGAGAGCAATCATCAAAACTGATCCTCTTACAACTACACGAGAAATTGCCAAAGAACTCATTGTTGATCACTCTAGTTGCTTGGCATTTGAAGCAAATTGGAAAGGTGAAAAAGTCTGATAAGCCCATAAGTGGGTCCCTCATGAGCTGAGCAAAAATCAGAAAAATCATTGTTTTGAAGGGTTGTCTTCTCTTATTCTATTCAACAACAATGAACAATTTCTCAATCAGATTTTGACACGTGATGAAAAGTGAATTTTATATGACAACCAGTCAATGACCAGTTCAGTGGTTGGACTGAGAAAGAACTCCAAAGCACTTCTCAAAGCCCAACTTGCACCAAAAAAGGGTCATAGTCACTGTTTGGTGGTCTGCTGCAGGTCTGATCCACTACAGCTTTCCGAATCCTGGTGAAACCATTGCTTCTGAGAAGTATGCTCAGTAAATCAATGAGATGCACTGAAAACTGAAACACCTACAGCCCGTGTTGGTCAGCAGGAAGGCCCAATTCTTCTCCATGACGGTGCCCAACCGCATGTCACACAACCAATGCTACAAAAGTTGAACAAATTGGGATATGAAGTTTTGCCTAATCCACCATATTCACCTGACCTCTCACAAACCAGTTATCACTTCTTCAAGCATCTCAACAACTTTTTGCAAGGAAAATGCTTCCACAACCAAAAGAATGCAAAAAATGCTTTCCAAGAGTTTGTTGAATCTGAAAGCACGGATGTTTATGCTATTGGAATAAACAAACTTATTTCTCATTGACAAAAATGTGTTGATTGTAATGGTTCCTATTTTAGTTAATAAATAAGTGTTTGAGCCTAGTTATAATGATTTAAAATTCATGATCCAAAACAGCAATTACTTTTGCACCAACCTAAATTGTTTTTAACTTTTATTTTAGGTTTGGGGTGCATGTGCAGGTTTGTTATATAGGTAAACTCATGTCACAGGGGTTTGTTATACAGCTTATTTTATCACCCAGGTACTAAACCTAGTACCCAATAGTTATTTTTTTTCTGATCCTTTCCCTCCTCCTATCCTCCACCCTCAAGTAGATCTCAGTGTCTGTTGTTCCTCTCTTTTTGTCCGTATTTTTCATGATTAAGTTCCCACTTTTCAATAAGAACATGCAGTATTTGGTTTTCTGTTCCTGCATTCATTTGCTAAGGATAATGGCCTTCAGCTCTATCCATGTTTCTACAAAGGACATTATCTCATTCTTTTTATGGCTGCATAGTATTTCATGGTATGTATGTACCACATTTTCTTTATTCAATCTGCCATAGATGGACATTTAGGTTTATTCCATGTCTCTGCTATTATGAGTAGTGCTGCAATGAATGTACGTGTGCCTTGGTCTTTATGACAGAACAATTTATATTCTGTTAGTATATACCCAGTAATGGGATTCCTGCATCAAATGGTAGTTCTGTTTTTAGCTCTCTAAGAAATGGCCACACTGCTTTCCACAATGGTTGAACTAATTTACACTCCCACCAGCAGTGTATAAGCATTCCCTTTTCTCTGCAACCTCACCAGCATCTGTTATTTTTTGACTTTTTAATCATAGCCATTTTGACTGTTACAAGATGGTATCTCATTGCAGTTTTTATTTGAACTTCTCTAATTATCAGTGATATTGAGTTTTTAAATATGCTTCTTGGCCACATCTATGTCTTTTTAAAAATGCCTGTTCATGTTCTTTGCCCACTTTTTAATGGTTTTTTTTTTTTGCATTCTTATAGATGCTAGATATTAGCACTTATGAGATTCATAGTTTGCAAATATTTTCTCCCATTCTGTAGATTGTCTGTTTCCTCTGCTGATAGTTTCTTTTACTGTAGAGAAGCTCTTTAATTTAAGAGCTTAGATCCCACTTGTCATTTTTTGCTTTTCTTGCAATTGCTTTTGGTGTCTTGGTCACGAAATCTTTGCTTTTTCCTATTTCCAGAATGGTTGTCTTCCAGGTAAGTTGTCTTTCAGGATTTTTATAGTTTGGGGTTTTACATTTAAGTCTTTAATCCATCTTGAGTTGATTTTTGTATATTGTGTGAGGAAGGGGTCCAGTTTCAGTCATCTGCATATGGCTAGCCAGTTATCCTAGCACCATTTATTGAATACGGAGGCTTTCCCCATTGCCTGTTTTTGTCAGGTTTGTCTAAGATAAGATAGTTGTAAGTGTGTGGCCTTATTTCTTGTCTCTCTATTCTGCTTCTTTGGTCTGTGTGTCTGTTTTTGTACCAGTACCATGCTGTTTTGGTCACTGTAGCCCTGTAGTACAGTTTGAAGTCAGGTAATGTGATGCCTCCAGCTTTGTTCTTTTTGCTTAGGATTGCCTTGGCTGTTCAGACTCTTTTTTGATTCCATATGAATTTTAAAATAGTTTTTCTAGTTCTGTGAAGAATGTCATTGGTAGTTTGATAGGAATAACATTGAATCTGTACATTGCTTTTGGCAGTATGGCCATTTTAATGATATTAATTCTTCCTATCCATAAGCATAGACTGTTTTTTCCATTTGTTTGTGTCATCTCTGATTTCTTTGAGCAGTGTTTTGTAGTTCTCTTTGTAGAGATCTTTCACCTACCTAGTTAGCTGTATTCCTAGGTGTTTTATTCTTTCTGTGGCAATTGTGACTAGGACTGTGTTCCTGATTTGGCTTTGGCTTGACTCTTGTTGGTATATAGCAATGCTAGCAATTTTTGTACATTGATTTTGTATCCTAAAACTTTGCTGACGTTATCAGCTTAAGGAGCTTTTAGGCCAACATTATGGGGTTTTCTATATGTAGAGTCATGTCACCTGCAAACAGAGATAGTTTGACTTCCTCTCTTCCTATTTGGATGTGCTTTCTTTCTTTCTCTTGCCTGATTGCTCTGACCAGGACTTCCAATACTATGTTGAATAGGAGTGTTGGGAGAGGACATCATGTCCTATGCTGGTTTTCCAGGGGAATGCTTCCACCTTCTGCCCATTCAGTATAATGTTGGCTGTGGGTTTATCATAGATGGCTTTTATTTATGTTCATGTATGTTTGGTCAATACCTAGTTTATTGGGAGTTTTTAACATGAAGAGGTGTTGAACTTTATCAAAAGCCTTTTCTTCATCTATTGAGATAATCATGTGGTTTTTGCCTTTAGTTCTGCTTATGTGATGATGTGATGAATCACATTTATTGACTCATTTATGTTGAACCAACACAAATGTCAGGAATAAAGCCTACTTGATCATGGTGGATTAGCTTTTTGATGAGCTGCTGGATTCAGTTTGCTAGTATTTTTTTTTTTGAGTATTTTTGCATCAATGTCCATCAAGGATATTGACCTGAAGTTTTCTTTTTGTGTTGTGTCACTGCCAGATTTTGGTACGAGGATGATGCTGGCCCCATAGATTGAGTTGGGGAGCAACTCCTCCTCAGTTATTTGGGAACAGTTTCAGTAGAAGTGGTACCAGTTTTCTTTGTCCATCTATAAGAATTTGTCTGTGAATCTACCTGATCCTGGGCTTTTTTTGATTGGAAGGCTATTTACTACTAATTCAATTTCAAAGTTTTTTGTTGGCCTGTTCAGACATTTAATTTTTCCTGGTTTAGACTTGGGAGTGTGTATGTGTATAGGAATTTTTCTATTTATTCTAGATTTTCTAGTTTGTGTACATAAAATTCATGGTAGTCTCTGATGGTTATTTGTATTTCTGTGGGGTCAGTGGTAACATCCCCTTTGTCATTTCTAATTGTGTTTATTTGGATCTTCTCTCTTTTCTTCTTTATTTGTCTAGCTAGAGGTCTATTTATCTTATTCATTTTTTTTCAAAAAACAAACTCCTAGATTAACTGATCTTTTGATGGTTTTTGATGACTGAATCTCCTTCAGTTCAGCTCTGATTTTGGTAATCTCTTGACTTCTGCTAGCTTTAGGGTTGGTTTACTCTTGCTTCTCTAGTTCTTTTAGTTGTGATGTTAGGTTGTTAACTTGAGACGTCTCTAACTTTTTGATGTGGGCATTTAGTGCTACCAATTTCCCTCTTAACACTCCCTTAGCTGTGTCCCAGAGATTGTGGTATGTTGTAGCTTTGTTCTCATTAGTTTCAAAGAACTTCTTGATTTCTGCCTTAATTTCATTTATTTACCCAAAAGTCATTCAGGAGCAGGTTGTTTAATTCCCATGTAATTGTACGGTTTTAAGCAAATAGTCTTAAATTCTATGTTTATAGCCCTGTGGTCCAGGAGAGTGGTTGGTATGATTTCAGTTCTTTGGCATTTTCTGAGGAATGTTTTACTTACGATTGGGTGGTCAATTTTAAAGTATGTGCCATGTGCAGGTTAGAAGAATGTATATTCTGTTATTTTGGGGTGGAGAGTTCTGTAAATATCTATCAATCAGGTCCATTTGGTCCAGTGTTGAGTTCAGGTCCTAAATATCTTTGTTAATATTCTTCCTTGATGATCTAGCTAATACTGTCAATGGGGTGTTGAAGTCTACCACTATTATTGTGTAGGAGTCTAAGTGTCTTTCAGGGTCTCTATAAACTTGCTTTATGAATCTGAGTGCTCCTGTGTTGGGTACATATATATTTAGGATACGTAGGTCTTCTTGTTGAGTTGAACGCTTTACCATTATGTAATGCCCTTTTTTGCCTTTTTTGATGTTTGTTGGCTTAAAGTCTATTTTGTCTGAAATTAGAATTGCAACTCCTGCTGCTTTCTCTTTCCTGTTTCCTTGGTAGATTTTTCTCTGTCCCTTTATTTTGAGCCTATGGGTGTGATTGCAAATAAGATGGGTTTCTTGAAGACAGCATACCATTGGATCTTGATTTTTTATCCAGTTTGTCACTCTATACCTTTTAATTGGGGCATTTAGCCTGTTTACATTCAAGGTTAATATTGATATGTATGGATTTGATCCTGTCATCATGTTGTTGGCTAGTTAATATGCATACTTATTTGTGCGGTTGCTTTATAATGTCACTAGTCTGTGTACTTTATTGTGTTTTTGTAGTGGCTGGTAATGGTCTTTCCTTTCCATATTTAGTGCTTTTTTCAGGAGTTCTTATAAGGCATGTTTGGTGGTAATGAATTCCCTTAGCAGTTTCTTGTCTGAAAAGGATCTTACTTCTCCTTTGCTCATGAAGTGTTTCATTTTTTGTCAATACCACACTATGTTAATTATTGTAGCTTAATAATATATCTTACTTGCATAGTATGAATTCTTCAATCTTGTTCTCTAATGAACTTTGATGTAAAACCTGTCACCAGGCTACAGATTATAGGTTAGCTTTTCCAGATATGTCAATAGGAATTTTCAAACATGTGAATGAAATCACAATAATCTCATTATATATTATCAAATTTATGAATATCATGCTGATGGGAAGGCATTAGAGTATAAGCAATTTTCATGAATCTGCCCTTTATTTTTTCACAAGCCAATAGTCCCAAGTTTTCTATTGATTGTAACTCTTAACACTCATGAAGGCTTGGATCAAAATGCCTGGCCATACAAATCTTAGCCAGTTTATTTTCAAAATTTTATTGTATCTTATTA
Source organism: Homo sapiens (assembly GCF_000001405.40). NCBI lineage: Eukaryota > Metazoa > Chordata > Mammalia > Primates > Hominidae > Homo > Homo sapiens. The sequence continues at coordinate 6,094,258 of NC_000011.10, forward strand.
AGTCTGAGTGATAGGAAGAAAGGGGCACTCTTTAGTTTGTAGGGCTTTACAGAGTTTCTTTATACTCATATGTAGGATGTGGGCCTCTCACTCAATAGATAAGATTGTCATAAATCAGGAAATTCAAACTTCCTTTAAAAACATAATTTCTGTTTCAACACTACTCATACAGGAAGTTAATAAGACGAGATTTTTTTGTCACCACAGTCCATAGTAACTAATCTCCAAAATATCCACAGATGTTATACTCAACCTCTGTCTTATGAATTCTTTCTTTCCTAATAACCTGAACCTTTCTCTTTCAGGATTTGTGCCATCTTCTTAATCTCCACCATCCAGCCTGGACTTGATACTTTAAATGGACTTAACACCTATATATGTACAAGTTTTATTATCTGATTTCTAGCATCATGAATCAATCCCCTTCAAGGAACAGATAAAAAAGCCCATCCCTTGATAGGACAGACAAAGTACAAAACAAATTGGCATAGAAATATGTCTCCATAAAAGTTTTCAATAATTTCTGGTTGATGTTTATTGTCAGTCATAGCAATGGATATTACCAAAGAAAATAATGTGGGTTGAAGAGAGACCAGAACACTGGACAGTACTTGCATTTGAGAGGTAACTAGAAAACAAATGAAAATGAAGAGTCCTTAATTTTCATTTGTTTTCTAGTTACCTCTCAAACGCAACTACTATCTCAAATGAAAATGTGTGGCACTGAATTTGGTAGCATTAAAAAGAGAGTTTATTAAAGTATTTGGATTCAATATCAATATGTTTACTGTATATTATTATACATAACAAAGTGTGAAGATATGGCATTATGGCAGCTAAGAGAAAATATGACTCCAACTTAATATTTATTGAACATCTATTATCAGCTTGCTACCCTGAAAGATACTAGGAATAAAACAGTGAATAAAACAGGCACAGTTGCTGCTATCTGACAATTTAAAGTAATGATGAAAAGAGAAACACAATTCCATCCAATAATATCTCCAAGATGGCAGACTGGAGGCATTGTTAGCATGCCTCTCCCACTTGGAAAGGAAAAACAGTGAGTAGAGATTCATGCTGTGAACTTTTTTCCAAGAAGCAACACTGGAATTTAACAGAAAAACTGAAGAAAACCACAGACCCTCTGAAAGAAGTGGTGGGCTACAGCCTACACTGTGATCCAGGCAGAAAACTGTAAATCCCCGGAGTGTGAGAGGGGAATAAACTGCCTTCGGGATATAAATTCCCACTGGAGAACCTGGCAATCCAGACCACAGGGGAAGGCCTTAACCCTACCCAGCGCTGGAGCTTAGCGAGCAGTCCAGAGTATATGAGAAGGAGCAACATCAGAACGTGCTTTACATGCACTCCCAGTCTCCAGAGGTGATGGAAAGAAGCCACTCTAGGACTTACCTCACAGGGGACCCCATAGAAGTCAGCCAGTTAACTCAGGCAGCAGTCACATGTTGAGAGAACCTCCCAACTGAGCTTCATGATATAATCTCAAGTGTGGACAAACTTCCTTGGCCTGAACTGAGGGGCGAGTGGGAAGTGGGTTGTAGCTACCTGCATAGAAACTGGGTGCCCCGGATTCATGGGCATACTGGGAGGGGCATGACCTGAAAGCTGCAGTTTCTGTCTCCCCCCTGGAAGGCTTGTGGCCTGGGGCAGTTTTGAGTTCTCAGTGCAGACTGCCTGGAACCTAGCTAGCTGATGCTAGTGGAACACTGAGGGTATGAGACCTGCCTTGCTATGCATATGGGAGCTGGGTGGGGCTTATTGCCACCTGCTAATCCCCACTCTCTGTGTGGAGTATTTTGTGCAGAAGAGACAGATGTGCTCCTCCCTGGAACATTACCACAGTGGCTACAGAAAAATCCCTCCAATTCTCAATGGGGCCACTGATTGTGCCTGCATGTGGAGAGACAGAGCATGGATTTATCTGACCCAGCCCCCACTGGCTTTGCCTCCCCACCTGGCTTTGCCTCTCCACCTGCCTTGGTAGCTTAACACAAAGGACAGAACCTTTAAAGAACTTTATGTACCTATCCATTCCCTGAGACACCACAGTATCTCTCCTGGGTAACATAAGGCAAGCACAAATTCCACCGCTACCTCTGCAGCTGATGTTCTTTTCCAAGTGCCATTTCCTGGATGGAAGCCAACCAACACAGTCCATTACAGCATCTGCAGGCAGAATAACAGTGCCCAAGAAGGAGAAAACTTGTATGTGACCTCAGCTATCACTATTGCCTGCATTACCCTGGATAACCAGGAGGTCCTGAGTCTGTCCACATGACCAGTTCATTACTACTACAGCTGGCATTTGAGAAAGCCAACACACCAAGGCTATTTATAACCAAGAATATCACAGAGCCTACATCACTTCCTGGCCACCTGCATCAGACTTGCTGCTGGTACCCGCTTCTGGGAGACTTGAGGAGAGGTCACATAACTAGATCTCTTGCAGACATTTCCCAGCGCTGTCCTGGAATGTGGCAGCCCCACTGGCTGGCTGCACCAAGAGGACCAGCAGCATTCACAGTAGTCCAGCCCCCAGAAACTTCTAATTCTAGGGGAAGAAGGAGTGCACAACATCAAGGGAGTACCCCATGGGACAAAAAAAAAAATCAGATGGCAGGTCTTGAGTCCCAGAACATTCCACTTATGGGAAGTTTCTTTCAGCAGAGGCATAGGTGCAGTGCTGGGTTTAGTGGAGAAGGCCTGTGGCTCTACCCTAATAGTCAGGCAACCCTGGTGCTCGTGAAAGTTCTTGGAAAAAGACACTTTTCTCCCCATCACTCACCATGGCAGGCACAGATAGAGTTTCTCCCATGAGATCTCAGTGTGGTTGCACGTGTTGTCGACCTTTCAGGAACACTTCAAAGTGACTACATACCCATAGGAGAATTGCCCTCCAGGTTCAGGATTGCTATGAGGGGATAGAGTCCCAATCCCTCTCTAAATGGAATATCAACATCATTGCAGATGAAAAGTGGTGCCTGTCTGATCTGAATAGCCAGCTCACTGGGTCAGGAGTGTGACCAGGAGGTGAAAGACTTTCTTGCTGGCCTGGCAGGGGAGCTGAGGCAGCTCCCTCCCTTTCCCCTGAAAAGACTTCAGTGCTTTTCACTGAGAACTCCCCCAGCTGCCTCTGTCAAGGCTGGAACCTCTGCCCATCATGGGGTATTGTATTTACCCACCTGCTTTATCCAAGCAAGTTTTTACCTATGGACACCTCCCCTACTGCCCTGAAGCCTGAGCTGTTCAACCCAGTAAATAAAATATTGGGAGGAAAATAAATTAAAAATAGTGTACACTACTGGGGAACAAGATAAGCTTCAAGAGATCTCTATCATTCCAAACCCACAGGAGACAGCGAACCTGCTCACACACCAAACACATTGCTACTGCAACCTGCATCTGAAAAAGCCATTATACAAAGACTCTCTATAACCACGGAACTTGTACAGAGTCTTCATTCCAGAAAGCACCCAGAGCCAAATTAGGTTACAAAAACTATAATCATTAAACTCACATCCTCAAGGGGAAAAAAAGAAACTACAAAAACCAGCTGAATCCAAAATAAATTCAAAAATTAATTAGAAAAAAATCGTGTACCCAAATGAGAAGGAACCAGAATAGTAATTCTGGCAGTATGACAAAACAGGGTTGTATAACACTCCCAAAAGATCACATTAGCTCTCCAGCAATGGATCCGACTCAACATGAAATCCTTTAAATGCAAGATAAAGAATTCAAAAGGTTGATTATTAAGTTACTCAAGAAGAAACAATAGAAAGGTAAAAACCAACAAATAAATCTAAAAATTCACAATATGAAGGAAAAACTTGCTAAGGAGATAGATATTTTAAAGAAAAACCAATCAGAACTTCTGGAAATGAAAGACACATTTATGTAATTACAAAATGCAGTAGAAAATTTTTAAACACAAACTACGTGAAGTAGAATAAATAATTTCAGAGCTTGAAGAAAAGGTTTTTGAATTAACCCAATCAGACAAAAATAAAGAAATAAAGAGAAGAAATTAGCAAAGTCTTAAGGAAATATGGGATTATGTAAAATAGCCAAACTTAAGAATCATTGGTATTCCTGAAGGAGAATAACAAGCAGAAAGTTTGGAAAAATTATTTGAGGAAATAATTGAGGAAAACTTCCCTGTCCATGCTAGAGATTTAGACATCCAAATACAAGAAGCCCAAAGAACTCCTAGGAGATTCACTGGAAAAAAGATATCACCAAGGCATATAATTATCAGGCTATCCAAAGTCAATGTGAAGGAAAAAATTCTAAGAGCAGTAAGACAAAACCATCAGGTAGCCTGTAATAGAAAACCTATGAGACCAACAGTAGACTTCTCAGCAGAAACCTTCTCAGCAGAAACCTCAGCCAGAAGGGATTGAGGTCCTATCTTTAGCCTTCCTAAACAGAGTAACTGTCAGTCAAGAATTTTGTATCCAGAAAAGCTAAGTTTCATAAATAAGAAATAAAGTATTTTTCAGACAAGCAAATGTTGAGAGAACTTGTCACCACCAAACCAGCTCTATAAAAATGTTAAAAGAAGTTCTAAATCCTGAAACCAAAAGTCAATATGCATCAGAATAGAACCTCTTGAAAGCATAAAACTCACAGGGCCTATAAAACCATAATGCAATGAAGAAAACAATGTATCTAAGTAACAATCGACATGATGAATGGAACAGTACCTTCCATCTCAATATTAATGTTGAGTGTAAATGGTCTAAATGCTTCACTTAAAAGATATGGATTGATAAAATAGATAAAAATTCACAAACCAAATATTTACTGTCTTTAAAAGACTCACCTAACACATAAGGATTCTTATAGACACAAGGTAAAGAGATGGAAAAAGATATTGCATGCAAATGAAAACCAACAGTCCACAGGAGCAGCTATTCTTATATCAGATAAAACAGACTTTAATGCAGCAACAGTAAAAAAAAAAAAAAAGGCAAAGAAGGTCATTATATAACAATAAAAGGATCAATCCAACAAGAAGATATTACAATCCTAAATATATATGCACCAAACTCTGGAGCTCCAGAGAGTAGATTTTAGGTCCTCCTACCACCAAAACAAAAAACAAAACCAAAAAAAAAAAAACAGAAAAGTTGCTACATGAGATGGTGGAATGTTAATTTGCCTCACTGTTAATAATCAACATGCATATATATATCAAAGTATGCTATACACCTCAAATATATATATATATATATATATATATATATACACACACACACATACATACATACACACACACACACACACACACACACACACACACAAATAATTTTTAAACAGCCATTGCCATTTCTAAGCCTGAAAAGCAGTGGGAAGAAATAGTTCTTAATACTGACAGGAGCTATGCAGAGGGGAACCACCTGACAGGATCAGTGGTTTTTAGTAGAGAAACACAGGCACTGTCAAACAGTGAGCCAATAGGAAGAGAGTCAGAAAAATAAATCCTCTACTTATAGTCCCTGCTGCCCTCTGATCTCCCACCAGTGCCTCCCCCTGGCCAAATCCAACAATAAACCAGAGGCCGTAGATTTTAAACTCTGTGGATACAGAGCAAGGTGGGAAAGACATCTGGAGAGACAGACAGGAAATAGCCAACAAAGGGGGCATCTGCATTTTATATATGTGTGTATATGGAGAGAAAACCCACGATAAAGGAAGTGGTAAAACATGAAGTATAGACTAGAAAATACATCCACTGGAAAATGGCTCCTGAAGAGGCTGAATTGAGCTGTTTGTATTGGGGAGAGGAACAGACATTCAGGGATTCACACCAGAAGGAGGGACACCTCCTCCCAACCCTTCATCATGACACAGAAGACTATCTAAGAGTGCTTCCCATGGGACTAGGGGCTGAGTAATTCTGTTCCCTAAGTTGAGTCTGATACTCCTCTAAAATCATGGGGAGGTCACTTGGGGTGGTGATGAGAAAACTCCAAGTATTGAGGCACACAGGAAGAAAATTAGAGGAAGCCTCATGGAGCACATAGGGAGTAGCAAAGAAGGTCCAGGGCATCTTGGTGCTCCAATTTGTTCAATAGCCCAAACCCCACGGGAGAGAATGAGACGTACTCTCAGCAACAAAGTGATAAAAGAGAGGTGTAGCCAAGAGAACAGAAGCAGCCACAGAAAGCAATTCCATTTAGAAAGGATCTGTCCTGGATCTCCTAGCAGGGAGGAACCAAGAGGCCAGAGATGAGAAGCTGTTTCCTTTTCTGTTCATAGGTCTCTGTCTTGGTTGCTGCTGCCTTTTTTTCTCCTTCCTCCCTGGCTTTCTCAGTTTGATCCTTCCAACTCTGGCCCTCTTTTCCCTCAAGATCCTCACCTGTGCAGAGACAAAGACCTGAGACCTGGAGAAAAAGTGAGAAAAAAGTGAGAAAAATGAATCTGAGGTCTTTTCTGGACATGCTGGAAACTTCCCTACCAGTGGAAGTACACACTCCTGCCTCATGGAGTCTGACACAGAGGAAGAGCTCTATAAATACTGAAGGAATGGTGAAAGCAGGAGATCCTGCCACTTAAATCACACATTTGAGACTCCCGAAAATAGTTATTGATTTCATCAATGCCCAATTAAAAAAAAAATTAAGAACTAGAAATAAACATCAAATCACCTAAATAAATAAAAACGTTTACCAGAAAAGGACTAGCCAGTGCCGTAGGAGAGAGAGCTCTAGAGAGGGTTTAAAGTTCAGAGCTAGAATAGATGTTGACTATCACCATTTCTTTTGTATAGTTTTGAAAATTCTAAATATTGTAATAATATGCAAAATAAAAATAAAAGTGTACATTATTCAAAACTATCGTAATGATAGGTAATACATTTTTCTTCCAAAAACAGAAAATTTGCAAGAGACAATAATTTAATAAAAAGCTGCTAGCTTTGGAAAGTACTACTGTAAAATAACTGTATTTTGGAAAACATTTCCTTAAAATTATAATAATCAGGTTTCTTAGGTAACAATAGCCAATTAGAAAGTATAATGGAGGGAGAAGGTAACAATAATGGAAAAAAAAATCCAAAAATACCTATGACAGAAAGGAAAAACATAATACTTCTGAATGGAAAGAATCAATGAGATAATGACATCACTTCTTCCATAATTGATTTACATGTTTTAATATAATACTCAAAAAATTACAACCAGTTTTTTATTAATTTTTAAAAAGTTATTTGAAGTTAGTAATAAGAATCTCTTCTACAAAATAGCAAATAAACTAATTCAATTGGTACATGCACTAAAACCAGAAAAGATTGTGCAGGCAGGCAGTGATCTTTGAATATATTTTAAAATTTAATATATGACAAAAAAAGGGCATTGCAAACTAATGGGGAAGAGAGGGGTTATTTACTGAATGGTACTGGAACAATGGTCTAGTTATTTGCGGGGGAATATTAATTTAGAGACTTTCTCGCTTTATCAGTTAAAAATTATTTTTTTAATAAATTTTTATAAAGAAAATGCAAACAAATGGTTATTGAAATACTGAATTTGGCAGGGTGTGTTGGCCCACGCCTGTAATCCCAACACTTTGGGAGATCCCAGCACTTTTGAAGACCGAGGCAGGCGGATCCTGAGGTCAAGAGATCGAGACAATCCTGGCCAACATAGTGAAACCCTCTCTCTACTAAAAATACAAAAATTAGCTGGGCGTGGTGCTGCACGCCTGTTGTCCCAGCTACTTCGGAGGCTGAGGCAGGAGAATTGCTTAAACCCGGGATCAGAGGTTGCAGTGAGCTGAGATCATGCCACTGCTCTCCAGCCTGGGCAACAGAGCAAGACTGTTTCAAAAAAAAAAAAAAACAAAAACAAAACTGAGTTTACATTATTAAAAGCTTACTAGTCATGAAATAATTAATTTTAAAAGTGCAAATGTTAGGACTACATAAAAGTTTAAATGTAGCCTGGTGCAGTGGCTCATGTCTGTAGTCCCAGCTTTTTGGGAGGCCAAGACGGGCAGATCACTTGAGCCCAGGAGTTTGAGACCAGCCTGAGCAATATGGTGAAACATCATCTCTACAGAAAAATACAAAAATTAGCCAAGCCTGGTGGTTCACGCCTGTAGTCCCAGCTACTCAGGAGGCTGAGGTGGGAAGATTGCTTGGGCCCATGAGGTCAAGGCTGCAGTGAGCCGTGATCATGCCACTGCACTCCAGCCTGAGTGAAATAGACCCTGTCTTTAAAAAAAAAAAAAAAAAATTAAATGTTTGCATGTGCATAATACATTTTTAAAGGATAAATAGAATTTAACAGAAAATGAATTGGAGGAAAATTTCCCAGAAAATTCAACAGATAGAGGTAATATCCTTATGAGACGAATATAGGCCAATTGCACTGCTACTTACAAGCTTTTGGCTATAAATTTGATTGGGAAGGATACCAAGTGGTCTGGAAATGCTCTGAATTTTACTTTTTCTACTCCCGATTAATCAGGAGTTGACAATGCCATGAGCACGACTATCTGCATGATTGAGGAGCATGTACTGTGTCTGTAGGGTAAGGTGGGAAGACAGGTTTGTGGAGTGGCACCAACAGGACTGATTGTGTGTGGGCTGCCCCACATTTCTTCGGGGGATGCTTATGTGAGAGTGGGCCTGGTGAAAGAGTTACCAAGCCACCCACACCCCTAACACTGTCCTAGATGGGAGACGAGAACGGACCGGCTTCTCCCCATGCTGTACACCTCTAGAGGAGCCCTAGGGCCAGACCAGGTTAGGTACACAATCTTTTCAAATTTTGTATGGTTGCCAGCTTATTTCTTTCACTTGTTTACTGTAATATCTGATGTTTTTTATAATTTTGTATTTAGTTATAACCATGGGAGGGGTAGTGAATAACAAGATAATACTGTGAATCTCCCTCCTTCATCCCCTCTAACTTCTTTTCTCTTCATTTTTCCCCCTAGCCTCTTGCATCCCTTTCTTTTCTACTTTGTCCTACAACTATCATATGAACAGCCTTCTCTCTTTGTGTGTGACTGTTATAAAATTTCAGTTTTCAAAATTAAATTCAGGTGTCTGCTCAAATGAGGGGAGTTGTTTTTTTTTTTAATGCTCAGCAGAGTACTTTTCTTTTTGTTTCCCCCACAAACCCATCAGTCTGGGAGAGCATTGGAAGAAGAAATCATGCTGCTTGGGATGCTATATTATATAAAATGTATGTAAATGTCTCTTCATTTGGGCTGGGGTTTGCATTGTACCCTTGGCTGTTAACCAAAGGGAGAGGCCAGTGGGCAAGCGGACCTCACCCTGCCTAGCAGTGACAGAGACCCCAGCCACTCTGTGTGGGCAGGGTGCTGTCAAGACCAAATTTCCAGGGGGAGGTCAGGGCAAAGGAGGTGGGGGGAACTTTTGGGAGTGAAGAAGTAGCTCTTTTTTCTCATGTGGAGTGTTTACACATTGCTGTAACATTTGAACTTTCTGAGATGTAATAATTTTGATAATAAAATTCTTAACCATAATAATCTTTAAAAAGAAGTCATATTCTCAAGATATAGTGAAACTCATACATATTAATAAGGTTGTGCTGCCAGACTCCATGGTAAGCACTTTACTATTTTTATTTTTATTGTTAATATTTTAATAGTTTTGGGGGAACTGGTGGTGTTTGGTTACATGGATAAGTTCTTTAGTGGTAATTTCTGAGATTTTGGTGCATCCATCACCCAAGTAGTATATACTGCAATGGTAAGCACTTTAAAAACATTATTTTCTTTAGTACTACAAGACAAATTGGATAAATAACAAATAGACAATAAGATAAAATAGAAAATTAATGAGTAAGCTTATAAATGGAAAATGAGTGCTTGAAAATTAAAATTTACTAAACAATGAAGTGAACACTAAAACAAAATTGATATATCAATTTTCATTCTATTATATTAATAGAATAATTAATAAATATTTTAAATTAAAATTCCCAGTTTTGGCATGGACATGATGAAACAGACACACTCATGAACAAATTCTGTGTGTGTAAAGTACTACAATGTACCTATTTTAGTATACATCATTTTAGTATACATCAAGAGCATTCAAAATCCCCATACTTTCATACAGGGTCAGAATAACCTCTTTAAAAGACAATTTGTCTTGTCAAATCAATATCGTTTCATTCCATTTGACCCAGCAGTTCAGTTCTTGGAAATTATTATGTGGAGAAACTTATACATATGCATAAAGATACAAGAAAAAGTACATTCACAGCTTCATTTTTTATAGTAGAAAATGCTGGAAACAGATTAAAAGCCCAACAAATATACAACCTACAGAATCTTTAAGAAAGTGAGCTTACATTTACTTTTTATGGGTGGATTTTTCCGTGGGCCAACTGACACCTATTGGAGGAAGAAACATGTCTGATAACTTTTTGATGTTTTCTTGCAAACTTCCTTCTGTTTCAAACTCACATGTTTACTGAAAGAAAAACAATTTATGAGGAGAGAAAGGGAGAAAATATTTGCAAAATCTCTGACAAGGGATTAATAACCAGAATATATATGAAACTCACTAGAAAAAAACAGATAATCCAACTAAAAAGGAAGCAGAGGCTGGGTGCGGTGGCTCACGCCTGTAATTCCAGCACTTTGGGAAGCCGAGGCGGGTGGATCACTAGGTCAGGAGATTGAGACCATTCTGGCTAACAGAGTGAAACCCAAAATACAAAAAATTAGCCAAGCATGGTGGTGGGCGCCTGTAGTCCCAGCTACTGGGGAGGCTGAGGCCAGAGGCAGAGCTTGCAGTGAGCCCAGATTGTGCCACTGCACTCCAGCCTGGGCGACAGAGCAAGACTCCGTCTCAAAAAAAAAAAAAAAAAAAAAAGCAGAATATCTGAACAGATATGTCAAAAGAAGACATACAAATGGTGAATAGCTATATTAAAAACTGCTCAACATCACTAATCATTGGGGAAATGAAAATCGAAACCACAAGAGATATCATCTCATTCCAGTTAGAATGGCTATTATCAAAAATATGAAAGTGCAAGCAAAGGTGCAGAGAAAGGGGAATGTTTGTACACTGTTGGTGGGATTGTAAAGTAGTACAGCCATTATGGAAAACAATATGGAGGTTCGTCAAAAAAACTAAAAAGAGAACTACCATATGGTACAGCAACTTCACTGCTGGGTTTATATCCAAAAGAAAGGAAATCAGTAAATAGAAGAGATATCTGCACTGTCATGTTTATTGCAGCACTATTCACAATAGCGAACATATGGAATCAACCTAAGTGTTCATGAATGGATGAATGGATAAAGAAAATATGAGATATATAGAGAGAGATATATATAGATACATACACACTATATATACACACACTGTATATAGTATAGAGAGTGTATATATATATCCAATGTGATACGCACACACACACACAGTGGCCTATTATTCAGCCACAAAAAGGAATAAAATCCTGTCATTTGCAGAAACATGAATGGAACTGGAGGTTATTGTGTTAAGTGAAATAAATCAAGTAGAGAAAGACAAATATTACATGTTCCTACACATGTTTGGGAGCTTAAAAAGTGGATCTCAGCTGGGCACGGTGGCTCACGCCTGTAATCCCAGCACTTTGGGAGGCCAAGGCAGGCAGATCACCTGAGGTCAGGAGTTTGAGACCAGCCTCGCCAACATGGTGAAACCCCATCTCTACTAAAAATACAAAAATTAGCCGGGTGTGGTGGCACACACCTGTAATCCCAGCTACTCGGGAGGCTGAGGCAGGAGAATCGCTTGAACCTGGGAGGTGGAGTTTGCAGTGAGCCGGAAAAAGAAAAAAAGTGGATCTCACAGAAGTAATGAATAGAATGGTGGTTACCAGAGGCCGGAAAGGGTGGGGGTAGGGGAAGAATAGAGGGTGGCTGATGGGGACAAAAATACAGTTAGGTGGAAGAAATAAGTTCTAGTATTCAATAGCACAGTAGGAAAATTATAGTTAATAATTTACTGTATGTTTCAAAATCGCTAAAAGAGAATTGCAATGTTCCTAACACAAAGAAAAGATAAATGCTTGAGGTGATGGATATCCTAATTACACTGATTCGATCATTACACATTGTATACATGTATCAAAATATCACATGTACCTCCAAAATATCTACAAATATGATATATCAATTCTAAAAATACAAAAAAAAATCATTAAACTATAGGGCATCTAGGTGGTAGAAAATAATGCAACTTAACTGCAGTATGGAAATATGGAGCAGTCTTCAAAATATTAAGTTAAAAAAGAAAAGGAAAGAAAAAAGGAGAAAGGTGTGCTAACAATTGATTATGTCTTTTATGAAAATTATATATATATATATATATATATATATATGTTTTTATCCATGCATAAACTATTAATGGAAGGATTCCCAAGAAACATATTACTGGCTGCCTCTAGTGAAAAGGAAAAAGATTTCAAAGCCCCAAGCATGAGAGTCTTACTTTTCATTGTTTATATTTTTCATTTTATTTTGATTTTTACCATGTATAGATAATATATCTTAAAATAAAATCAAAATTATATTTAAAATTTTAAGACTATTATATCCTTTGTATATATAATTTTTGCATCACTTTTGAAACTCTACTCAAGGAAAACAATATTAAAAGCAAAATACCTGTCAGTAAATTATAGAATAGCCAAATGCAAAAATTTAAAGCAGCAATTAAAATTAACATCACACTTTTTAAATAATATTGTGAAGTCTTTGGTTAATGTATTCATCCATGAAATAAAATTTTTGAGTGCTTATATTACATCTTAACACATACTGCTAAAAGACAAAAACAAGATACAAAATCATCTCTAGATAATGATGTAGACTGTTTAAAAATAAAATAGAAAATTGGAAATAAATCAAATACTAACATTTGTTATCTGTTAGTGATAAGACTGTTGTTAATATATGTGGACATGCTTATTAGACATACAAGTGGTGATGAAAAATAGTTATTCCAACTCTTCTGTTTAGAATTTTTTTGCTTTTTTTGTTATTCCTCTGTGGAATATTTCCAGAAGTCAAATAAAGTTGAGGGTCATTCATGAATAAAAGGAGCTGGTTCATTATTGAGGAGCTCTTACCAAGACACTTAACTTTTTGTTTTGTTTTGTTTTTTAAGACAGGGTCTCACTCTGTTGTCCAGGCTGGGGTGCAGTGGCACAATCTCGGCTCACGGCAACCTCCGCCTCCCAGGTTCAATGATTCTCATGCCTCAGCCTCCCAAGTAGCTGGGATTACAGACAGGCACCACCACACCCAGCTAATTTTTGTATTCTCCGCAGAGATGAGATTTTGCCATGTTAGCCAGGTCAGTCTCGAGCTCCTGACCTCAAATTATCTGCCTGTCTCAGCCTCCCAAAGTGCTGGGATTACAGGCATGAACCACGATGCTCAGCCCCTTAGCTGAACTTTTAAACAGAGATTTCTTCTATTTCAGACAGACACTGAGACTGAGGCACCCATTCCATGGATACCTCCACCAGTGTTACCTATGACTCCAGCCTCCAGATTTCCCAGTTCATCCTGATGGGATTACCAGGCATTCATGAGTGGCAGCACTGGCTCTCCCTGCCCCTGACTCTGCTCTACCTCTTAGCTCTTGGTGCCAATCTCCTCATCATAATCACCATTCAACATGAGACCGTGCTACATGAACCCATGTACCATTTGCTGGGCATATTAGCAGTGGTGGACATTGGCCTGGCCACCACCATCATGCCCAAGATCCTGGCCATCTTCTGGTTTGATGCCAAGGCCATTAGCCTCCCCATGTGTTTTGCTCAGATCTATGCCATCCACTGCTTCTTCTGCATAGAGTCAGGCATCTTTCTCTGCATGGCAGTAGACAGATACATAGCCATCTGTCGCCCTCTTCAGTACCCCTCCATAGTCACTAAAGCTTTTGTCTTCAAAGCCACAGGGTTCATCATGCTCAGGAATGGCCTGTTGACCATCCCAGTGCCTATACTGGCTGCCCAGAGACACTACTGTTCCAGGAATGAAATCGAGCACTGCCTCTGCTCTAACTTGGGGGTTATCAGCCTGGCTTGTGATGACATCACTGTGAACAAATTTTACCAACTGATGCTAGCATGGGTCTTGGTTGGGAGTGATATGGCTCTGGTATTTTCTTCCTATGCTGTAATCCTTCACTCTGTGCTGAGGCTGAACTCAGCAGAAGCAATGTCCAAGGCTCTGAGCACTTGTAGCTCCCACCTCATCCTCATCCTCTTCCACACAGGTATCATTGTGCTGTCTGTCACACACCTTGCAGAGAAAAAGATTCCCCTTATTCCTGTGTTCCTTAATGTGCTGCACAATGTCATCCCCCCTGCACTCAACCCCCTGGCCTGTGCACTCAGGATGCACAAACTCAGACTGGGCTTTCAGAGACTGCTTGGACTGGGTCAGGACGTGTCCAAGTAACTCCAGCTTTAGGAATCCAGTAAGATGTTAGGAAATGACAGAGGTTTTAGTTCTCAATAGATCAGGGTTATAATCTGCACTTACCACACTCCCTAGGAAAAAAATGGCCAATAAAATCATGAAAACTGTCAGCCTCACTAATCAAAATATGTATATTAAAATTACAAGAAAATTTCCTATTACCTGGAAAATAAGTAAGAACAAAAAAGTGAAATGTTTCTAACTATTACTGCTAGCCTACCCCGAGATTAACACTTTCCTACACAACTGGTAGGACTATAAACACACCAAAAAGCAATTTGGTAAAATTTATCAAAATGTTTATAAATGTTTAAATGTTCTTAACCAGTAATTCTATTTTAGAAAAATATCCAAAAGAAATAGTCTAAATGCAGTCAAAAAGTTATTCATAAAAATCATTATAATATGACTAATAATAGAAAACAAAGCCTTTAATATTTACACATATTTAACTCTTACATATTTATGTGCTTTTCATATGTAATTTTTATAATAAAAAGTAAACAATAAATGTTTATTAAAAAGGAGTAAAGTTTAATTTTCGTACCCAAAAAAATCTCAATAATTAATGAATTAATGGTTAACAAGTGTTAAATACTTCTTGTAGGCCAGAAACTTTGATAAAATATGTATGTAGATTATCTGACTCAATTCTCACAATAACCCTTTGGGCAGGTACAATATTATTCCCAATTTCCAGCTAAGAAAACTCAGGCACTGGAAATTATAGAACTTGCCCCCTGACAGCACAGTTTCTAAGTGGGAGAGCTGGGATTCAAGTCCTGGGAAGTCTGATTGAAAAACCATAGCACTATTCTTACTCTCAGTCTTGCTCTGTTCCAAAATTTCTGTGTGAACTTGAACAACTTATGAAACCTCCCTATGTTTCAATTCTTCTGATTAAAAGTGACAAAAATCATAACATTTTGCTGAGCCAAATCGCAAACATGCTGTGACAATCAAAAGAGATAAAGAATACATGCTTTGAAATAAGATATACACATGGAAATATAAATCTAACTATGTGGCAGTTTTCTTGCTAGGAAAGGAAGAAAATGGATCCTAGAAAATGCCCTATAAAAATAGTTTCAAATAACCTGTTAATTAAAGCTAACTGAATTTTTGCTGTTTGCTCACCTAAAAAAATTGCACACTTTTTGAGTACAAGAACCATTCATGTGTACTTTCAATGAGCCTCAGTCAGAACATTGCACACAGTAGGTGCTTAATTCATTATATAATCAGGGAGCATTATAGATCTGTTGAATTATGTGTATCAAAGAAAATACCTGGACCATGGTCTGAATAATGACCTCAGGAAGTTTGCACATGAGTCCACCTTGGAAAACAACTTCTTAGGAAATAGCACAAGGACTAAAGCAACATCAGAAACCATCAGCTCATCTCACCAGAGTAATGCATGCTGGGCAGCATAACAGAGCTGCAGGGGGAAGTCATCTGTGTGCGGGACAGGACTTCTTAAGAGTTATGCTTGGAAACTTACCCAAAAAGAGACTATCAACTTCCTCCAAAAGAATTGGCTGCTTCATTCTTTCTTGACAGTGATTCAAATGGAAGCAACTGATCATCTAATAAGAGGAGGCAAGAGAGAGACAATTACAGAAAGGATTTTAACTTAACTCAACCTCCCATGGTTTGTTACCCTGAAGGATCAGAGTAATAACATCTAATCCTGCAGAGTTCTTCACAGTTTGCAAAATACTTTCCCACAGTGGATTGAGTAATTTCACATAATTTTCATAGCAGTCCTCTTAATTAGGAAGCTGTTAAAGGATTACTATTAATTCTTTTCTACAAAGAAATAGGGGCTAAGTTTGGGTAATTATATAAATTCACCCACTGGGAAGTGGCAGTACTGAGGCTCAGGCAGTTTAGCTGTCTCTGGTAGATGGCAATAGTGTGCCATCCTCAAAGCTGCCTTTAAACTTTCATTCATACATACCTTTATTTATTTATTTGTTTATTTATTCATTCATTCAAAAATACATAGCATGAGTCTATGCACAGCAGCCCAAATTGTAGGCCACTCTCAACAACTTCTGTGGACATGTGTCTCAGTTCTTCTGAAAATAAATAAACACCTAACATTCATCTTGGAGTCAGGAAGATTTATGCAATTAATTATTCTCTCCTCTATATGTGCCATGAGGATAAAAAAAGATTGTGCATTGTTTTATTTTTATGAATTATTTATGTTTGTCATGTATTTCATATTTGCCCATATGCTTTGCTTTATATGATTTTAATACTGTCATACTATATTTGCCTGTTTGTCTTCTCTCATTCACTTCTTTCCATATTCCTTTGATATTTTAACTTTAGTCTGTCTTTTGGAAACACCGTTAGTTTGATCTTTATTTTTAACCATATTTGAGGAACTTTCCCTTTAAATAGGGGAACTAAGTCCATTCATATTTGTTATAATTCCTATGATTTTGTTTTGTTTCACCCTGTCATCTTATTTATTTTTATTATGTTTTCTGGCAGATTTCTCCTACTCCTGACTTTTGCTGAACTGATCTCTTTCACACATCTCCCCACATCCCCATTTCATTGATCTGCACATTTTATTAAATATATCTATTTGACAGGTTGTTGTATGCATAACTTTATTAACACATTCAAACTTATACTTTTTTATTAATATGCCCAAATTACATAATAGTTATGCAGTATTTTCTCATTCCAATTCCAAGCTCAAGATAAGAACTTTATCATTTTTATGTCTCTTTTATTCTCTGTTGAACATCTCACTGAATATGGCACATTCCAAAGACAAGCATAATAATAGCTCCCACCTCACATGCTCTTTTGCAGTGAAACATTAACAATTCCGTATCAAGAAATTGAACTTAGTTCCCCTTCTCCTTGAATCTGAGCCTCACTGATTCACTTTTAACCAAGAGAATGTGACAGAAGTCCAAAAAAAGCCATTCAGCATCCACTTGTGTCTCCTGGAAAATTTGCTCCCTGGTTGCTCCCTGGAGGATGCTCCCTGTCAGAATCCAGCTGTCACGTGATGAGAAGTCTAAACCACATGACAAGGCCAAGTATGGGGACTCTAGTCAACAGCCCCAGCTGAGCCCAGCCTTGGAATCATGCTAGCCCAGGAAGTCTAACATGTGAGTGAAGATGTCTTCAACAGATTCCAGTCACTAACCATTTGATCACCTCCAGCTGTCTGAGTCTTCTGAGCCAAGGCTGCATATTTGTGAAGTAGAAGTATGCCATCATCACGGCACTGCTCTTAAATTCCTGACACAGAGAATCTGTGAGCATGATAAAATAAGTGTTGTTTGATACCACTATCTTTAGGGTGATCTGTTAAAAAGCATAGATAACTAGAACACTGGATTTTACTAAAATAATTTGGAATTTTAGTTCTAAGTCATAATTACTTTTTAAAGCATGTCGCTTCCAATTCAAAAATGTCTTAGAATTTTTAATATTCACAACTACATTATCAAAATTTATTTCTATTTGACTGTGAAGCTTTACTAAATTCATTGTTCATAGCAATTTCTAGTATGCTTCATTCTTCCAATATATTATTTGGTGTCCAATCAGGAGAGAGAAACCACATGAATTTCAACAGGAGAAAGTTAATATAAATAATTTTTAATTATAACAAGGGATTGGAGTATCAAGAGATTGACTAGTAAGTAGAGAAAACGCTAAAGAATATAAGAATAGTAGATGCAGGGAGGAGCCATTGTCACTACAGATGAGAGAGACTACCTAAGATAAAGGACCCCTGGGCTGAGATCCAGACCTTATTGGAGAGGATACAGAATGGAGAGAAAATGCAATCATGCTGTGCTCATGAAACTTGCTGAAAATCTACATTCTAGGATGCTAGGGAAAGTTGTTCATAAGGAGATAGCTCACCAGAGACCCTCTGCTATAAAATCACCCCCAGGAAGCTACTGGGGGGAAGCTGCTGGCCACTGGATGCTGCTGACTGCCATGTACTGCAGGAACTGGGTATTGGAGAAACTGTACATGCTGCAGCTAAGCCTGACAGGCAAGCACATCAGAACCAGGAAATAAAATCCTCTCTAGTGACTTTAGTGAGAATAGTGAATTAAGAAATTCCAAGAGCCTGCCCCTCCACCAAACTAACAAATAAACAGGCACAAATTGTTAGAATGAACTTTAATGGAACTGGTCAAAGGTCTGCATCAATGAGGTGAACACTTGATCAAAAAAAAGATGACAATCTCAGTAGGAGACCTCTGTGGCATTCTAACTCACTCTGGCTCTGTTCCTTCTTCTCCAGTTTGGTGGTAGTCTTCAGAACAGCATCCCATGTTTCCTATGTGGGTTCACGGTACCAGAAGGAGCAGAGGAGACCTGTTCTCTAAGAATTATTGGTGTTTTGACCCATCTGATGGTTCACTGAAGGACAGGTGCAAAGAGCTTGCCTTTATTTTGCCTAACTCAGAATCTCTCAGGATAGAATGGCAGCTGTCTAGGGGCCTTGTCAAAAACAGCTGGTGAATGTGTTAGCCTCTGCCACCAGAGAGAAGGAATAACAGTCAGGAAATAACAGACACACTTAAAAGCTTGGACTGCTTATAATATTTAAGAGGTTAACTTTTTAACAAAAACTATGAGGCATGCAAAAAAAAAAAAAGAAAGTATAGCCAATACACAGGGGTTAAAAAAAAATAGAAACTGTCTGAGGAAGCCCAAGTATTAGGATTTACTAGACAAAAACTTCAAATCAAATGTATTTACTCAGTGAGCTAAAGGAAACCTTGGACAAAGAACTAAAGCAAACCAGGAAGGAGAACAATGTCCCACCAAACAGAGCATGTTAATAAGGAGAGAGAAATTATAAAAAGAAACAAAATAAAAATACTGGAATTGAAGTGTGCTTTTCTATATATCTAAGAGCTCAACAAATTCCAATTAGGATAAACTCAAAGAGATGTACATTGAGACATATTACAATCTAACTTTAGAAAGACAAAAACACAAAAATAAAAAGAAAAAAAAGAAAAATTTAAAAAGAAAGACAAAAACAAAGACAGATACCCAAAAGCAGCAGGAGAGAAACAACTTATTACATAAAAGAGATTCTCAGTATGATTAACAGCTGCCTTATCATCAGGAACCGTAGAGGCTAGAAGTTAGTGGGGTGATGTACTAAAATTGCTGGGAAAAGAAAAGGTCAACCAATGTTTCTATATCCAGCAAAACTATGCGCAAGAGTAAAGGAAAAAATAAGACATTCCCAGTGGCACAAAAACAAAAAAAAAAGAGAGAGTCCATAGCTAGTAGAGCTACCCTACAAAAAATGTTAATGGGAATCCTTCAGAATGAAATGGAAGGACACAATCGTAACTCAAATTTGCTTAAAGAAATAAAGAACGTAATATATTTATGTTATTTAAAAGATAATTACATAAACAAAATTATAAATATATGTTAATGGGCACACAATGTATAAAGATGTAATTTGTGATAATCACAAGATAAAGGGAAACAGCTAGACAGAAACAAAGTTCTTGTATACAGTCAGCCCTCTGTATCCATGGGTTCTATATATGTGGATTCAACAAACTATAGATTTAAAATATTTTAAAAAATAATGATTTTTTTACAGAGGGCAGAACTGAATAATTGAGAATGAAAAACATCTAAAACATGAAACAACAAGTAGCAAAATGACAGAAGTCCTTCCTTATCAGTAATTACTTCAGGTGTAAATAGATTAAACTGTCCAATTAAAAGGTATAAATGGCTAAAATGGATTAAAGGAAACATAATAGGTTATCTACAAGAGACTCACATTAAAATAAAAAACAAATACTTCGAAATGGAAAGGGTGGGAAAAGATATTCTATGCAAATAGTGAGCAAAAGAAAGCTATCCTATATTATACTAGAATACAATATATGAGTATACAGTAGTCCCCCTTTATCCGTGGTTTTACATTACATGGTTTCAGTTAACTGCATTCAACCATGATCTTAAAATATTAAATTAAAACATCCAGAAATAAACAATTCATAAGTTTGTCATTGCATACCACTTTGAGTAGCATGATGAAATCTCACACCACTCTATTTCACTCAGGACATGAATCTTCCCTTTGTCCAGGATATCCACACTGTATATCCACACTGCTATCCACCCATTAGTCACTTAGTAATCCTCTAGAGTATCAGATCAAATGTCACATATAGTGTACATAGGTTTTGGTACTATTTGTGGTTTCAGGCATTCATTCACTCGGAATCTTAGAGCATATCCCCCATAGATAAGTATATATAGCTAGACTAATATGTGACAAAACAGATTTTTTAAAACTGTTATGAGAGATGAAGAACAATATTATATAATGATAAAAGGCAAAAAGGCAAATCTGTCAAGCAACTTCAACAATTATACATATATATGCACCAAAAAACAGAGCCCCTAAATAAATAAAGCAAAAACTGATAGAATTGAAGGAAGACATAGACCAACTAAACCTAATAGGCATATATAGAACACTCTAACCCAACAACAGAATACACATTATTCTCAAGAGCATTTGTAACATTCTCCAAGGTAGACCATATGCTAGGCCATGATAAGATTCAATAAATTTTAAAACATTGAAATCATGGGGAAGATGCCAAGATGGCCAACTAGAAAGAGCCGCAGTAGAAAGCTCCCACCAAGAAGAACAAAAATGGTGAGTGAATCCTGCACTGGCAACTGAGGTATCCAGATTCTCTCACTGGGAGTGACTAGGCAGTTGGTGCAACCCACAGAGAGTGAGAAAAAGAAGGGTGGTGCAATGGTCCACCTGGGAGCCACACAGGGCAGGGGGAGCTTCCACCCCCAGCCAAGGAAGGCAGTGAGTGATTGAGCTACTCTGCTCGGGAAACCATGCTTTTTCCATAGATCAATGTAACCTGCATATCAGATCTCCCTCATGAGCCCATGCCACCGGGGCCTTGGGTCACAAGCACAGAGCCGTGCAGATTCTCTGTGGCCACTTGGCTAAAGACTGCCTAAGATTACCTAGTTCCTGGGGGAAGGGGCAGCCACCATCACTGCAGCTGCCTGCTGCCTAAGATGAGTGAGCTCCCAAGGGAAGGAGTGGCAGCCATCACTGCAGCTCCAGTCTGGCATTTTTCCCCTGCCAGTGCCAGGGAGATTGGATGGTTTGGACCCAGGATGAATTCCCCACAGTGCAACACAAAGGCTGTGGCAAATCATGACCAGACTGCCTCTTTAGGCCAGACCCTGAACCATCCCGGGCAAGGTCTTCCTAAGGGAATTTCAACAACTCCAGCCAGGAGTTTATGGACAGAACTCTGATCTCCCTAGTACAAAGCCCCTGGGGGGAGGGGTGGCCATCCCCATGGATCAGCAGACTTAATTTTTCCCCCTGCTGGCTCTGAGAAATCTGGGGAGTCTGGACAAGTGGGATTCCCCCCATCACAGTGCACCCCTTCCACCAAGGGGTAGCCAGAGTGCTTTGTAAAGTGGGTCCCAGATCTCATGTCTCCTGACTGGATAAGACCCTAACAGGGGTCACCAGACACCTTATACAGGAGCGTTCCCACTGGCATCACGGAGATCCCAGAGGAAGAAGCAGGCAGCCATCTTTGCTGTTCTACAGTCTCCACTGGTGACACCTCCAGGGATGGGAGGGACCCAGGTAAATAGGGTCTGGAGTGGACCCCTGGAAAACCACAGCAGCCCTACAGAAGAGGGGCCTGATTGTAAAAAGAAAAACAAACAGAAAGCAACAACAACAGCATCAACAAAAAAGTTCCCACAAAAACCCCATCCAAAGGTTAGCAGCCTCAAAGATCAAAGCTAGATAAACTCACAAAGATGAGAAAGAGTCAATGAAAAAATGCTGAAAACTCAAAAAGCCAGAGTGCCTCTTCTTCTCCAAATGATCACAACACCTCTTCAGCAAGGGCACAGAACTGGGCTGAGGCTGACATGGATGAATTGACAGAAATAGGCTTCAGAAGGTAGGTAATAACTAACTCCACTGAGTTAAAGGAGCATGTTCTAACCCAATGCAAATAAGCTAAGAACCACAATAAAACATTATAGGAGCTGTTAACCAGAATAACCAGTTTAGAGAGGAACATAAATGACCTGATGGAGCTGAAAATGAGAACACAACATGAGAACTTCACAATGCAACTGCAAGTACCAATAGCCAAATAAACCAAGCGGAGGAAGAAATTTCAGTGCTTGAAGACTGTCTTGCTGAAATAAGACAGAAAGATAAGATTAGAGAAAAAAGAATAAAAAGGAATGAACAAAGTCTACAAGAACTATGGGATTATATAAAAAAGACTGGACCTACGGCTGATTGGGGTACCTGAAGGAGATGGGGAGAATGGAAACAAGCTGAAAAACATACTTCAGGATATCATCCAGGAGAAATTCCCTAACCTAGCAAGACAGGCCAACATTCAAATTCAGGAAATCCAGAGAACCCCAGTTAGATATTCCATGAGAAAATCAACCCCAAGACACATAATCATCAGATTCTCTAAGGTTGAAATGAAGGAAAAAATGTTAAGGGGAGCCAGAGAGGAAGGCCAGGTCACCTAAAGGAAAGTCCATCAGACTAACAGTGGACCTCTCAGTGGAAAACCTATAAGCCAGAAGAGACTGGGGGCCAATATTCAATATTATTAAATAAAAGAATTTCCAATCCAGAATTTCATATCCAGTCAAACTAAGCTTCACAAGCAAAGGAGAAATAAAATCCTTTTCAGACAAGCAAATGTTGAGGGAATCTGTCACCACTGGGTTTACCTTGAATGAGCCCCTGAAGGAAACACTATGCAAAAGAAAAACCCTTACCAGCCACTACAAAAACACACTGAAGTAAAGAGACCATTGACACTATGAAGCAACTACATCAACAAATCTACAAAATAATCAGCTAGCATCATGATGACAAGATCAAATTTACACACAACAATATTATCCTTAAATATGAATGGGCTAAATGCCCCAATTAAAAGAGACAGAAGACAAGCTGAATAAAAAGCCAAGACCCGTTGGTGTACTATATTGAAGAGACTTGTCTCACATGCAAAGACACACACAGTCTCAAAATGAATAGAAGGAGGAAAATTTACCAAGCAAGCAGAAAGCAGAAAAAAGCAGGGGTTGCAATCCTTGTTTCTGACAGAACAGACTTTAAAGCAACAAAGATCAAAAAAGACAAAGAAGGGCATTACATAATGGTAAAGGGTTCAACAAGAAGAGCAAGAAGAGCTAACTATCCTAAATACATATGCACCAAATACAGGAGAACCCAGATTCGTAAAACAAGTTCTTAGAGACCTACAAAGAGACAGATTCCCACACAATAATAGTGGGAGACTTTAACACCCTACTGTCAATATTAGATCATTGATACAGAAAATTAACAAAGATATACAGGACTTGAACTCAGCTCTAGATCAAGTGGACCTGATAGATATCTACAAAACTTTCCACCCAAAAACAACAGAATATACATTTTCTTGGTGCCATGTGGCACTTACTCTAAAATCGATCACATAATTGCAAGTAAAATACTCCTCAGCAAATGCAAAAGAACTGAAACAATGGTCTTTCAGACCACAATGCAATCAAATTAGAACTCAAGATTAAGAAACTCATTCAAAACCACATAACTAGATGGAAATTGAACAAGTGATTGCTGAAAGACTCCTGGGTAAATAATGAAAGTAAGACAGAAATAAAGAAGTTCTTTGAAGCCAATGAGAATGAAGAGACCACATACCAAAATCTCTGGGGCACAGCTAAAGCAGTCTTAAGAGGGAAATTTGTAGCACTAAATGCCCACATCAAAAAGCTAGAAAGATCTCAAATTGACACCCTAACATCACAACTACAAGAACTAGAGAACCAAGAGCAAATAAACCCCAAAGCTAGCAGAAGACAAGAAATAACCAAAATCAAAGTGGAAATGAAGGAAATACAGACATGAAAAACATTTCAAAAAATCAATGAATCCAGGAGATGGTTTTTTGAAAAAATTAATAAAATAGATAGACTTCTAGCTAGACTAATGAAGAAAGGAGAGAAGTATCAAATAGACACAAAAAAATGATAAAGGGGATATCACCACTGACCCCACAGAAATACAAACAACCATAAAAGAATACCATAAACTCCTCTATGCAAATAAACTAGAAAATCTAGAAGAAATAGATAAATTCTTGGACACATACACCGTCCCAAAACTGAATCAGGAAGAAGTTGAATCCCTGAATAGACCAATAACAAGTTCTGAAATTGAGGCAGTAATAAATAGCCTACCAGCCAAAAGAAAGCCCAGGAGCAGATGGATTTGCATCTGAATTATACCAAAGATACAAAGAGGAGCTGGTACCATTTCTTCTGAAATTATTCCAAACAAGTGAAAAGGAGGGACTCTTCCCTAACTCATTTTATGGGGCCAGCATCACCCTAATACAAAAATCTGGCAGAGATACAACAAAAAAAAGAAAACTTCAGGCCAATATTCCTGATGAACATCCATGCAAAAATCCTCAATAAAATACTGGCAAACCAAATCCAGCAGCACATCAAAAAGCTTATCCACCATGATAAAGTCAGCTTCATCCCTGGGATGCAAGGCTGCTTCAACATATGCAAATTAATAAACGTAATTCATCACATAAACAGAACTAAAGACAAAAACCATGTGATTATCTCAATAGTTGCAAAAAAAGGCCTTTGATAAAATTCAGCATCTCTTCACATAAAAAACTCTCAATAAACTAGGTATTGATGAAACTTACCTCAAAATAATTAGAGCCATTTATGACAAACCCACAGCAAATATCATAACAAATGGGCAAAAGCTGGAAGCATTCCCCTTGAAAGCTGGCACAAGAAAGTGGGCAAAGGACATGAGCAGACACTTCTCAAAACAAGACATTTATGTGGCCAACGAACATATCACCACCGATCCCACAGAAATACAAACTACCATCAGAGAATACTACAAACACCTCTATGCAAATAAACTAGAAAATCTAGAAGAAATGGATAAATTCCTCGACACATACACTCTCCCAAGACTAAACCAGGAAGAAGTTGAATCTCTGAATAGACCTATAACAGGAGCTGAAATTGTGGCAATAATCAATAGCTTACCAACCAAAAAGAGTCCAGGACCAGATGGATTCACAGCCGAATTCTACCAGAGGTACAAGGAGGAACTGGTACCATTCCTTCTGAAACTATTCCAATCAATAGAAAAAGAGGGACTCCTCCCTAACTCATTTTATGAGGCCAACATCATTCTGATACCAAAGCCAGGCAGAGACACAACAAAAAAAGAGAATTTTAGACCAATATCCTTGATGAACATTGATGCAAAAATCCTCAGTAAAATACTGGCAAACTGAATCCAGCAGCACATCAAAAAGCTTATCCACCATGATCAAGTGGGCTTCATCCCTGGGATGCAAGGCTGGTTCAATATACACAAATCAATAAATGTAATCCAGCATATAAACAGAACCAAAGACAAAAACCACATGATTATCTCAATAGATGCAGAAAAAGCCTTTGACAAAATTCAACAACCTTCATGCTAAAAACTCTCAATAAATTAGGTATTGATGGGACATATCTCAAAATAATAAGAGCTATCTATGACAAACCCACAGCCAATATCATACTGAATGGGCAAAAACTGCAAGCATTCCCTTTAAAAACTGGCACAAGACAGGGATGCCCTCTCTCACCACCCCTATTCAACATAGTGTTGGAAGCTCTGGCCAGGGCAATTAGGCAGGAGAAGGAAATAAAGGGTATTCAATT